>NC_000009.12:65645191-66018289 GCF_000001405.40 Homo sapiens
CCTCTCCCCTTGTCCACTTGTCCTCCTTCACTAGTGGATAAAGTCCACGGGAACAGGCAAGTTATTTTAAATCTGTATCTTCTGTTGTCAAGATCTATAATCAGTTCTGCTTGCTGGACTGGGGACAGGAACCAAGGGAACATGAGGGTGAACGGGTTGACGTGGAGTCCAGGAACACACTGTGCCTACATGCAGAATGTTTGTGCCAGGAAAGCCAGTCAGCAGGCAGATGGTCTCAGATACCAAGCTAGTGTTGGGAAGCAAGATTCAGTCTCTTGAAGGCGGTGTTCCTCATTCTGTGGTTTGTATCACTTGCTTCAGAATGACCTGGAGTACTTGTTAAAATGCAAATTTTGAGCCCAATCCTAGACCTCCTAAGCCTGCATCTCTACAGATGGGTCTCAGTAGTCGATATTGGAAACGTGCAGGTCCCTAGGAGATGCTTATGCATATAGATTTGAACTGTTGTGTTTAAGGGTTAGGGAGCTGGCAAAAGCAAGGAATAGACCAAGCCCTCGGGTGGGAAGGCTCCATAACCTTGGCACTGTTAGCATTCTGGGCGGAACAGGATTCTGCCACATGCTTCGCAGCATCCCTAGCCTCTACTCTCTAAGACCGTATTCCAGTTGTGAAAACGAAAATGTCCCCTGGGAGGCAAAATAGTCACCAGTTGGGAACTGGAACCACTGCTTTGTGAGATCAGAGTGGTTACTTTGTTCCCAATCCAAGGATCAGAACACACGATGAGAGAAAGTCCAGCTATTGGAACTGGAGTGCCAAGTTGGAGCTAGACCTACAACAAAAGCTCCAAAAGCTCCTTTATAGAGCTGATCCCATGCCTCAGCTACCTAGCTTGTACAGATGCCATGTAACTCTAGATTTGGTGACAGAAGGAATTTAAAGGCTAGAACTAGATAGGGTCTTTCAGGTTAGGCCAGCACGCAACGTGGACTTTTGACATCATCCAGATGCTTGAACCAACCTCAGTCCTGAGGCAGAATTTCCCGTGGCATCTGATACACAGCCTGGATTTGGAGCACTCACTGGGATTAGATGCCACGGGAATATTGTGTTTAGGAACTCTGAAAGAGACATGCTTCAACAAAGCAGACCTAAGCAACACGTAGCGTCTGAACTTCTTTATCAGCTTCCATTCCAGCCCATGAGGACAAAAGCATCACATACATATCCACTGTGGCAAACCTGTCCTCAGTAGGGAGTTTCCCCAGTATTACTCTCCCCTCTGTTCTGAGCCTACTTGCTCCTTTGTAATGTTTCCACTTTCTGTCCCACTCCCTAATAGATGATTTGTCCTCTCTGCCCAGCCCCCTAGTTCTGATATTTGGATTGTCTGTGATCTGGGTAGTACTTAGGAGGTAGAATCAAAGCCTTGTTGATTGGATTGGGAGTTTCTAACTTCCTATTAAAGGCACTGATTAAGCATCTATTGTATAAAGTAAAGTAAGATTATGATCCAGTAAGAAAGATTCCACAAGTAGCGCAGGAAGAATTGGTTTCTAGTACACTTCATGCTTCAGGACCAGAAATCCAGAAAAAAATTCTGTGGTACGTTAAGTGTTTACTGTAAGTTTCATTTCCATGTGAAAAACTGTAGTTAGCTAAAAAGTACATCCATGAAGAATCCTGATTAAACTTGTTTAATCCTGGTTAAACTAGCTACTAGCTAAACAATAAGTTCACAACAACTCAAGAACTCTGTAAAAGCATTTCCTCTGAATATTTTATTCAGAAAAAAACACAAAAAGATAAGGCAGAAACAAAAATCCCAGTCATTTGCAGTATCTGTCAGCTTTCAATTTGGTTCTCTTGTTTAAATAAAGAAAAATAGTAAAATTAATCTATGTAAAACATGTCATATATATTCAACTGCTACTAAATATAAAAAGCTTTAAAACTGTGTGTTCAATTTTGGTTAGTGTATTACCACAACACTTATATTAAAATATGTATACTTTTAAATTTGGTTTCTATAAAAAATGGATTCTAATCTTATAAAAGTTATTTCCTAATATTCAATAAATGTTGCCTAAGGGCTTTTTCAATCCAAATAGCAATTTTAATTATTCTGGAATTTAAGGGTGCTCTAAATTTCCATTTAACAGGGTGAGAACGCTGTATTATTACAAGTGAAAAAAGTTACAGGACATAGAGCTTATTCCGTTTTAGACTCCACATCCTGATTATATTTTATATCCTCTTCTTGATTTCTTACAACTAGATACATACTCATTTGCTCAGCTGGAAAAAGTTCTTAACGTTATTTACTGACTTTAGGTATGAACTCTACCAGCTAGTTAACAGGAAATATGTAATTAAACATTGACTTTATCAAGTAATGTAAAAAAAGGGTAAGAGTAACTTTCCAACATAGGACTTGAATGAGCGGCTGGTGATTATCAAAATCTGACACTTAATTGATTTATACTTGTACACTCACAGCTAAACGTCTCTACCTGTTTTTCTATGTTGTAAATCTAGGACATCACTTATCTACATAGGAATAGTAATAAATATTAATAATGTGCTATGATAAACATCCTGCACTCTTCCAAATCTTACAATAAAACTGCTTCAATTTCACTTGTTTAGCTTTTATACTTAGTTTTTTAGTTGATCTATGCTTATTTTAAGGAACCTGAACTACTCTAACAGAATCCACATAATTTTTATATTAGTCAAACTGCTTCTTTCTAACTCTGGTTCTAATAGTTATAAAAATATAATGATAAATTTATGAAGTAGATACAGTCAAACCTGAATTTCTTAAAGTATATGTTTAGAATCGGTTATAATTTTTAGATATTCTTTCTTGAAAGTCTTTTCCCAAACTCATGATGTCCTCTCTAGGTAATATTGCCACACTCATAAATTAGAAATAAAGACAAAAATGTGAAAACTACAGTAATTTAAGAGAATGTAGGTTTTCTATATGCCATTTCTATTGGCTACTGAAAATAGTGGAAATAAGTACATAAATAGCTACCTGTCCAGAAGCGTCTCATGCAAAAATCCATCTTTCTGCGTCTTTTTAAGAATTTTACTGCTTCTTGACTTATTTTAAGTTTGTGGTCTTGGAAGCTCTGAAATTTCTTTCTGCAAAGAAAATGCCTTCATTGAAAAAACCTCAAACTCTGATTATACATATTTACTATTAAATTTATAAATACTGTTAATTTCTTTTTCACTTATTAAAAAAGTCTAATTGTAGGCCAGGCACAGTGGCTCATGCCTGCAATCCCAGCACTTTGGGAGGCCAAGGCAGGCAGATCACTCGAGGTCAGGAGTTCGAGAACAGCCTGGCCAACATGGTGAAACCCCGTCTCTACTAAAAATACAAAAATTAGCCGAGCGTAGTGGCGTGTGCCTGTAGTCCCAGCTACTCGGGAGGCTGAGGCAGGAGAATCACATGAACCTGGGAGGCAGAGGTTGCGATGAGCCGAGATCATGGCACTGCACTCCAGTCTGGGGGACAGAGCGAGACTCCGTCTTGGGGGAGAAAAAAAAAAAGTCTAATTATATTTTTTTAAATAAGCTGGAGCTTTTGAACAACAAAGGTGACCTCTCAAGAGGAGGGCCACTCATTGACTGGGTAGCACAAGGCCCCATTTCTATTAGGGCATGCTGGCTGGAGTCCCCTGTGTCCTGGCCATAGCACAGCCTTTGACTGGCATCACTCCCATTGTATGAATGAATAGAGAGATTGACTAACCCGACTGACTAGTTTTGGGAGCTGGTAGGATGATTAGGAAAACTGAACCCTCAAGAAAAGAAAAGCATTTAGCTCAGTGCTCTGTCCCAGAGGCTACATTGTGTTGCCTCTTCTTGTCCATCAGTTTTCATTTTTTCAGACAGGGTCTTGCTCTGTCACCCAGGCTGGAATGCAGTGGTGATCAGAGCTCACTGCAGCCTTGAACTCCTGGGCTCAAACAATCCTCCTGTCTCAGCCTCCCGAGTAGCTGGGCCTACATGCATGCACCACCATCCCCAGCTAATTAGGTAATTTATTTTGAAAGCACTTTGAGAAGCACTTCACTGTCAAATCTGTAGGTCTAAAAGGAAAAGCATACATACACATAATTGATTTCACATTGTTTTACATTTCCTTTGTCTTCTGGAATGTCATCTTTTTTCTTGGTTTCTCTTTCAGCACAGGATCTAATCTAGATATTGGAAAAGAGAATCCAATGGGTTATATGTTTATCTTCCACCTTCCCCACTTTACGTATCACATAAGAACATTCGAGATGATTTCTTATGCAGAAGAAAAAATTAACTGAGCAACTATATTCAGAAAAAGACAGGTTCTGGCTATGTGTTTTTACTTCATATATATAATCTATATGAGTAAGTGCTATCACATGCTTCCTCCGCAGCCCTTGTGTCAGAAACACTACAGACAAAATTATTTCAGAAAAATTTTACACATCAGATCTGTTAGGCAGTAAAGCAATCATTAACTAATTTAATTTTGTCCTCCAAGTCAATACACTAGGATCAAATTATCCCTAGTAGACAAGTGTTCATTTGATCAGATTGAAAGCTTAATAGCTATTTTAGATTGCACAGACTATTACCAAAGTATTAAAACTTTTAACATTACACAACTTGTTTTTAATTAATTGGAACCCACCTCTTTTACTAGCTCTTATATCCTCCTAAGTTTGGATAGATGTTTACTATCACATGTCATAAGTTAATTGATCTGCATTCAACAATTAGGATCGCCCACAGAACAGGTAATTGGCAATGGTAAGGACTCATGTCTCCTAAGGGATCTCTGTGGCCAGAGTCTAGTTCCAGGGCTGCTCAGAAAGTGATGACAAATAACGTGTTTGTGCCAATGACATCTTTGTGACAGTTTTTATTAGAGGGGTCCCAGACCTGAAAACATTCCCTGCTAGGGCCTGTAGCACAATGCTACCTTTAGTAAGAGGGATCTGTGTTCTGGTAGATAAGGCAAGGTCATAAAGGTGAAGGGCTGACAGAGATTAGGAGAGCCTGCAATTAAATGGTACGAAAAGAGTCCTAAATAATCACTGTTCAGAGCTTCCAAGTACTTGACTAACCAAAGAGACCCAGAAAACTTTGTATTTCATCTGAAAATTGCTTTAAACAGTGAAAAATGCAATCTTTGTGTAAGTATCTTTGTATCTTTGTATAAGTGCAAAGCACTGCACATATATTTGCAATTGTTGCCTTCAATAACACTTTTGTGATGATATCCAGATGAAAAATAATTTAAACATGATACAATAAAATATAAATAAATTAAATTAAATGTAAGTCACAAACCCATCTGCATTTCCTCCATGACCTGTTTCCTGAGAAGCAATGTGCTATGAAATACTGAGACTGGCCTCTGGAGTCAGCTGGGCCTGGGTACACATCCTGTCTTACCACACCTTGAAATCACTGTGATTTCCATGAACTGACTGACAAAAACCACGAGGATGTAAGGAGGGTCAGAGGCTGTCTTACTGTCTGTAAGGCTGAGCTCACATCCACCTCACAGGAGCATTATGGAAATTCAAGACTGCAACGCATGTGCCGGATGCATGCAACGAAAAAATATAACACTTCACTTCTCTAACTGTAAGAAAATACCTACATTTTAGATTGAAATTGTTTGAGCTTTAGATTTGAAATTATCTGAAATCAAGACTATTCTAAAAAGAAAATCAAACATATGACCGGAAATCTAACATGAAGCACATACAGAGAATTGATAGATGCTTTTAAATTACACTGGTAGTAGAGAAAAACGTAACATAAATTTTTATGCTCTGATTATAAGAACGAAGGCCGTTTTAGAAAAGGCATTTGCCCCCTCTCTTAGAGCCTTCCACTCTGGCCCCCACAATGCCTGACAGAGTAAATCTGGGTCAGACTGGATGCAACCAGTGATTCCCAAAAGAGACAAACAAAGCAAGGTTCAGGATGCTCAGTACTGCGATGGAATGCCAAGACACAGAAAAGCCATGTGTCAAGAAGGGGGGAGTTATTCTTTAGACACATCCTGATATATGTTTATCATTAAAGATCAGTGGCTTTTGTGAGTCTAAAAAATTAAGCCTTAAATGTTTTCATCAAATTCCAGTTAACTACCTGATTTATCTAGGTTATATTAACAGTATTATTTAGAATTTCACCTTGATATGAAGATGTCTGTGTAACTTTTACAATGATGTAAAACAAAGAGTAGGGTTAGGGAGGGCACAGGCCACTGGTGCAATGGATAACGCGTCTGACTACGGATGAGGGAATTTAGCCTGGAATAAGGAACTTTTATTTCCAGCTTAGTGACGCACACAAATTTTAAAAATAAAATAAAAATCATGTTTTATGTGATTCATGTTTCTCCTAATGCAAAGAAGACGGGTACTATTACTAAAAATATTTTTAAAATGTAAGGGCTAAGGCCCCAGAAGTTCTGCTATGATTTTTTATGTTTCATAGAGTGATTATCATCACAGAAGCTCAAGCATTACATAAATACAAATGCGTGTACCCCGACCTGGTAATTCTGCTTCTTGAAATTTATCTTCAGGTCCACCCGCACATCTACAAATTGATGCATATTCAATGTTATGTACTGCAGCACTGTTTATAAGAGCAAAAGACTGGAAACAGCCTAAATTTCCATCTATAAAAGACTAAATAAATAAAGGTACATCCCTAAAATGGAATATTATGTGGCGTTAAAAAAGAGAGAGAGAGAAAGAGAGGAGAAGCAAGAAAAAGAGAAAGCTTTCTACATTCAAACTAATAGTAGAAAACTCTCCAAGATACAATTTTAAAGAAAAAAAAATCAAAGTCGAGAAAACTATAGAGGAGGCTGCCTTTAGTGTAAGACAGTTGAAAATTATAAATATATTCATATGTTTATAAAGAAATTTTAGGAGGCTATAAAAAAACAAAACAAAGGGAAAGAGGAACAGGAGCTGGGACATAGGTGAGCAAGATGCATGGCAGGCATATGTCTTCATCTTCTTATGCTTTTATTTAAAAATGTTGGACCACGTGTACATGTTATCTATTTTAAAAATTAGATTTTAAAATACAAGCAAGAAAACAAGAAAATGAAAGCATAAAAAGAGCATGTGGAACTACCAGTAAAAGATACTAATCCATGGAGATAATGGCAAGGTAGCTCCTAGATGCACTGATTTCTCTACCACACTGTATAAACAAGCCATCAACTATGCGATTTGTAATTAAAAATGAGTCTATTTGAAACACCACATTATAAAAAGCTATTAAGTAAATCTTCAAAGTGACAGTAAATGATGACTTAACATTTTAAAGAGATACAGTCACATCGCATGTGTGAATGCAGTCATCTGTATAAAATGTCATCATTACCTTCATCATTTCTTCTTCTCCTGCTGTTTTACTTTTTGCTTCTATGTCCCCTGCTTCATTGCATCTAATAAAGCAGCTATTTGAGGCCAACAAATCCATTTTCCCCTAAGTGAAACAAAATAACAAAATAGCCATGAGGATACTTCTTGTAGAAGAAATATTAAGTGTTTAGACTGAATGAATTTTTCCTCCCTGATTTAAAAATCACAGAAAAGAACTTAGAGAAAAACCTGAAAAATGTAATACAAGAACATATAGAAAAGGAAACCAAAATCACCTTTCATTTTGCTTTCAAAGATTGCCACAATAAATATTTGTAGTGTATCTTCCTAGTAGGACTAAACTCTAATTAGATGAGGTAGGATTGCTTCCTTTCTAAAAGATCTACTGAAGATAAAACTGATTTAGTTCTGTTTGAAAAATTAACTTTAAAGACAAGAACATAATTATGAATGCATACTTTATTCAAATATTAGCATTTTAAGTAAAATTTATTTTCTTCACAATTAGAAAACATGAAAAGGCATATACAATGCCTTTGGTGTTTTGAATTTAAGAATCAATGTCTGAGGGACTTTTGTGTGTGAAAATAAATATTCATGGCCGGGCGCGGTGGCTCACGCCTGTAATCCTAGCACTTTGGGAGGCCGAGGCGGGTGGATCACGAGGTCAGGAGATCGAGACCATCCTGGCTAACATGGTGAAACCCCGTCTCTACTAAAAATACAAAAAATTAGCCGGGTGTGGTGGCGGGCACCTGTAGTCCCAGCTACTCGGGAGGCTGAGGCAAGAGAATGGCATGAACCAGGGAGGCAGAGCTTGCAGTGAGCCGAGATCGTGCCACTGCACTCCAGCCTGGGCGACAGAGCCAGACTCTGCTTAAAAAATAAATAAATAAATAAATATTCATACACATTTTTCGTTGTTTAATGTTTGATGTATTACACTGCTTTCTATTAAACAAAACTTTAAAAACTGATTTTCTTGTGTATCTAAATCTGGGTTATAAATTTGGTTAGCTTAACTCCCGTAACAAATATAGTGTTTATTTATAACTTGTATTTGGTTGATTCTTTTGGAAAACTTGGAATACAATAACATTTAGACAAAATATTTATAAATACAATGATTACAAAATATGTTAACCTTATATCACATCCAGTTAAAAACGTGCTGATAATATGGATTTAATTTCTTAGTCAAGTCACAAGGGCTGGGTGGTCTCTCATCTCGATGGCTCCCGGTGAGCCCTGGAACATGGCGGTGTGGTCCAAGGCGATTTAAACCTGTGCCGCAGATTATTCAGCTGAGTCCTTTTTGCAATAGAGATTTAAGACCCTCTTTCATTTAAATTTAAATTTTTGAAACTTAGTGTCAAATGCTAAAATATCATTGGAACATTACTTTAGATTAGAAAATATTTTATTAATAATTCAGACAGAGTGTGATATGGTTTGGCTGTGTCCCCCCCAAATCTCATCTTGAATTGTAGTTCCCATAATCCCCACATGTTACCCAGTGGGAGGTAATTGAATCATGGGGGCGGTTAGCCCATGCTGCTATTCTCATGATAGTGAGTGAGTTCTCATGAGATCTGATGGTTTTATCCAGGACTTTTCCCCCTTTTGCTCAGCACCTCTCCTTGCTGCTGCCATGTGAAGAAGGATGTGTTTGCTTCCCGTTCCGCCATGATTGTAAGTTTCCTGAGGCCTCCCCGAACTATGAGTCAATTAAATCTCTTTCGTTTATAAATAGCCGAGCACTGTGAGAATGGACTAATAAATACGAGTGTCTTAATCCATTTTGCATTGTTATAAAGGAATATCTGAGGCTGGGTAATTTAATAAAATAAGACATTTATTTGACTCACGGTTCTTCAGGCTCTGCAAGAAGCATGGCACCAGCATCTGCTTCTGGTGAGGACCTCATGAAGTTTCTAACCATGGGGGGAGGCCAAGAGAGAGCAGGCATGTCACATGGCAAGGGAGGGAGCAAGAGAGAGGGGAGGAGTGCCATGCTCTTTTAGGCAGCCAGATCCCACAGGAACTAAGAGTGAGAATTCACTCAATCCTAACATAATGACACCAAGCAACTCATGAGGGATCTGCCCCCCTGACCCAAACACCTCCAACTAGGCCCCACCTCCCACATTAGGGATGAAATTTCAACATGATATTTGGAGGGAACTAATATCCAAACTATGTCATAGAGGTATGTGTGTAACCTCATTCATTTATGCATTCATTCAACAAAATATGTAGTGAGCACCTGCTATGTGCCAGGCACTGTGCTAGGCTGTAGATATGACTCATAAATAAGATTAATATTGCCACAGTCCTTAGGAGCCTAGTGTAGTTGGGGAGTAAATAAGCAAACAGATAATTTCTATACCTGGTAATTACTACCTTGATAGGGCAAAGAGGATTCTGTTTGTGCTGTAAAAGCACATGAAAAGTACAAAGTCAATCCTTGGGAGGTCATGGAATCTTTCCTAGGAAATGATATATAAGGTGGATAAAAAGGTAACCAGATACAGATGAGAAGAGAAGGTGGGCCAGAAATTTTGAAATACTGAACCAACTGGATGTCATTCACTGACATAGGGTAATAGTATAGATGACTGGATTGGAAAATGAAAAAGGAACTAAAAGTAATTAAATGAGCTGCAGACATGAAAATGAACACTTGGGAAGTCCTGGCAGGAAGTCATCAATAAGACAACATAATGAAGTGGAAAGTGGTTGGGAGTAAGGCTGACTTGGATTCAAACCCTAGTTTCACCACTTAATAGACGTGTTAAGTTGAACAAATCCTTTAACTTTTCAGAGCCTCAATTTTCCTCTTTGTAAAATACAGATAATAACATGGACACTATAAGGGTTTTGTTGTTGTTGTTGTTGTTTTGAGACGGAGTCTTGCTCTGTTGCCCAGGCTGGAGTGCAGTGCCTCGATCTTGGCTCACTGCAACCTCTGCCTCCTGGGTTCAAGCGATTCTCCTGCCTCAGCTTCCAGAGTAGCTGGGACTACAGGCGCACGCCACCATGCCTGGCTAATTTTTGTATTTTTTGTAGAGACGGGGTTTCACCATATTGGCCAGGCTGGTCTCGAACTCCTGATCTCAGATGATCCGCCTGCCTTGGCCTCCCAAAGTGCTGGGATTACAGGCGTGAGCCACCGCACCTGGCCCAGACACTGTAAGTTTTGGGGAGGATTAAATGGGATCATCCATGTAAATGCGCCTATCCCAGTCTCTAGCACACACTGAACACTCAAAAATGGGAGGTTTTGGTATTTCAGAAGAAAATCAGGTGTCGGGGAGTGTTAGTAGTAACCTTGAACTATATGCAAAGACTAAAGCTAGGAAGATAGGAAGAGTTTTACAAGATCCTTTTGGCTATATAGTTAAAGTTATTAGCAGTTAGAGTTTCCCTTACAGTTGACAAGTGAACCATACAAGTGAATGACTTGTGGTTCCTCAGATAAAAGCACGAGTCAGAGTTGTAATTTCTGTTTTGTGGACGTAATTGTTGACCAAGTGCACTGAAGGTAGGGATGGCCAGTAACAAAATTATAAAGCAGGCCTGTTTGTCTTCAAACACTCCTGAGTAAACTTGTCATTTCCTTGTAAAAATGCAAAATAGACTACTGAGTAGAGGTGATCAATTACAGAAATGCACTTACTTTGGCTTTCTTCTGAAACCTAATAAAATGACAGTAAAGGGATTATTTTTTTAAGGCAGAAACCCACAATGATGATGAAATTAGAAAGGAAGACAAGAACAACAAGGTTGTGGAATTCAGAAGCCATATAGACAAGAGGTAACACACCTGAGAAAGATGATCCCTAAATTTGTCTTGGAGAAAACTCAGAAGTACCTGACTACATCATAGACCTCCCAAACAGCTTCCAAATGTCAGATACCACTGAAAATGGGGATAAAGGTAGGGTCAAAAATAGGAGGATTGGGTTATAAGTCTGTATAAGAAGTTGTTAGATCCCTACATCCTCTCTTCAAACCTGTATAGCCAGATAATGGTCCCTCTCCCAGCCTGGCAGAGGCTGGAAAAGGTAAATAGAGAAACTTACTTCCTGGAGAACATTTGGCACATTTGGGGATGGAGTTCAGTAATATAAATGAAGGGGTAGTGAAAATTTATGGGAACATTTATAAGCTAACAGAACCCCATGTCTTTTACCCCATTCTAATTCCAGACCACTAGAGATTAGAAAATTATTCTCTGGGGTATCTGACCACTTCCAGAGGAAAGACATAAAGATGCTGATGTCGAGAATGACCCAACTAAATGGCCCAGCCAGATGACCCAGTTGAAGCTGGTGGACAAGAAGTTTCATTCATGGAATCAGAACTTCCAATAAGGTCTTTTAGTACCTCACTCCTAAATTTGAATAGACTACCAAAGATTATCAGACATCTAAGGGGAACTACCAGCATGAAAGGTAGAGACCAAAGCAAACAAACAAACAAAGAAAATAATTTGGAACTAACCAAGACTATGCTGGGAGAAGAAAACTATTATTAATATCCACAGAGCGTAGTACAGCCACTATGGAGAACAGTATGGAGGTTCCTGTAAAGACTAAAAATAGAACCATCATATAATTCAACAATCCCACTGCTAGATATATACCCCAAAGAAAGGAAATCAGTATATTGAAAAGATATCTGCACTCTCATGTTTACTGTAGCACTATTCATAATAGCCAAGATTTGGAAGCAACTTAAGTGTCCATCAACAGATGAATAGATTTTTTTAAAATGTGGTACATATACACAATGGAGTACTATTCAGCCATAAAAAAGAATGAGAAATGTCATTTGCAACAACATGGTTGGAACTGGAGGACCTTATGTTAAGTGAAATAAGCCAGGCCCAAAAAAACAAATTTCACATGTTCTCACTCATTTGTGGGACCTAAAAATGAAAACAGTTGAACTCAGGGAGATAGAGTAGGATGATGGTTACCAGAGGCTGGAAGGGTAGTTGTGGTGGGAGGTGGGTGGTTAATGAGTACAAAAATATAGTTAGATAGAATGAATAAATCTAATAGTTGCTAGCACAACAGGGTGACTACAGTCAACAATAATTTACCATACATTTAAAATAACTAAAAGAGTATAATTGGCATGTTAGTTACACAAAAAAAGGATAAATGCTTGAGGCAACGGATATACCATTTACCTGAATTTGGTTATCACACATTGTATACTTGCATTAAAATGCCTGCCGGGCACATGGCTCATGCCTGTAATCCCAGCACTTTGGGAGGCTGAGGCGGGCAGATCACCTGAGGTCGGGAGTTTGAGACCAGCCTGACTAACATGGAGAAACCCATCTCTACTAAAAATACAAAGTTAGCTGGGCATGGCGGCTCATTCCTGTAATCCAAGCTACTCGGGAGGCTGAGGCAGGAGAATCACTTGAACCTGGGAGGCGGAGGTTGCAGTGAGCCGAGACCGCACCATTGCACTCCAGCCTGGGCAACAAGAGCAAAACTCCGTCTCAAAAAAAAAAAAAAAAACTTATGTTCCCCATAAATATAAATACCTATTATGTACCAATAAAAGTAAAAAGTAAAAAGTTTCAATTGATTCACAACTTTAAAAAATATCCACAGAGGCGTAAGAGGAGATATTGTATTGCACCCACGAACCAGTCTTATGCTATTTCAGAAAGGGACATTCAAGAAACAAAAAGGGAGCTCTTGGAAATTTGAACAATAAATAATAGTAGAATAAAAAATTCAGAGAAAGTTTGGATGATAAATTTGAGCCAATCTCCCAGTAAGCAGAGCAAAAATATAGAAAATGAGAGTTAGAAAAGAAAAAGAAAAAAATTAAAGGACTAAAATAAGAAGTCCAACATCTAAATAAGAGGAGATCCACAAAGAGCAACAGAGATAAGAGAAGAAAGGAAATAATCAATAAAATAATTCAAGAAAATCCAAGGACATGAGTTCTCAGATTGTAAGAGACTACTTGAGTGAAAAAAAAAAAAAAAGAATGGAGTTAGACCCATCCCAAGGCACATTATTTGTGCGATTTTAAAATACCGATATATTAGTTTGCTAGAGCTGCAGTAACAAAACACCACAGACTGGGTGGCTTGAACAGCAGAAATTTGTTTTCTCATGGTTCTGGATGCTAGAAGTCTAAGATCGAGGTGACAGCAGTTTCGTTTTTCCTGACGCTTCTCTCCTTAGCTCACAGATGGCTGCCTTCTAGTTGTGTCCTCATACTGTCTTCCCTTGGTCAGTGTTGTCTGTGTCCTCGTCTCCTCTTCTTAAAGGGACACCAGTCATATTAGGTTAAGAATTGCCCATTAGACCTCATTTTACCTTAATTACCTCTTTAAAGGCCCCACGTCTAAATACAGTCATATTCTAAACTACTGGGGGTTAGGGCTTCACTGAGTGAATTTTGGTGGAAAGTGGGGCAGGGGACACAATTCAGCCTACAAAAACTGGAAACAAAGTGAAAATCCTATGTGTTTCCGTGCTCAGAAGACAGGAAGTACTCATACCCAAGAGTCAATAATTAAACTGGTTTCTCACCAGCAATTTGGGAGACTGGAAGTTGGAAGACACAGAGCAGTGCCTACCACATTCAAAAGAGAAAAGAGGCCAGGCATGGTGGCTCACGCCTGTAATCCCAGAACTTTAGGAGGCGAGGAGGATGGATCACCAGGTCAGGTGTTCAAGACCAGCCTGACCAACATGGTGAAACGCTGTCTCTACTAAAAATACAAAAATTAGCCAGGCGTGGTGGCGCATGCCTGTAATCCCAGCTACTCAGAAGGCTGAGACAGAAGAATCACTTGAACCCAGGAGGTGGAGGTTGCAGTGAGCCGAGATCATGCCACTGCACTCCATCCTGGGTGACAGAATGAGACTCCGTCTCAAAAAAAAAAAAAAAAAAAAGAGAGAGAAAAGAATTCCAACCCAGAATTCTCAACTTCACTGTGTCAGAGGATATGAAGTAAACAAATATTCATCTCTACATTTGCCAGTCCCTGTGGACTTAGGCCAGATAGTATAAATAATAGTCACAAAAGGAGTATGAATGGGATAAGAAGCCACTTCTAGTCTGAGACAATTAAGAGTAGTAGTGCCTTCTCTGCACTCTCACCCCCTCATTCTGACAGCTGAAGTGAAGGACTCCCAACTTCTGGAACTGCCCAATGAAAGTAGCCTTGTGTGAGTGTTAGCTGGCCTGCTTTGGTCTGGGATGCAAGTAGAAATAAACTCCTCTCATATTAAGCCACTAAGACTTTAGGGATATGTTGCTGTAGCATAGCCTAATGTAGCCTGATTACTGAACGAGCCACCCCATCAACTGAATCTATGTATATACTAAAAACATTTTAAGATATGCAAGGTCTCAAAGAGTTCACTCGATGCACACTTTTTCTCAGGAAGCTACTAGAGGATGTGCTCCACAAAAAATAAAGGTATAAATTGTGAAAGAGGAAAACATAGGATTTAGGAATCAAGGGAATTCAGCACAAGACAGAAGAAAAGGGAATCTGCAGCAAGATCCCTGAGCTGTGCATGTAACATAAAGGGCAACAATTTCCAACACAGAGCAGATCACAAGACCCTAGGATAGATTTCTTGAAGAAAATGAAATTAAAAGAATACTGGATTCATCTGAACATATGAAAAGGAGATTTAAGCAACTTTTTAAGAGCTTGGGAATGAATTAATGATAATATATATGGTATTATGCAACCAAAACTACAATAAAAACTCATTAAAAATTATAACTCATAAAATTATTAATTTCAGGGAAAATAAAAAGTTGAGTAGGAATGAAAAAAGAATCAGAGGATACTATAAAGCTCATCTGTGGATATTGTTTACATAGTCATGATAATGAAAAAGAAATAATCTAACCAAAATTAAACGTTGGAAGTGTGGGGAGATAGAAATGGTAGAGTGTATTCGGTATTTATGTGTTGGGGAGGATACCTGTAACTTTAACATTAGTGAGCTTTACTTTACTAAGGCTAAATAAACAAACTCAAGTGTCCAGAAAGGCTAGAGAAGAAGCTTACAAGAATGAAGCTATTGTGGTGTGATTCAATAGGGAATAGGTGGGGCCTTGGCAACATCAATTTGTAGTATCCCTGCCAATTGATACTACAACATCAATTTGTAGTATCCCTGCCAAAATTTAACTATGGAAAATAGTTAAATTTTAATATGCACACATCTGTGGTTGTGGTTATACAGATATATATATATATATATATATATATAAAATAAAAATTTATATATAAATAAATACATAAACAAACTCAAGTGTCCAACAGGGCTAGATAAGGAGCTTACAAGAATGAAGCAGTTGTGATGTGATTCAATAGGGAATAGGTGGGGCCTTGGCAAACCAAAAAACATATTCTATCTAAAGTGGATGGCCACAACTTGCTCCAGCTGTGGAAACTTGGGCCATGTACTGCTAGATCTAAGGATTTTCTTTTGAGAGATGCTAGATATATACGTTTTTTAAAAATAAAATTATCCTGATTTTAACAACATTGCCTTATTATATAAAACATACCTTGGAGGGTGTGGGTAAGACACAATGTCCTTGAAATTATATTTCACTAGGTTAATAAAATTGGCTCCGGAAGAAAATAATTTTAAACAGCAAACCAAAAAGTGAAGGCCTTCAAAACTAACAAACCAAAGGAAAACAAAACAAAATGACAACAAGAAAAAAACAAAGAAACAAAACCCCTGGACCTTACCATTTTTCTAAGGCATGTTGACATGATAAAATCAAAATTGCTTTGTGCTTATAAGGATCAAAGGTTATGCTTTTGACTTTATAAATTCAGAGAAAGAATTTAATTGGAATTATTTTTATGAATTAACTGAAGATCTAAGGCAACTGGATAATTTAGGTTCTGCTAATATCTAGAATATTCAAAGTTTATGTTTAGTCTGACACTAAAGAATCCATTATTTCTCTTGACTTCCAGGCTGGTCAGTGTCTTTCCTGTGTCATATACCAAACAATGTGTTAGAAATTGTCTTCTCACTCATAAACTAATATTTGTTCAGAGTAAAAAGTCAAGCAAGTAAATAATGAGAAAAAATTCAGTGTATTGTATAAACAAAGACAGAAGGCAGACCAATGGTTACCTGGGGCCTAAGCTAAAGAGATTAATTGTACACAGACACAAAGGAATTTTTTGGGATGGTGAAAGTGTTCTAAAACTGGATTGGGATGATTGTGGCACAACTGTATAAATGTTATTAAAACTCATTGAGTTGTACACTTAAATGAGTGGCTAAGTTGTGCTTTAATAAAGCTGTAATTTTGAAAAAGAATAATGGATGATCAACTGTGGGCTAGAGTATGATGAAAACACAAGACATTTACATAGTTTCAAAGTATCTCCCCATCAGGTACTTATTAACTGCATCAGGGAAACAGTAATTTTCTTGTGGCAGAACCCTGCTGACAAAGTTAACATTCTAGTAAAAGCACAGGTGGATGTCATGTGCCTCCTGAAGTGATGCACAGAGAAGGATGCAACATCAACTTGTAGTATCCCTGCCAAAAATATAAAACCTGAATTTAACCATGCTGAAACATAAGACAAATCCAAGTGAAGGAACATTCTACAAAACAACTGACCAGTACTCCTCAAGAGTGTCAAGGTCCTGGAAGACAAAGACTGAGCAATGCTTCTGATTAAAGTAGACTGAGAGGTGACAACTGAATGCAATGTGGGATTCTGGATTAGGTCTTGGCCCAGAAACAGGTCTTCGGTGGGACAACTGGCAAAATGTGAATAAGGTCTCTGGTTTTGTGAATGGTAGCGTATCGACGCTCATTACCTGCTTTTGATCATGGTAGTGATAGTAAGATATTAACATTCAGGAAAGCACAGTGAAGGGTATATGGGAACCTCTACTATTTTTGTAGCTTTTGTAAGTTGAAATTGTTTCAAAATGAGTTAGAAAATTAAAAGGAAGTTTTCTCTTTCAGCTGGGAAAACGGCAATGGATTAATAACAAGAAATTAATGGTGAAGTGGTGACGAAAATTCTACATTGCTTAGAAAGCAAGTAAGAAAATCAGTGGTTGTAGAGAAGTTCTTACATGAAGTAATAAAAATAAAAATTGTTATGTTAAGCATTTTCTATTTTCTTTTCCTCCCCTCCAAATGAAACAGCATACTATTCTGCATGTTTTTCTACCTAACAATGTATCTTTTTAATGACTCTTGTATTTTAAACCTAAAATTTTGATTAAGCTTCACTTAATATTAAAAAAGATAGTATAGGTCACGATGTTATTTGATGCAAACGTTGGAAAGACAGAATCTTCTTGATCCAAGAGCTTTTAGAATTCAAAGTCTGATTCTGGTTATTACTCTGCTCATTTAAGATAGTGAAATGAACATTTACATTCTGGCAACCTCAGAAGTACAACGAACAAAGGACACCAGCCAGGTAGGGCAAAGGCCTGTGAACCCCCTTTTGCTGTTAAATGTTTATCAGATGAGTGCTCTGTTTCTGTTATATTATATTGCTTTTCTCTCCAATGTTTACTGAGGAAGAACAAGTAGCTCCTCAGGCAAGTCAACTGTTAACTTTGCAGTTTTTATTTAATCTCCCAGGAATGTAACCCTTAACTTTAAAGAATGTAGTGACCATAAAACTTATAAAGCATGTTTCTTAAGGAAATTGTACCTGTTTATTTAATCTATCAGATATGAATGTTATAGAAAATTAAATTTGTCCACTTAAGCTGTAGATGAACTTTTCACCTTTCTGATCAGAAATTCACCATCTTATAGTATAGGTTCTGTTATTAATCAGAATATTTCATTTAGACTCTTTCTATCCAACTTTTTCTTAGAGGCTATTCAAAATAAAGGTGCTTCTAACAGTTTCATATCGAAATACGATGCAAAGCCTTGCTCTTCCATGGTATCCTTTGAGTGAGCCAAACTTATTTAGCCATTCCCCTATAGTTAAATAGCTAGGATGTTTCCAACATCTCACCTTTAAAACAATAGTGCTATGAATGTCATAAATGTTTGTATATGTAAATATGTAGGATAAATCCCTATCAGTAGAATTTCAAAAGGTATACGCAATCAGTATTTTCATACATATTTAAAATTTTCCATCCATACAAAGGTTGCTAACATATTTATTTAAAATTTTAAAAATAATTTTATATGCCTCTTGTAACCAGTAATAGGATGCAAAGTTTTTTTTAAGGTAACATTGCTCCTCTTCCCCCATTGTCTCTGTCATCTATAGTACTCCCTGAGGTAGTTCATGTTATTGCAAGGGTGTGTATCATCACAAACATATTGCTTCCACATACATATATCAGCATACATATATATATATGTATAGCATATATATATATGAGCACATATTAATATATGCCCATGCACATACAAGCATGTTTTTGTTAATTTTTACTGAAATGGAATCATACTGCATACTTATGAACAAATTGCTTCTTTCACCTTATATCACTTATAATTGTTATTCTACAAATCAGTACATATAAAAAATACATATTTACATATGTAATACTCTATCTTTCTGTTATAATTTTCTGCATGCACATGTATGCATATACATATATTCATAAACATAAAACTTAATCTAAACGGGATTTTTTTTGGGGGGGGTGATATGGTTTGGCTGTGTCCCCACCCAAATCTCATCTTGAATTCCCATGTGTTGTGGGGGGACCCGGTGGGAGGTAATTGAATTATGGGGGCAGGTCTTTCCTGTGCTGTTCTCGGGATAGTGAAAAAGTCTCACAAGATCTGATGGTTTTAAAAAGATGAGTTTCCCTGCATAATCTCTCTTCTCCTGTCTGGTTCCATGTGAGATGTGCCTTTTGCCTTCCGCCATGATTGTGAGGCCTCCCCAGCCATGTGGAACTGTAAGTCCAATAAACCTCTTTCTTTTGCAAATTGCCCAGTCTCAGGTATGTCTTTATCAGCAGCATAAAAATGAAACAATACAGTAAATTGGTACAAGTAGAGTGGGGCGCTGCTGAAAAGATACCTGAAAATGTGGAAGAAACTTTGGAACTGGGCAACAAGCAGAGGTTGGAACAGTTTTGAGGGCTCAGAAGACAGGAATATGTGGGAAAGTTTGGAGCTTCCTAGAGACCTGTTGAACGACTTTGCCCAAAATGCTGATAGTGATATGGACAATAAAGTCCAGGCTGAGGTGGTCTTAGATGGAAACAAGAAACTTGTTGGGAACTGGAGCAATGGTGACTCTTCTTATGTTTTAGTAAAGATACTAGGGGCATTTTGCCCCTGCCATAGATATATGTGAAACTTTTAACTTGAGAGAGATGATTTAGGGTACCTGGCAGAAGAAATTTCTAAGCAGCAAAGCATTCAAGAGGTGACTTGGGTGCTGTTAAAGGTATTCAGTTTTATAAGGGAAGCAGAGCACAAAAGTTTGGAAAATTTGCAGCCTGACAATGTGCTAGAAAAGAAAATCCCATTTTCTGAGGAGAAATTCAAGCTGGCTGCAGAAATTTGCATAAGTAACAAGGAGCTGAATGTTAATCCCCAAGACAATGGGGAAAGTGTCTCCAGGGCATGTCAGAGTTCTTCATGGCAGCCCCTCCCATCACAGGCCCAGAGGTTTAGGAGGAAAAAGTGGTTTCGTGGGCTGGGCCCAGGGTCCCTCTGCTGTATGCAGTCTAGGGACTTCATACCCTGCATCCCAGCCATGAATGAAAGGAGCCAAAGTACAGCTCTGTCTGTTGCTTCAGAGGGTGCAAGCCCCAAGCCTTGGCAGCTTCCACATGGCTTTGAGCCTGCGGGTGCACAGAAGTCAAGAATTGAGGTTTGGGAAACTCCGCCTAGATATCAGAAGATGTAGAAGTTTGCTGTAGGGGTGGGTCCCTCATGGAGAACCTCTGCTAGGGCAGTGTGAAAGGGAAATGTGAGATTGGAGCCCCCAAACAGAGTCCCTACTGGGGCACCATCTAGTGGAGCAGTGAGAAGAGGGCCACTGTTCTTTAGACCCTGGAATGGTAGATCCATGGACGGCTTGCACTGTGCACCTAGAAAAGCCACAGACACTCAATGCCAGCCTGTGAAAGCAACCTGGAGAGAGGCTGTACCCTGCAAAACCTCAGGGGCAGAGCTGCCCAAGACCATAGGAACCAACCCCTTGCATCAGCATGACCTGGATGTGAGACATGGAGGCAAAGGAGATCATTTTGGAGCTTTAAGATTTGACTGTCCCACTGGATTTCAGACTTTCATGGGGCCTGTATCCCCTTTGTTTTGGCCAATTTCTCCCATTTGGGATGGCTGTATTTACCAATGCTGTACCCCCATTATATCTAGGAAGTAACTAACTCGCTTTTGATTTTACAGGCCCATAGGTGGAAGGGACTTGCCTTGTCTCAGATGAGACTTTGGACTTTGGACTGTGGACTTTTGAGTTAACACTGAAATGAATTAATGCTGAAATGAATTAAGACTTTGGGAGACGGTTGAGAAGCCATGACTCATTTTAAAATGTGAGAACATGAGATTTGGGAGGGGCTGGGGTGGAATGGTATGGTTTGGCTGTGTCCCCACCCAAATCTTATCTTGGATTCCCATGTATTGTGGGAGGGACCCGGTGGGAGGTAACTGAATCATGGGGGCAGGCCTTTCTCATGCTGTTTTTGTGATAGTGAATAAGTCTCATGAGATCTGATGGTTTTGAAAAGGGGAGTTTCCCTGCACAAGCTCTCTTCTCTTGTCTGCTTCCAGGTGAGACATGCCTTTCACCTTCTGCCATGATTGTGAGGCCTCTCCAGCCATGTGGAACTGTAAGTCCAATAAACCTCTTTCTTTTGCAAATTGCCCAGCAATGTGAAAACAGACTAATACAGTGGGAGATTACTTCTCCATACCCTCTTTGTCTGCCAACCATATCACCTCTGCTGTTTCCTCTCCCCAAAAGGTAACCCATGTTAACCTCTGATTATGATCAAATAATTATATGTATTTATTTATATAAATACCATTTCTTTATATATTTTGAACATATTAATGCATACACAAGTGTGCTAAAATTTATATTTCTACTGCTGTCACCATCTGTAGCTTGTATGATTTACAGAATTTCATGAACAAAAATACATGAAGTAAAAGGAACCATTATGATGTAAAAGCATATAGATTAATAATATTCTGCTTACTAACAGTTTCTTTTTTCTTTTTTTTTTCCTTTGGAGATGGAGTTTCTCTGTTATCGCCCAGGCTGGAATGCAATGGCACGATCTTGGCTCACTGCAACCTCCATCTCCTAGGTTCAAGCGATTCTCCTGCCTCAGCCTCCCGAGTAGCTGGGATTACAGGAGTGTGCTATCACACTCGGCAGATTTTTGTATTATTAGTAGGGACACGGTTTCACCATGTCGGTCAGGCTGTTCTCAAACTCCTGACCTCAGGTGATCCACCTGTCTTGGTCTCCCAAAGTGCTGGGATTACACATGTGAGCCACCGTACCCGGCCCACCAGTGGTATTACCCAGGGATATGAATAGCTAAGCTATACTTTAGGCACAAACCAGCACTATTATCAAGATGCAATATGTGAACTCATCTTTCTTCTAGCATCAGTTCAGAATTAATTTTAATCTGTGTATTGTATACTGCTGCCAAAAACTCATTAACCACAATTAAATTATGAAAGTACATGTGTAAATTTATGGATAGCAATACACAATCCAAAATATGAGTTTGCTATAAAAATAAAGTATATGGGTAGAATCATATTAATTATAAGTAACCAGAACTGTTAATAAGAAATTAATATTAAAATATATTGAATTTGATATTTCCATAACTGAAGTAAACTAGTTTAATAAGCGAAGCTAACCAGTCTAAAATATCAAAGGAGAATAAGAATAAAGTTTATTATTAAACATACAAGCTATGGCTAATCAACATACTTTCTTATATTTCTTGATAATATGTTGAATTTACTTTCGAGCATGTTTTGAAGAGGTAGTTAGTCAATCTTTATGTCCCTTTTGAAGATATGATGAAATAGTTACATCTCTATTATGGAATAACATGAAGTGGTTTAAAAAATGAGTGATGTATGGTCTGGCATGGTGGCTCACACCTGTAATCCCAGCACTTTGGGAGGCCGAGGCAGGTGGATTATCTGATGTCAGGAGTTCAAGACCAGCCTGGCCAATGTGGTGAAACCCCATCTGTACTAAAAATACAAAAATTAGCCAGGCGTTGTGGCGGGTGCCTGTAATCCCAGCTACTTGGGAGGCTGAGGCAAGAGAATTGCCTGAACCTTGGAGGCAGAGGTTGCAGTGAGCCAAGACTGCACCATTGTACTCCAGCCTGGACACCATGAGCAAAACTTCGTCTCAAAAAAAAAAAAATGATGAATGATGTATTTCTAATTCTAGTGAGAAGGAAAGAGTATCAGTGCATATTGTCAAGTGAAGAAAGCAAGCTCCAGAACAAAGCCTATGTATGTTCCTATTTATTAAAAACAAAAGCCACATATGTATACAAATGTACTCTATCTTTCTGTTATAATTTTATGAATGCACATGTATGCAAATACATATATTCATATACATGAGACTTAGTCTAAACAGGAATATTCTTTCAGGAGGGAATCTTGCTTCTCCTACAGAAAAATACCTAACATGGCAGGGGCAAAGGTAATATTGGACCAAAAAAATCTGGACCTATGTCTATTAAATTGCTCACAGTGTTTATGTAATATCGGTGAAGGGAAGTAAAATTGAGGTTAGTGAAAGATACTCCACGTTTTATCCTAATACTTTTCTACTGTTTGAATTTTTTATAGTTATAATACATTCAGGTATAATACATAATTTATATATAAATACTATATATATATACATACACACACATATATATATATGTGTGTGTATATATATTTTAATAAGAAACAAGGTCTTTCTCTCTCACCCAGGCTGGAGTGCAGTGCAGTGATCATAGCTCACTGTAACCTCAAACTCCTAGGCTTGCGTGATCCTCCCACCTCAGCCTCCTGAGTAGCTGGGACTACTGGTGCATGCCACCATGCCCAGCTAAGTTTTAAAATTTTTGTAGAAACAGGGTCTTGCTATGTTGCCCAGGTTGACCTTGAACTCCTGGCCTCAAGAGATCCTTTCCCCTCAGCCTCCCAAAGTGCTTGTATTACAGGCATGAGCCACTGTGCACAGCCTACTTATATTATTTAAAAAACAATTAATCAAATAAGTTGGTTAGGATTAGTTTCAGTGGCATAAACAGAAACTTAAACAATGTGAAAGCTTATTTCTGTCTCCTTCTGCCAGGTGAACACACAGTGTTCATCCCCTCAGGAGGACACAGCTTTTGAGGTACCATCTTGGAAGCAGAGACCAGCCCTCACTAGACACAAACTTCCTGGCACGTTGATTTTGGACTTCATAGCCTCTAGAACTGTGAGAAATAAATTTTTATTATTTATAAATTACCCTGTATTGGATATTTTGTTATAGCAGCACAAAAGGTCTAAGACAATGACTGAAAGACGGAGCTATAGGACTCAAAAGACCCTGGTCTTGAAGCCAGAAAGACCTGGCTTTGCCAGTAGCATGGTATTTCAATTAAGTATGATTAAACACTCTTCGAGGGAATAGAAAGGGGAAGGAAGAATGGAGATGGATCATTTGTTTCATGCCTTTTACTTACGTGTAAGGAATTATGAGCAGGTGCCTATGGATTTTGGAATATGCTTCTCTAACACTATAAAAATTAGAAAGTGAAACTTATAGCCACAAATGTCCATTTAAAATTTCTAATGACAATGGAAGAAATTATTTAGACTCTCTCCTATACTATTACACCATACATCATTGCAAAACATTTTTTTTCATTTTGCCCAACCTCCACTCCTGTCATTCCACCACTCCTATAGTATCTAAAATATAGTTTCTTTTAGAGAGATTGGTGCACCACTCAACTTGTCAGCTTGAGGGCTTTGAATGGTGTTTTCTTTTTTTTTTAAATTTCATGGCAAGCTGACTTACAAGTGACTCAACTGTAAGCTAAGACTTATTAATAGCATGGTTTAACCACCAAAGATAATGAATTCAAACAATGTTACTTACAGCCTTTAATGTCACAGCCCCTAAAAACATTGAAATGTACATTTTTCACCTGCTAGTCATCTTCAGTATTCTGGAGAGGAAATATTCTTTCCTGTCCTTACAGTGGTTGTATATCTTAAAAGACGACTATATGACACTTGAATATTGATATTCAACCTTAACCAAAGCAGTCACAAGAATACAAGCCATTGGCCTCTGGCCTTTTAGATATGTTCCCAACAAGTTCATGTGTACCCAATGAAAAATGTTAAATAAACTGATAAACTTTAAACATTTAAAAATATTTTATTTATTTACTTGCCACAGCTAGATAAGAGGAACTGGGTTAATTTTGAAACTCTCAGTTTCCTTTCCTCTAAACCAGTAGCTATTGCTGGCCACTAGTATGTTGTTTCCTTTGCAGGAAGTTGCAAAAATGAGAAAGAAAAAAACGAAAAACAAAACCAAGTTGGTATTATTTTTAGCTTTCTTCTTATTTGGATATAGCTACAGTTCTTTTTCTTATGGTGATTAACATAACTATTCAAGAGAGAAGAACCAAGCAAAGGGGAGTAGTAGGGAATTAGTAGGGAATTGTGCCAAAGGACATATGGCAAGGTTATTGTCAGAAAGCTGAGCTGCTGAAATCCAGACAGTTTAAGAGCTTATCTGCTCTGCTCTGCTCCCACCTAGGAGGACTCCTACTACAATGCAAAGACTCAAGTTTCACCTTAATTAGGTCTTTCCCAGGCCAGGTATTAGTGACCTTGGGAAAAAAGTTTAAGCTTCTCAGCTTCAGATCTTCCTCTGAATATTAGCACTGTGGTAATTGGCACAGTGGTACCTAACCCTTTGAGGGTCCAGGATTGTTTTAATGGTGAGTGATTTACAAACTGAGTTTAAAAGAGCAAGGAGGATCCAATTTTGCAAAATTTCATTAACTCTGCTTAAGAAAACAGTATATTATATTAGCTTAGATCAGGAGTTGGGAATCTATAGCCTGCTACCATTTATTGTGTAGCCTGCAAATGGTTTTTACATTTTTAATACATTGGAAAAAAAATTAAAGAAGATTATTATTTCGTGATGTGAAAATTATACATGTTGAAAGGAAAACTTTAGAGTTTAATTGAGTAAAGAATGATCTGTGAATTAGGCAGCCCCCAGAACCAGAGTAGGGTTGGTTACAGCTGAGCATTTGCCTTATTTGAACCTGGTTTGAAGAGTTGCCTGCCTGTGGTTGGCTGAAGTTCAGCTGCTGTGATTGGCTGAGACTCACTACTTGTTACAAGAGTAGGTTACATATCAAGTTTTACATATCAAGTTGAAATATAGTTTTTTATGTACTGGGAAACCTTTAGGGTAAACTTAAAATATGTAAGGAGGCAGCTTTAGGCCACAATGAATTTAACAATTCCTCCTTTTGGTCAACCTGTCAATTTTGAGAGGATGATTAATTTTGAGGTTGCCCAAAACTTTAGGCATTGACATCACTTTTTATCATCATAAATAGAGTTATTTGGTCTCTAATCCCATTGGAAAATAGCAGAACACTGGATTTTGTAAGGTGGGAACAAGGAAACAGTATAGAAAAAAAAAACTGATTGGTTAACATCAGATTACTTTTTTATTTTTTTGTCACCCAGGATGGAGTGCAGTGGCACAATCTTGGCTCACTTCAACCTCACCTTTCGGGTTCAAGCAATTCTTTTGCCTCAACCTCCCGAGTAGCTGGGACTACAGGCGTGTGCCACCACACCCAGCTAATTTTTGTATTTTTAGTATAGATGGGGTTTTGCCACGTTGGCCAAGCTGATCTCAAGCTCCTGACCTCAGGTGATCCACCCGCCCTGGCTTTCCAAAGTGCTGGGATTACAGGCATGAGCCACTGTGTCTGGCTGAGATTGCTTTTTTCTAAGTAATCTGTTGTTACTTTGGGTTACTTTTCTGTAAGGGATAGAGCAGAGGGGACTTCCTTATTATACTGGAATCTTCTGTCTTCAGGAGAAGAAAAAAAAAAACTCGTCTATTTTGGGACCTGTTTTTTAAAGTTTTAGTTTGATTTTGTGGTGCTTAGCATGAGCGACTCCATTTTGGTTTGGTCTGGTCTGCTTGGGATTAGTGCAGGAGCTCAGTCCAAAACAATGGCCTCTCATAATTTTGTTTAATACATGAAATTCAAATTTCAAACTTGTAGACATTTGCTCTCTCTCTTATTATATAAGTACCTACACAATGTCCTCAAATTTGCTTTTTGATCTGTAAAGACTAAGATATTTATCATCTAGTTTTACAGAAGAGTTTGCAGATCTTCTGGTTTAAAAGAGCAGGAGATTTAGTGTCAGGCAGGTTTGGATTGAGCCCAAGGGCTGCCATTTACTGATTGTATGACTTTGAGCAAGGTATTTATCTTTTCTAAGCCTCAATTTCCTCATCTATAAAATGGGCACACAAATAGTATTTACCTTGGAGAGTTAAATGGGATAATGCATTTAATGTGCTTAACACAGTGCCTATCAGATGCTTAGGGGCTCAAAACATTACTATTGTTGTTGTTGTTGTTTTACCCTAAAGTAAATGAGACAAAATAGCAAAGCTAAATGAGGAGGAATTTTTAAGTTACATCAGAAACTGTAATAGATTCTAAAATATTATAATTAAGAAATTTCATACTTATTTAAAAAGGCATTTTCAATTTAACAATTTAACAATTTAACCTTCTTATAAGTTAAAAAAAAAAAAAAAGCCCGGCACAGTGGCTCACGCCTGTAATCCCAGCTCTTTAGGAGGCTAAGGTGGATGGATCAGGAGGTCAGGAGTTCAAGACCAGCCTGGCTAACGTGGTGAAACCTCGTCTCTACTAAAAATACAAAAATTAGCTGGGCGTGGTGGTGCATACCTGTAATCCCAGCTACTCAGGAAGCTGAGGCAGGAGAATCGCTTGAACCCAGAGGCAGAGGTTGCAGTGAGCCAAGATCGTGCCACTGCACTCCAGCCTCGGCAACAGAGTAAGACTCCATCTCAAAAAGAAAAAAGAAATAAAAATAAAAAGTCATGCCCAGCTATTTTGGGAGAACTGAAATTACAACTCTATCTGAGAAAATAAAATGACAGGACTCCACAGAATCCATAGATAAAAACTTAACTGAAGAGGAATATGGAACAGACTAAAGGAAAAATTTTATCAAGCTGTAATCTTTATACTTGTGCCTAAGGCCAGAACTTGAAACTGCTGAAGACAGTGTTTCTCTACAAATGCACACAGGCACCCCATTTTGATGCACAGATAGGTGTTTATTTCTTTTAAGAATAGCAGCTTTATTGAGATAAATTTCACATATGATACAATTCACCAATTTAAAGTGTACAAGTCAATGGTTTTCAGTATAATCAGAGTTGTACTACCATCACCATAATCAATTTTAGAACATTTTCATCACCGCCCAAAAACCACTGTAGTCTCTCCCCAGTCCTCCACTCCTGGGAACCATTAATGTACTTTCTGTCTCTATAGATTTGCCTATTTTGGTTATTTTATATAAATGGAATCATACAACATGTGGTCTTTTGTGAATAGCTTTTTTCACTTACCATAATGTTTTCAAGATTGATTCATTTTGTAGCAGGTATCAGTCCTTTTTCCTGTTTATTGCCAAATAATTTTCCATTGTACGGATAGATCATATTTTGTTTATCCATTTGTCACATTTTGGTTGTCTATCAGTTGATAGATATTTGTGGTGCATTTAATTTTTGGCCAATGTGTAAAACTTATTTTGCTCTCATTGAGGCTACATACTGTTACAACAATGCTATTTGGTCAACCTGACTGAGCTGGCCTCATAGGTTACAGGTTGCTCATTGTTAGAGATGAGACTTTAGACCAGACTGGACAACATAGTGAGACCCTGTCTCTACCAAAAAGAAAAAGAAAAATTAGCCAGATGTAATGGCATATGACTGGAGTCCCAGCTACTTGGGAGGCTGAGATGGGAGGATCACTTGAGCCCAGGAGTTTAGGACTGCAGTGAGCTGTGATCGTGCCAATGCAATCCCTGCTGGGCGACAGAGTGAGACCCTGTCTCAAAAAACAGAAAGAGGGATTTTAGTATAACATTCAGCCAGTGCCATATTGGGAACCCACAAGAATGTACTTTTAAAAATATGTCAAAGAAGGTGGTGAGGGCTGTAATAGCTGCTATTCAGGCAGTAATGCAGTGCTGAAGGGACATCAAGCAAATAGTGTGATGACTGTGGGTGCAATGTTACTCCTTCCCTTAGGTTGCCAAAAAAATCAATACTTCATAGCATTCCTGAAACGAAAAAGCTTATGAACCATTGTGTTTAGGGTGTAAGCTATCTATTTTGGGCTACCCATCACAGCTTCTCTCCTTTGGTAGAATAAAGTGAACTGAACCATCACGCCTAAGGTATTTGCCTTATTTCTTCCTCAGCTGGTTCATGGTTACATTGTCAAAGCTGGCAAAGCATTCAAGACCTGATTTCTCAGACCGAGTGTATGTGTGAATATAATATACTCATTTGCACAAATATAAACCCTCTGTCTTAACTGTGTTCTGCAAAAGGCGTGATAAATACTTTCAAGTTATATGTACTTATCAGTAGAACTAATGGAATACACACAGTATATTTTATGGGGAATTTCAGAGAAGGAAGGAAAAGTCAACCTTTTATCTGGCATCAGGATAGTAGTAAAACATTCTACTTGTGCATCAGATAGATTTTTATGACCTAACCTGGACAAGTAACTTAACTCTTGGTGCCTCATGTTTGAAAGAGGGATAACACTCTACAGGGTCATTCTAAGAATTAAATATTGCCAAAACACATGAAAAGATTCTCAACCTTGTTAGTAATCAAGGAAATGCAAATGAAGATCACAATGAAGTCTTCTTTTGTACTCAATTGATTGGTGAAAAATGCATGCCTGATAATATTGACATACAGACCAATGAGATCTCTTATAATTTGCTGGGAAAATGTATCAATTTGTACAAACATTTTGAAAAATAATTGTGCATTTTCTTGTGAAGTAAAACATTTGAATAATCTAGGACCCAGCAATTCAACTCTTACACAGACACTCAAGAGGAAGTTGCACACACATATGTCAGGAAAAATGTTCATAGCAGCCCTGTTCATAAGAGCAAAACCTGGAACAATTGAGAGGAAATGAATAAATTGCCGTGTAGCCACACAATAGAATACAAGACAGCAGTGATGCTGAAAAATATAGCAAGCCTCAGGAGTTTATATATTATATGGATAATTTTATGAAGCTCAAAAACACCCAAAATTAAACAACATATTCTCTAAGTACATACGTGGGATATGTGATAAAACTAAAAAGAAAACAGGGAATGATCAGCAATCCAGAACCAATTCATGACTGTTGTTACTATCTTATGGGGCAGGCTGTGGATTGGAAGCGGGGGCGGTGCACATAGGTACGTGTAACTTACTGGTAATGCTTTTACGTCAGGAATGAGGTCAAAGGAGTTCACTATAAATTTATATTAGAAAGAAGGGCTATCTATGGATTAGTGATGAGAGTGTCATGCACCAGCAAATATGATTAATGAACTTAGATTACCTGAGGTCCAAATAAATAATGAGGAAAAAGTAAATAAAAGTGATGCATGAATACTAAAAATTTGGAATTACATATATAATATGTAATAATAAAAAAAGAAAAAATTGTCACTGGTTATCCTTCAGGTATAAAAATTACAATTAAAATTGTAATGTTATAACCTTCCATTCTTTCCCCTATGAATTAAAACTTTTTTTTTTAACGAGACTAAAAAATCAAGTTGATAAAATCTATGCCCTGTGGGAACTGGTTAGGTCAGGTTACCCACTCCAGATTTCCAGCAGGCTAGCCTCAGCTCTACCTACAGCCAGTAGCTTATTAAGGCTCTAGGCGCCAGTGACACCTTCAGACAGGTGGTTAGTGCGCCCTAAGGGCTCTCCGCAGCGTCGCTCAGGTTCACAGAACACGCCCAGGGGCGTGTCCAGCTGTCGTCGGGGAGAGCCCACCTCCCCGGGGGGTGTGGCTAAGGGACGAGGCAGTTCTCGTCCAGAGCCCAGGTAATCCGGGCGGGATCAGCTAGCGTCGCGATGTGATGACGTCAGGCCCCGGCCAGGCCGGGAGTGGCGTGCTGGGCGTGCGCGGCTGCGGTACGGCGTGTTGGTCCCAGCGGTTCAGCTGAGGTAGGGACGTGCCGTAGGCCGGAATGTTACCGGCTGTTGGATCTGTGGATGAGGAAGAGGATCCTGCGGAGGAGGATTGTCCTGAATTGGTTCCCATTGAGACGACGCAAAGCGAGGAGGAGGAAAAGTCTGGCCTCGGCGCCAAGATCCCAGTCACAATTATCACCGGGTATTTAGGTAACTAACCATCCCAGTCACAAAATGCCGTGAACTCTGGTGTCATGGGATTTTGCGGGCTGCCGGTGCCTCTTCTCCTGAGGCATTGGGGCCTCATGATCAAGAGCAAATGTCTTTGAGGTAGGGGCTGGGTCACTTGCTTCTCGTATGGGTTACCTCTCATCTTGGGAGTTAATGATGCCCGGTCCCCTCTGCGTTAGATTCCCATTTCTCAAGTGAGATGGAAAGTTAGCCTTTGAAACAAGGCTTTGAAGCTAAGACACGCCCCCCTAATTGTCTCTGTGACCTCTTACCAAGTTATCTTACCTTCCTGACGCTCATCTACCTCACCTGAAAATGGAAAAATACCTGTCACCTGTGAAATAGGGCCGGAACAACCTACCTATTGCCATTAAAGGATGTCCCGTCTGTAAAATGTCCGACACGTGGGGCTTTCGTCAGCAGATTCCCCTTCCCCAGGAGCCAAAGTCCTCCAGCCAGTTGGCAGGAAGTGCTCCTATCTTAAACACTTTTTTTTTGAGGTCTGTTTGTAAACCACTGCGTAGGAAGTAAGAATAAAATCTCTGTCCTCCAAGACTATTTCTCAAACTAAGAACGTTTAGAGTGTACAGGGATACTCGAAACCACAAGTTTGTGAACTTGGTAGTTTCGTGAAGGGCGGTTTATGCACTTACACTAGAAGTTTCTTACTGGAAAAGTTTGAGAAATATATTTTTAAACCTTACAGTTAAATAGAAGGGCTAGAACAAATATATGACTGTATTAGAAGTTTGGAAAAAGTTAAGAAATGTAAATAAAATAATACTGTTTCCGGGAAATAATATTCCTAGTTGTGTGCTAGAGACAGGTACAGACTTGGGCCACTTCGTGACCTTTTATGTAAAAATAAGAAATAACTGCTTTTTTTTTTAAAAAACTTTGTAGACTGTAAGTTTATTCTCGTTTTTTGCTCGGAAGTAATTTTATAAAGGAATTTATTTTTGGCGTTTCCCCACAGTTATTCAAAGGCTGCTCTACTGAGAAGATGAACAAATTTCTTGTCCAAAACAATGTATTTCAAACGTGCCCCTCGGGCCTTTCCCGTGTTGCTCACTGGTAGGTCAGTAGATCATTGGAGAAAATGATCTGAAGCTCAGGAGTGAGAATTAATACCAGCAACCTTGTTGCTGAATCTAGGGATAGTTTCACTCCTATCCCTGACCATTTTCCCTTTTTGAAACACTGTTCCTTTGGCTTCTATTACATTTTTCTTCTGATTTTTCCACCTGCTTCTCTGGCTTCTTTTTAAGGCTCCCTCCTCCTTCCCCCTTTGTCCATCTTTAGCTACACACCTGTGTAATTTCTATTTTGATGTCCTACAACTTAAAACTTAACATGTCTGAAACTTCGTCTGTTACCATTCCCCCAAATCCTGCTTCTGTGATCCCAACCATTTGGAATACTCCAAAAGCCTCCTGACTAATCTGGAGTCTTGCTGCCCTTTAATTTATTCGTTGCATGTTAGCCTTAATGATCTTTATAAATGTCAATCCGACTGCGTCACACCTTTCAGTGGCGTCCCTATGGGTTAAAATTCAAATTCCTTAACATGAATTACAAGGACCTGTAGGATCTGGATCTTGCCAACCTTTCCAGCCTGCCAAATTGGCCCCGCACAATAAACTAAGGTTACTTCAAAGGTGCCAAGTGTTTTAGCCCCTTGGAATAGGTACTTTTTTACTGTGACTCCTCTGGCTAGATGTCCCTCTTAGGTTCTCCATAGCATTTTGTGCATCTCCTATTGAATATGTCACCCTGAGACATAATTGCCTCCTTATTCACTGAATTCCCCTCCATTCCCCCCTTCCCTTAATATTTCTAAGCTCTATGAAGGCAGAGACTATCTTGTTCACTTTTTCACCAAGGCCCAGCATAAATCTGTAACGTATTAGAAACCTTTGAATGAATGAACTATGTCTTAAAGTGTTTTTTTTTTTTTTTTCATAATATGGTTAAAAAGCCCTAGTAAATCTTCTCTTAGAAGATTTCTTACATTCACCCTTTCCTTTCAGTTTTCACATCACTGCCCTGTGAAACACTCATGTTCAGGGCCTCTGTCTCAGGCTTGGACTGGTTTTAAGATCTTCCTCATTGCCCTAAGTCTCTCTCTTCCATACTATACTTCATATTTTTGTGATGTTGAGCTTCCTAAAGTACTCTAAATATAAGCCTTCATCTCTTAAAAAGCTTTGAAAGGAATATGACCTAAAAGATATTAATACCCTAATACTCCGTAAAATCTTCCTAGTTGTAGGAAGATCTAGTTATATACTAGAAAACTTTATTTCAGAAGACATGTATAGCCTACATGTAAAAGTTTTTAGCAGCACTGTAATAGTAAAACACTGGAAACAAACCAAATGTCCAACAAAAAAAAAAAAGATAAAGAAATGATATAGTCATACAGTTGAACTACAATACTATGCAGTTAGGATTTTCTTTTTTTCCTCTATGAATTTTAGTGTGTACGGTTCACAAGACTTTTTTTTCTACTGGAGATTGACATATTGGGTTTCATATGCCACCTGCTGGATAAAGTTGGTATAGCTTTATGAATTTATCTTAACTGAACATTCTGTTCATTGTTGACACTACCTGGTTCTATTCCCCATTTCATAAAAACTTTTATAGATTGTTTAAAGCATACTATAAGTAGCCATATAGTCAGCCTGAAGTTGCGTCTCGTTAATGTTGAAATAAAAGGTCACTGTAAATAAAAGATTGTGTGTCAATTTTAGGGAAGGTTAGGCTAGGTTGAAGAAACTGTTTCAACTTGTAGGAGTGTTTGTAAATATTTATAAAATTTTATGTCTACATAAAGTATTTTGCAACAGGTTTCAAAGGATGCTTTAATCTTATCCTCTAGGATATTCTATACTAAAATAATATATGAAAAATAGCATGCAAATTCTCAAAAACGTTAGGATTCTTTATATGTTTTTTGTATCTTTAAAATTATTTTGAATTTTTTTATTTACAAAAAATATGTTTTATAGGTGCTGGGAAGACAACACTTCTGAACTATATTTTGACAGAGCAACATAGTAAAAGAGTAGCGGTCATTTTAAATGAATCTGGGGAAGGTAAGTAAAGTTCAATAAATGTCATGTTGCAAGATTTTGTGTGACTGTTTATTCCTCTGGTGAATTGATATTCCATATTTAAAAATGAAAATGCAAGGTATTGTATTGATGTGGATAGCTTTAGAAAAATTAGATTAATTTCTGTTAAGATTTATATGGGTTGAGATACTGAAATTAGTTTTAATAAAATTTTATTTTGTATAACTTTGGAATTCTTATTAACAGAATTAAACTACATTTTTACATGAAATAAATGACTCCAGAAGTAAAAATCTGGACATATGAAAAAACGTTTATTTTTTATTTTATTTTATTTTTTTTGAGATGGAGTCTCTCTCTGTCGCCAGGCTGGAGTGCAGTGGTGCAATCTCAGCTCACTGCCACCTCTGTCTCCCGGGTTAAAGTGATTCTCCTGCCTCAGCCTCTCGAGTAGCTGGGACTACAGGCATGCGCCACCATGCCCAGATAATTTTTGTATTTTTAGTAGAGACAGGGTTTCACCATGTTGGCCAGGATGGTCTTGAGCTCCTGGCCTTATGATCCACCCGCCTCGGCCTCCCAAAGTTGCTGGGATTACAGGCGTGAGGCACCATGCCTGGCCAAAAAATGTCTTTTTTAGGAATTAGAAAGGCAGTTTTGTATGGACTCTATTGCAACTCATGAAAAATATTTGAAAATGCTTCTGTTATTAGTTAACTTTGTTTAATGTTTATTATCTGCAATGCAGTTAAAACTCAATATTTTAAAAAGAAGGTAAACATATGGTCTTTATCCTCATGTATTTTATCTGTGAAAATAAGTGTGCTTAACTTCTCAACTCAAATATTAAACTGTAGTAAAAAAAAATAGCTCTAGACACAATACTTCTGTTATCTTTATAGGAGTTTTTCTTCATAAGTATGAATTGTAATCAAAGCTCACTTCTAGCCAAAAAACAATATCTATTAGACGATTTCTTTTAAAATGTACTATTTTTTTCAGTTGTAAAAAGTAAAAGAGCTAGGTTTTATGAACAGGATGGGAAGCCAGTTATATTCCAGTTATATTCGATTTCTGGTTTTAATAAACTAAAGAGAAAAGTGCTTTTTAGGCAAAAATCCTGAGATTTCTAATAACAGACTGTTTTTTTCATCATCTTATTAAATAACCTATTGCACACTGATTACATTTATTCTTACTATTTTCTTTATTTTTTCCTGGATCATTTTCACAATTTTATTTTTCACAGCATTCTCAATACTTTTCTTCATGTTTCATTAATGTTCTGTATATAGTCCGAATTCTGTAGCAACCTCTTTAGAAGCTCTTTATTAATACCTAGCTGAAATATAAAAAATATGTAAGTGTAAAACTACTCGATTTTATGGGAGCTCATTTGCTTAGTGGACTTTTAGAACTTCACCGTTTGGTATATTTCTGTATTAGAGGAAAAGTAAAACATTTAAAGTAATTCTTATAGATAACAAGCATTTCAAATATAGTTTATTCTTTCTTAAGTAAGTATTGCTAGGAAAATATGTGAATTTGACTAAAAGTTTAGGTTTTTTTTTTTTTGAGATGGAGTCTCACTGTGTTGCCCAGGCTGGAGTGCAGTGGCACAGTCTCGGGTCACTGCAACCTCCGCCTCCCGGGTTCACGCCATTCTCCTGCCTCAGCCGCCTGAGTAGCTGGGACTACAGGTGCCCGCTACCACACCTGGCTAATTTTTTGTAATTTTAGTAGAGATGAGGTTTCATTGTGTTAGCGAGGGTGGTCTCGATCTCCTGACCTCGTGATCCGCCCGCCTTGGCCTCCCTATAAGTTTAATTTTTAAATGAGCACACGGTACACTGGCCAAAAACCTTCCTTAGGATGAACTAGGGTTTTTACTCATTGGGAATATTCAGCAGTTTGTCTAACAGAAACAATTTAGAAGAAGAATGAAAAGAAAAAGATAGATAAGGCAGTCTCTTAAGAGGTTGAAGGGCATACAGAATCCAGTATATAAAACATACTAGTCGATTTAGAAAGTTTACCCTGGACAAGAAAAAAATGCCTTCATTAAGAAATGGGGGTGGCCAAGTAAGAGGCCTAAGGAGGAAGTAGGTATGTTTATCAGTTTAGGATGTGTCTTTTTTCAGGGCTTAAGTCATCTTAAATAAAAGCTAAAATAATGTAGTGTACTGTAATTTAGATATCAAGGCTGCATGAATAAAATGAAAGAATATAAGTTATAAAATGCAGTTTCTGCTTTAAGATCTCCATTATTGAGTTATCCTCATCTTTGTTTTTTGTTGGCTAATGGACATAAGCTAAAGAGTGCTGTTTGTTATTTATTCTAGGAAGTGCGCTGGAGAAATCCTTAGCTGTCAGCCAAGGTGGAGAGCTCTATGAAGAGTGGCTGGAACTTAGAAACGGTTGCCTCTGCTGTTCAGTGAAGTGAGGAATGTGTTTACTGTGTACATGGTTTACTAGAAATGTTTATTGATTATATTTCCAGCTTTAATTTTCTTGAGTAATTTAACTGAATTTACACAGTTTGCTTCATTGTATTTTCAAACAAATAGAAAATAAACTTATTAGGAAGCATTTTCTTAAAGTGTTTTTGCTGTCTTTTCTATCTGCTCTAATGTTTTGGTCCTTTTATTGAGTTTTTATTGCTTTTGATGTCAGGGCTTATTTAATCTCTAGTGCATGAAAGTCTCATATGTAAAAAATGATTATTCTGAATTTAATCTGTCATTGGTCATACTTCTAAGTGTTCAACCTTATAAAAAATAAATGACTATCAAAAAAGAAAAACCTTACATTATGTTCTAGTAGTTAAGTTTCCAAGGACAGTGTTCACTAGTCTACCATAGACCCTAGAAGAGTTACCCAACACATAGTAGCACTCAAATATTTGTTGAATGAATTATAAAAATGACTACTTGTATTGTTAATTTTGTGTATTCTAGTGAATTAAATCTCTTCGGCATCATTTACTCCCTTAGGTATTTGACTTTGTGTCAAATGTTTTGGCAAGGATAAAATTATAACAGACTTTCTTGAACAACCAAAATGTAATCTATTAAGGATTTTCCTTCACTTTTGATAAAATAAGAAAAAAGGAATTTAAAACCTTGCATCCTAATGTAAAATAGAATTATATGGTGTTTAATATCAGTGTCCCTTTAGCTATTATATTAAACTACTATAGTTAATAAATTTTATCATTATTTTGTATGTTGGTTTTTAACAATTTCATAAAGCTATAAAAAGATACTTGGTCAGATAAAGTTTCCTCTGCTTTTAATTTTAATAAAGTATTATTATGTATATGATTTCTTTTTACCTATTATATATATGCATCTATTGTTTTCTCCCTGGTAAATATGGGACAGACATTTTGTTAGAAGGTTAGAAGTGAGTTAAATTTTCACATTCCTAAGGATACTTTTGTCTCGGGTTGTTGAATACATTTTAAAGTGTTTATAATAATCACTTCAAAATATTTAGGTAATTAACTGTAAATTATGTTTTGGTATTCTCCAGGGACAATGGCCTTAGAGCTATTGAGAATTTGATGCAAAAGAAGGGGAAATTTGATGACATACTGTTAGAGACCACTGGATTAGCAGACCCTGGTAAGAAGTGAGATTATTAATAACCAGAATATAGTTCTGTGATATATTGTAAATAGATGTATTAGAGGAATATCTAAAATGAGTATTAAAGCTTTTGTTAGTATTAAACCAAAAACTTTTTTTGGTTTAAAAGAGGAAAAGTACTTGGTTGTCATTTTCTTTGGCAGTTGAATGAATGATCAGAGTATTTCTTGGTGCTTTTAAGCTGTTAATAGAATTTGAAGTTTTATTGATTGACTTAGGATTATTTGTAAGAACAGAAGTTGTTAAAAATAAGGACATGTAGGAAGAGCAGAGACGTTCTACCTCTAAGTACAGTTGTCCCTTGGCATCCATGGCGTATTAGTTCCAGAACCTCTGAGGATACCAAAATCTATTAATGTTCAAGTCCCTTACATAAAATGGTGTAGTATTTGCCTATAACCTATGCACATCCTCCCATATACTTTAAATCATCTGTAGATTACTTATAATACCTAATGCAATGTAAGTGCTGTGTAAGTAGTTATTATACTGCATTGATAAGGTAATCATGACAAGAAACTCTAAACTCTACTATGGAAAGCTACACAGAGTCAACCTGTTTCTCACAATGGGTTTCTGTTACCTTCTTACCAAGCTCTAATTCTTGATAAAGTCTGCTTATTTTCCCCAAATAACTTTTAGATAAAATCTTTATTTTCAGTTTGCATAAAAGTTAGTGCTTATTCTGTGAATCTGACCCATACCATTATTTTCTTTTTGATCTGGGTCTCTGGCATTGGGGCGATTTGTAAAACTATATTAAAGTATTTGGGGGTAATTTACTAAACAGGTCATAGTTGTCCAAAAGAAATATTGAAGTATCCTGAGAGTTCAAATGTGATCAGTGGTTATTGTACTTAAAACAATTACGTAGTAACATCATCCCCATGTTTTCAAAGTAGTATTGAATTAGGCTATTTTGGTCCTTATAGTAAGCATGGGTTTTCATACCTTTCTGATAAATCTGACTGATGATAGGACTTGGACTAATATGTTGGCGTTAAATATTATTTGAATCTGGTAAGAAAGAAAAATATATTGTATGCTTTTATTAGAAATAGCAAATATCAGTTTATTTCATCATAGCCAGTTTTGCCATTTTATAGACAAAAACTTGACACTTTTGAGAGTTTAATTAAACACGATTCAGCTTTTCAGAGGAAGAAAGAAAAACTAAAGATCACAGAGAAAGCTTTTATACAAATTGTAGTTATAAAAAATGTTAATGTTTCTTGCTTCTAACTTTCTTTACAATAAAGATTTTATTGTTTGGGTAAAGATGGAACATTCATTGTAAAAAAATTTAAATACCTAAAAAATACAAAGAAGAAAGTTGAAAAGTAATCATCTCACTATTGTGATATACAAGTAAGGGCTGGGCATGGTGGCTCATGCCTGTAATCCCAGCACTTTGGGAGGCTGAGGCAGGTGGATCCCTTGAGGCCAGGAGTTCAAGACCAGCCTAGCCAACATGGTGAAATCCAGTCTCTACTGAAAATTCAAAAACTAGCCAGGCGTTGTGGCGCACCCCATAATCCCAGCTACTCAGGAGGCTAAGGCATGAGAATCGCTTGAAAGCTGGGAGGCGGAGGTTGCGGTGAGCCGAGATCACGCCACTGCACTCCAGCCCAGGCAACAGAGCAAGACTGTATACACACACACACGCACGCACACACACACACACACACATTCATACACACACACACAAGTAGGTAAATTTTATTCCAGGGATCTCTCTATGCCAGTGCTACTTGGTAGTATGTTGAATGGCAGCCTCAGCCTCAGCTGGGAGCTTGTTAGAAATGCAAATTCTTGACCAACCCAGATCTACTGAATCGGAATCTCTAAGGGAGGGGGTCAAGCAAGCTGTTTTTAATAAGCCCTTCAGGTGATTCTTATACTGTACAGCCATACTGCAGGGATATTGTGGGCTTAGTTCCATATCACTGCAGTAAACTGAATATCACAATAGAGTGAGTCACACACATTTTTTTGTTTCCCATTGCATATAAAAGTTATGCGTTTTGGCCGGGTGTGATGTGACAGGCCTGTAGTCCCAGCTACTTGGGAGGATCACTTGAGCTCAGGAGTTTGAGGCTGCAGTGAGTCATGATTGCACCACTGCACTCCAGCCTGGATGACAGCATGAGACCCCATTTCTTAAAAAAAAAAAAAAAAAAAAAAAAAAGCTGTGTTTATACTATACTGTAGTCTATAAAATGTGTAATAGAATTGTCTAAAAAACATACATACCTTAATTAAAAATATTTATGGCTAAAAAATGCTAACAATCATCTCAGCTTTCAGCAAGTCATAATCTTTTTGCTGGTAGAGGGTCTTGTCACAATGTTGATGGGTGCTGACCAATCAGGGTAGTAGTTACTGAAGGTTGGGGTGGCTATGGCAATTTCATAAGATAATAATGAAGTTTGCTGCATTAGTTGACTCTCCCTTTCATAAAAGATGTCTCTATAGCACATGATGCTATTTGATAGCATTTTACCCACAGTATGACTTCTTTCAAAATTGGAGTCAGTCCTCTCAAACCCTGCTTTATCAATTAAGCTTCTGTCATATTTTAAATCCTTTGTTGTCATTTTGACAGTGTTCATAGCATCTTCACCAGGAGTAGATTCCATCTCAAGAAACCACGTTCTTTTCCCGTCCATAAGAAACAACTTCTCATTAGTTAAAGTTTTCTTATGAGATTGCAGGAATTGAGTCACATCTTCAGACTCCCCTTCTAATTCTAGTTCTCTTACTGTTTCCACCATATCTGCAGTTATTTCCTCCATTGAAGTCTGAAATCCCTCAAAGTCATCTGTGAGGGCTGGAATCATCTTTCAAACTCCTATTCATGTTGATACTTTGATCTCCCATGAATCACGAATGTTCTTAATGGCATCTAGAATGATGAATTTACTTTGCCTAGATCCATCAGAGGAATCACTATCTATGGTAGCTATAGCCTTATGAAATATATTTCTTAAATAAGACTTAAAAGTCAAAGTTACTCCTTGATCAGTGGGCTGCAGAATGGATGTTGTGTTAGCAGGCATGAAAACAACATTAATCTCCTTGTACATCTCCATCACAGCTCTTGGGTGATCAGGTGCGTTGTCAATGAGCAATAATATTTTGAAGGAATCTTTTTTTTTCTAAGCAGTAGATCTCAATGGTGGGCTTAAAATAAACCATGCTGTAAACAGATGTGCTGTCATCTAGGCTTTATTATTTATAGAAAACAGGCAGAGGAGATTTAGCATAATTCTTAATGGCCCTAGAATTTTCAGGATGGTAAATGATTATTGGCTTCAACTTGAAGTCACCAGCTGCTTTAGCCTCTAACAAGAGAGTCAGCCTGTCCTTTGAATCTTTGAAGCCAGGCATTGACTTCTCTATAGCTATGAAAGTCCTAAATGGCATCTTCTTCCAAAAGGAGGCCATTTCATCTCCATTAAAAATCTGTTGCTGGCCGGGCTCGGTGGCTCATGCCTGTAATCTCAGCACTTTGGGAGGCCGAGATGGGCAGATCACGAGTTCAGGAGTTCAAGACCAGCCTGGCCAACATAGTGAAACCCCATCTCGACTAAAAATACCAAAAATTAGCCTGGCTTGGTGGTGGGAGCCTGTAATCCCAGTTACTTGGGAGGCTGAGGCAGGAGAATGGCTTGAACCCGGGAGGCGGAGGTGGCAGTGAGCTGAGATTGCACATTGCACTCCAGCCTGGGTGACAGAGCGAGACTCCATCTCAAAATAAATAAATAAATAAATAAAAAATAAGTCTGTTACTTAGTGTAGCTACTTTCACGAATGATGTTAGCTACATCTTCTAGGTAGTTTACTACAGCTTCTATATCAGCATTTGCTGCTTCCCCTTGCACTTTTATGTTATGGAGATGGCTTCTTTCTTTAAATCTTGTGAACCAACCTCTGCTACCTTCCAACTTTTCTTCTCTAGCTTCCTCACCTCTCTCAGCCTTCACAGAACTGAAGAGAGTTAGGGTTGCTCTGAATTAGGCTTTGGCTTAAGGGAACATTGTGGCTTGTTTGATCATCTATCCAGACCACTTCATATCAGCAATAAGGCTGTTTTATTATCATTTGTGTGTTTACTGGAGTAGCACTTTTAATTTCCTTCAAGAACTTTTCCTTTGCATTCACAACTTAGCTAACTGGCTCAAGAGACCTAGCTTTTGGCGTATCTTGGCTTTCAACATAACTTCCTCACTAAGCATAATCATTTCTAGCTCTTGATTTAAAGTGAGAAACAGGTGACTGTTCCTTTCACTTGAACACTTAGAGGCCATTGTAGGATATTAATTGGCCTAGTTTCGTGTTGATCATATTCTTTATGTTGTCATGGTTCTGTCATAATTCTTTTAGTTCTATGTTTTAATAGTTTTGGTGCTCATTACCAGTACTGTTGCTTCTCCATTCCCGAGTTAGTCCATCTCCTGATTGAATTTCATTGTCAGGCAGTCTTTTCAAGTTACAGGTACTGCATGCATTCTTTGGGTTCTTATACACTTCATTGATTCAAAATATTTGTCTTTTGTTTTTATATTACTTGAAGGATTACTTGGCTAGGTATAAAATTTATCAGTCACACTTTTTTCCCCCAAACTTTGTAAATGTTGTTCCATAATCTCCTAGTGTTTGATTGGCTGGATTTCTTTGTCCAATGTTTTCTCCTTTTATTAGGAAGAATTTGTGAGTATTATAGTCTCTGAGTTTCAATGCTTGCTGTTTTCTTTAATGCTTGAGAATGTCTGTCTATTGCTTTCGTTCCTGAAAAATAACTTGTTTGGGAACACTTTCATTAGAACTTTGTGGTCACTGTTTTATTATTTTGGGACATCTAGTGTTACTGTAGAAAAGTCTGATTTTTCTCCCTCCCTCCTTGAAGGCACTTTTTTTTTTTTTAATCTAAAATGCCTGAGAGTTTTCTTCTTTATTTTTGAAATTCAGTAATATAAACAAGGTATATCTAAGTGTCACTTATAATCATTTTTCCCTAAATTATAATATGCCCTTAGTTCTTCTAAGAACATTTTCCTTGTTTATTACCATGAATACTTTTTTTTTGGTCAAATTATTAGATCCTCTACTTCATGACACCAGTTTTTTTAATACTGAATTTTCTTTTGTTCTTCGTATGTATTCTAATTGCTTTGATGTGTCTTTTACCTTTGCATTTACTGTGATCATCTGAAGCCTTTCTTTTTGTCAGTAATTCTGTTTTCTCCAGTGTCTGTCCTGTTTTTGATATTTTAAATGAATTAATTGGTTAAGTCATTAATTATTAATTAATTGGTTAAGTCAATAATTAAATTATTAATAATTATTAATTAATTGGTTAAGTCAATAATTAAAAATAATTAATTGGTTAAGTCATATAGGCTCTAAGTTTCTTTAGCACTACAAACTGCATTTTCATCTTATTCTGCTTCTTCTTGCTTTTGAGCTTGTTTATTATAAGGTTGTATTGTTTTCAAGTTCTTCATTATGATGAAGTTGTTGAGAATTTTCTTTAGTTTTTATTGGGTTATGTATCCTTCCAGAATGGGTTGGTTCTTTGCCATTTGTATGCCCTATTCATTTCTTCATTTTGTGTTCTTTCTTGCTTTTTATTCCCTGTATGTGTGTGTTTCTTTTTGTCAGGCTGTAATACATATGCATACATGTTTCTTCTTGATATGGGAGAACTTCTATGTGGTGCTGATGGGAAATATTTTTAATACTCCACTCTCCTTACCCAAGTTTGTTTTTCTCCTGAGCCCTAGTTTGAAAGCTGTATATTGTTGGAGTGGAGGGAAAGAGAAGGGAAAAGTGGTGATTCAGAGAGCCAAATGGGGCAATGTGGCTTTTAGGCTCTGCTCTCTTGAAGTACCAAGTATTTCACTCTTGGGTCTGCCCAAGTGCTTATGAATAAAATTCCTTTGCCTTGTATGGGGACATCATTCGACCTCAGACCTCTCATTTCTCTTTGTTCTGAGCCCTAGAATGTGACCTGACCTTCTCCTTCCCAAAGCATGGAGATGGTTAAAACTCACTCTTGAAATTTTTTTGTTGACTTTTCCCTGTGTTGCTTATTCATTCCTCGGCTCTACTTTTTGCCATTTTGGAGTGTATTTCTGGTAAGTGTTTAGGATTTTGTAAACTATTTCCCTACAACCTCTTATTGGAGGTAGGGGTAGAGTTGGGAATGACCATCAATCACATATAACTTTGTTTCTTATTTTGACTATCAGTCTTCAAAATTTATGGCAGGCCCTTTTATATTTGGTTGCTGCTAATAAAATGTTGGCCTTTTTGTTTTATTTTTTATTTTTATTTTTTGTTTTATTAGATTTTGAAGAAGGGAGATTCTAAAATGTAGTTCAGGTTTTCTCAGTGTCAGCACAAATAACATTTTGGGTTGGATAATTATTTGTTGTGAGGGGGTTGCCCTGTGCAGAGTAGGATATTTAACAACATCCCTGGCTTCTACCCACTAGTTGCCAGTAGCATTCCCCTAGTTAAGACAACCAAAAACATCTTCAGACATTGCCAAATATTCCCTGGGGAGAAAAGCACCCTGGTTTGAGAGCCACTGATCAATTTTGTCCATTCATCTTTACTCCTCCTAAATACCTACATCCAAATTTTAAATAGATCTTTCTCATGTAGTCTGGCAAGTATTATATCAAAGATAAATACCAGTTTTAGAATAAAGCATTAATATACTCTTACATTTCAACTTAAGAGGCAAATATTAACAGTAGGATTTGTAAACTATTTATTAGACTAAAAATCAATGAATTTTTAAAAATTACAAAATGATTTATGTATGTTAGATATTTTACTGAGTGAAAAAATTCATGCTTTTTTAAATGACTTATTGTTTGGAGTAGTGATACAGTAGATTTAATTTTCCCCCTCATTAATTAAAATTATGTTTTAGCCAAGAAAGTGAACAAAATTCTTATTGGCAATTCAGTTGTTTCCCGTTTTGGAGACTGACACTCTCCAGTTCTAAGTTAAATAATTGTCATGGTAAAGTAATTTCCTTGAAAAGAACGGACATTGATTCAGCCCCTGTTACTCACAAATGCTATTTGAGTCAAATTGGAAAACTATTAAGTTTTTGGGAAAAAAATCAATAGGTATCAGGAAACCATTAGATCTTGTGGCCCTTGCTATATCTTGCATGAGTAATCACTGTAAACAGCTGACAGGTATTTCATTGTTGACACAGAGTGATGCTTGGGGGACCACATCTTTTCAGAGCAGGTGGACAGCTTTAGACGTTGGAATGAGTTTGATTATCCTTGTTTTTCTCCTACACTCATTCTTTTAGACAGCCCTGTCACTAACTGGGCCTGTGATGCTTTCAAAAATCAAATACTTTCCTTGCTGTCAGTTTTCTTTTTCTTGCGTTGTGGCATACTAATCAGGGTATGTGGTTTGGTACTGAACCAATTTCTGTCAAAAGCAAGTTTTAATTTATTATTTAGGAAAAATTTTTCCTAAGACCCAGGTTTTATACAGTCCTAAATAAATAGTGTGAGGAATAATTAGTAATGCCATAGAGTATATAATTTTACTTCTAGTTCTACACAGATTACAAGTAAATTTTTTTTGGGCAAGTGATTTTGGAATTATCTATGTTTTGTTTTCCTTTTCCTTTAGAGTGATAATTCACTATTTATGATTGAATGATTATCATATTAAAGAGGTGAGAAAATAAAAATAAGTCTGATGTGCACAAAGCCATACTGCTCAAATTGTTTGATAATATCTGTTAATTAAATTATTATGGCATCGGTAGAAGAATGATGTTTTGTTTATATGTGGTTAGAATTGGTCTTTTTTAAAGGAAATAACAAGAGAGATGGAAATGGAATGGGTATAAATAGTAAAAGGTTCTATCACTATAATTCCCTTTTGCTCTAAATAGTTAAAGCTTCTATCACTATAATTTCCATAAGAAGATATATGTGTTTACCTGTTAATTTTATCAGGGCAAATTAAAACATGGATAGAATCATGTTTCTCAGTGTGAAGAAATATTTTTATTTGATGAATATTATATATTTTCAGGTGCAGTGACTTCTATGTTTTGGGTTGATGCTGAATTAGGGAGTGATATTTACCTTGATGGTAAGTTAAAAAACAGTTTTCTTTTATCTTTCTTGTTTTTTTTTTGTTTTTGTTTTTTTTTTTCTGAGACAGAGTCTCACTTTGTTGCCCAGACTGGAGTGCATGGAGTGCAGTGGCATGATCTCGGCTCACTGCAACCTTTACCTCCTGGGTTCAAGTGATTCTCCTGCCTCAGCCTCCCGAGTAGCTGGGACTACAGGCGTGCACCATCGTACCTGGTTAATTTTTGGATTTTTAGTAGAGACGGGGTTTCGCCATGTTGGCCTGACTGGTCTTGAACCCCTGACTTCAGGTGATCCGCCAGCCTCGGCCTCCCAAAGTGCTGGGATTACAGGCTGAGCCACCACACCCTGCCTCTTTTGTTTTTTAGTAAAATCTTTATGGTTAAGCTTATTGTTGTTCATTCATGTTATAACTTTAATTCCTTGCATTGTGGTTCTTTTCACACTTTAGTTTAATGATGAAATCTTTGTTCATATAGATTAAAAAACCCCAGACAGTGGTGGAACTCGATGTCACTCAACTTCCAATTTAGTGCTTCCACTAAGGTTTTCTTTAAAAAAAACAATGCTTTGTAGGTTTTCTGTATCCTCTGTTGTTTGATTTATGTCCTTAATGTAATGTTAGAGCCTTTTATTTTTATCCTCCAGGCAATATGAGGATCATATTTTTGCTTTTATTTTCTCTTGAAGATAAGAATTAAACACTCCTCCCTTACTTTATTTACCTGAACACTTTTGGGCAATGATATGCCTTCATTTAAAATATATTAGAAACTTTCTTAGTTAAGCGACTATGTTTTCTCCCTTTCTCTTTCCCTTTTTCACCTTTTTAAAAACCAGTCGAAATTTTCTTACTTTTTCAAAAGTAATAATCATTAAGAAATTTAAGAATTATTAAGCTGGGCCCCATCATTGAGCTCTAATATATGTGGCGGGTAACTGGTTGAATTCCTTAGGCATAATTAAACTCATTCTTTTGTTATCAGCATATATTCAGAGACTGCAAAATGAATTGGTAGTTTGGAAACTTAGGCATATGTTATGTAAAACATTTATGAGTTGGATTTGGATTTGGTGAGAGATGTTAGGAATGATACCTTAAGATGTCTCATTCTTTAGGCAATAATTTAAATCTTAAGAAAAGTCTTTTTTTTGATTATGTGAAAATAAACTAGAAATAACCTGTCTTATGTACTTATCACATTTGACTATGTTATGAAATTTGACTTATATTTTGGATTGTAAGCTTTTTCAGTGCCAAGGAAATCTTATTTTCTTATTTATTTAATTTAAAATTTTTATTTGTTTTATATCTTCTCTAGTGCCTTAAAATAGTGCTAGCCACTCAGGAAATGCATTGACTTATTACTGGAATTTAATTAAATGGCAGCACTGGCAAGAGAAAAAAACAGTACATTGTTTTATTGAGTAGTATTTGTGAACTGAAATAGGTTAGTTTTAATTTTCATTCTGAAGTATGGTTGCACAAGTATTAATAAGCATTCTTTTTAAAAAGTGATTAAAATGTTTTTTCCTTTGTAGGTATCATAACTATTGTGGATTCAAAATATGGATTAAAAGTAAGTTGAAAGATTGCTATGAGTGGCTCATTATTGAGAGCTGGGAATATGGGGATTGATTGTTTAATTTTCTTTATGTTTGTATCTGAAATTTTCTTTAACAAAAACCTTTCTCAAAAAGATATCCTGAACAATAGGTGAAATTTGTGTTTTAATTATTAGTTTGTGTTAAATATTTCTTTTCTATTACTCTGAGTTTGATTTGGTGATAAAATTTGGAATTATAATTTGTAATAAGCATATGGGGTTAGGATAGAGTTTGGTATGTATAGCTCTTCACAAGGATTCAACCCCAATATTGGTAAGTTTTTCTGTTCCATAGAAGAAGCTGAGCTTGATAAAGCATCTGAGATCTTATTTTTCTTGTTAAATTACTATTAAACACACACTGGAAATGAGTTTTTAAAAAATATTGAAGACCTAGGTGATGGGTTAATAGGTGCAGGAAACCACCATGGCACGCGTTTACCTATGTAACAAACCTGCACATCGTGAGCATGTACCCTGGAACTTAAAATTTAAAAAGTACATATTGAAGAAAATCAGGATATACACATAGGATTAGTAAGAAGACTCTCTCCATTAAAAGGCATCTTGCATCGCTTCTTGGTCTTTTGGCTAAGATCAAGTGTAAAAGACATCCTGCTATGAATGTTTTTGTTAACTTCTAAGGTCCTAGAATGCATTTAAATGAGGTTTAATTTATAAAATGCATTTAGTAAGATCTTTAAAAGTATGTTGTTACATACAGTAAAATGACGTTTCTCAACTTCCCAGGTGAAATACCACTAAAGGCAGAAGAGAATGAAATCATCCCACCCACTGACCCGTTCCCAATCTGAGCATATGGATAGGGCCCAAAGCAGTAAGTTCTTAGAAGTTTAAATTCAGTGTTTAAAAATTAGTGACTGTTTTGTATCCAACCTCATATCTGAACATGTTAATTTTTTTTTTTTTTTTTTTTTTTGAGACAGAGTCTCACTCTGTTGCCCAGGCTGGAGTGCAGTGGCACCATCTTGGCTCACTGCAACCTCCACCTCCCAGGTTCAAGCGATTCCCTTGTCTCAGCCTCCTGAGTATCTGGGATTACAGGTGCACACCACCATGCCCAGCTAATTTTGTATTTTTAGTAGAGACAGGATTTTACCATGTTGACCAGCCTGGTCATGAACTCCTGACCTCAAGTGATCCACTTGCCTCAGCCTCCCAAAGTGCTGGGATTACAGGCATGAGCCACCACGCCCGGCCTGAACTTGTTAATGTTTAAGTTTGCTTTTTTTTTTCCCAAATCTTTGCTGAAATTATGCTCTAAGGGGATATGTCAGGTTTGTCAAATAGCTACCAATACCTCTTCACTGGGCCTTCTCTCCCTCGTTGATAGAGTGCCCTAATTTGAAAAGTTTGGAAGAAAACTCCTTTTTTAGAGTTTAAAATCTCAATTTATGAATTTATGAATATAATTTAAGAATCAAAGAATGATCCCAAATACAGTATTACAGTTTCACGCAGAAAAATTCCAATGACTGTTGGAAATCATATTTCTTGAAAAATGCTTATGGAGGTAGCAAAAAAGCCCCAAATTATTCATTTTGAATGTTTATTATAGGCATGTTTGAATCTACCTCTTCCATAAATTTATTACAAAATTTGATATACCTATGTGACAGATAACTGCTAAGACATTTTGTTTTTTTTTTATTTTGATAGACTGAAAATGCCATGCTAAAAGTCAAACTGTTTATGTATTTTATGATTATAGGAAAAATTTTATATGTATAGTTGGGTATGGAGAAGAGTTAAATAGAATCTATTATCAGCATGATGGAGGCCAAAAAAACAAAGCAACATTCTGAATAATGCAAACACAGTAAACGTTTAACCTTCTGCTACCTTGATAAAACCTCTTAAATTATTAAATCAATATACCTACACGAAACTGACACACTGTCAGGATAATGGAAACTTTAAATTTTCTAAGTCGGATGCCAGATAAATAACTTTGCCTTGATATAAAGAATTTTCCAACTTGTCCAATTCCTCTGGTTGCAAAGCTTGACCTCAGTAGCTGCTTGTGATTCAGAGAATTCTGAGGCAGTACAAGTAATGACACTTGGATAATGGGCAGCAATTTAAGAATGTCATGCTTCACAGAGCCAGCCCATGACAAGTAAAGCTGAGAAATGGTACCCTGTGGCCAGCCAGCCAAATTGAAACTGAAGTGGTAATTGATATCATGGGGTATCACTCTAATGGGATTGTCACCCATTGATCTGAAATATTCATTTTTTAATCATAGGCAAAGAATTGGACAACTTAAAATGACAGCTCTCTATTCTGAGGACTTGACACCCGGGCTACTGACATTGTTCTTTTCAGTTCTACAAATGTGACAGCATTTAATGCAATAGAAGCAATGAATGAAGTTACCCAGAGAAGGTCAAGTGAGAGGTTTCTTCTTGGTTCCTCTGTTATATTGCACAATCTGTTGAAACAATTCAGTCAGAAAACAGTTAGCTTGGAAAAGGCCAGAACAATAAATAGACTGACATTATGCAATAATTTTTTAAAAACTAAAATAGTGTTACATCTGTAACCAATCCATTTGAAAGAAATAGTTCCTGCTGCTGCTTTTTAAAAATGACACCAGACATCTTTGACACTAGATTTATTTCCACTCTGGTCAACAGCAGTGTTCTTTCATAGCCAGTGGGTTTTAAGACAGTTTTTTCTTTTCTTTCTTTCTCTTTTTTCGGTCCGGCTTCTTTCTTTATTTCTGCAGAAAAGGACACCCTATAGCCCTTCATGAAGTTAGGTCTACAGTGGTGTTATTTCAGAGAGTTCCTTTGTTTCTCTCCCTAACCCCCCAGCTTTATTGAGGTATAATTGACAAGTAAAAACTATATATATTTAAGGTATACAGTGTGTGAATTACATTATCAAACAATCGAGCTAGTTAACCTATCCATCACCTCACATTGCTATTTTTTTGAGAGGGGGTGGTAAGAACAATTAAGATCTATGTTTTAGCAGATTCAAGTATACAATAGAATTAACTACAGTCATCATGCTGTAATTAGCTCTCCATGACTTATGCATCTTGTATAACAAACTTTGTATTCTTTGACCAACATCTCACACCACTCCCCTTTAATTTCCTTTGTTTCTTGTGATAAGTTAAATTGGGGTTTTGATCCTTAGCCTTTTGAATATGTTGGATTAATTAGTATCAAAATTATTTTTGTCTTTTTTGATATATAAGCAAAAGCCATAGTTGTTAAGCAGAGATAAGGAATACTTTGGACATCTATGTAATATAAAATATTTAAAAAATATTTTGCAAAATTTTTTTCTTCATTTACTTATACAGGTGGAATAGAATGCCAAACTTTCCATTTTGTTTTATTTTATAAATGAAAGTCATCTGACTTAACGACCAAATGGTATATAATGTATTATTGGAGAATGTTCTTTTGAATAGAAGACATTGATTTTATACTTTTTGCAGAGTTTGACTTGGGAAGGTAGGAAGTCACATGAGGGAAATGCAGGGCTGATGTCTAAAGAAAATAAATGTTAATATGCACTTATTTTTTTAAATGTTTGTATAGCTTTCCTATGGGCATAGAAGAGGACATTTATCTCTTCTGCTATAATTGTATATGATTACATATAATTTTAATACAGCTGTAAATATTGGCAGGCTCTCATTTGGGGTGATTTTCATTTATTTTTATATTTGATACTTTCTGACTGCCTGGAAGTAGTAAAACGTTAGTCTACCACTGTTAGCTTTGAGTGAAGAATTCTAATATTTTGGAGAGGTAAATGCATTTAAAACATTGCACATTACCTTGTGAAACTAACATTGTATTAGTTACATTTAGGCATGGAAATGCAAAAACAAATCTGTAATTCTTCTGTCATATCATTTTTATGCCTCACAAACTCATAGCCAAATAACCCCAATTTCATATGTTAAAAAAGCTTTCATAAGGTCAATAATATAATATCTTGAAAAATATTTCAGTTTAAAAAGAATTTTCAGTACTATAGGATCATTCAGAGGCAGATGCCTTGCCAAAAATATATCATTGTTAAGTAGATTTACTGCTTAATGGGAAGAGATTTGTTGCTGCATGTTAGATGGCATTTTTCATGTAACATCTTTTATGTATCCCCACAACAGGAGGTGTTAATTACAATTCATTCAACAAATATTTCTTGAGCCTTTGTGCCAGGCACCATTCCAAGGTCTGTTAGCAGCCTCATTCTCTAGAGGCAGAGTATATAACAATAGGACTTGTTGTAGCCTCAGGCCAAGATGAATTATGAAAAAAATATTAAACTTGATCTTTTGGCATGGAATGATTTTTGATACAATACTTGTCAAGTTCTGTGACTTCCATAATTGCAGAGTGGGTCTGCAGTTGAATTGAACAAGATTTTGCCTGAAGTAGAAGTATCATTGCCATGATTTTATTTCAGTTTTGTTTTCCTCAAAATAGAATTTGCTGAACTTTTAGAAGGAAAAAATGTTTCTTCTATAGAACTAATCAAGCGTGTTAAATAAAATTATTACCTGCTTGCTCTGAGGTTCCAAACTATTCAGATACCCCTAATGATCATCTCCCCATGAATTATGAAACTGGTTTGGCTCTGATATATGGTTATTGACATTTGTGTAGCATTGTACACAGACTGATTTTATGTGGCATAAAAGATTTCACAAAGGCTTTAAAATTATGTTCATTTTACTTGATGGGTGTGTGTTCAATTAAAAAAAAAGTCCCTGTGATTGTATATAAAATATAGTATCCTGTGATGATGAGGGTGTTAGATTTAGTTTCTTCCTTTATAAATGAAAATAGCCATCTCCCATAATTATTATGAAAGCTAAATGAGAAAAATGTATATAATTTATAAAGTTAGATTCAAGGATTTAATTCATTTGTAAAGTTGGCTTCAAATATAGAGTATTACTATAATCTAGTTGCCTCTAAACCTCAGTAGCCAGCTTTTTATTGTGACAGGGAACCTCTATTGAGGTTTGAGGTAATGAGGGTAAAAGTGTAATTTCCCAGAGAAGAAGCTTGTGATGTTGATGACGTTAGGGATGTAAACAGGATTATGAGGGGGAAAAAAAAAAACAGACAACAAAACTTGCCTCCAGAGAGATGGAAACTACCACTTGGGCTCTAAGTCAGTGTCAAAATATTTTTTGGAGTTAGCCTGACTCTGGAGAGGTCAGTAAAATAAACAGTTGCACTGAGAGGCCAGATTAGCAAGTATGGGTTTCTAAATGATAAACTGCTTTTAGGCTAGAATCAGGGCTGAATCAGCCTTCCCACCACTTATTTGTTTCTAGGGTGTTTGAAAGGCCTAGTACTGAGTTCACGTGGTGCATGATTGTGGGCTGGGGTGCAGGGAAGTATTTTAGATTCTAATATGGGGGTTTGGTGTGAAGGGAAGTATATTAGATTCTAAGAAACTATATTTCAGTGGTTATCCTTTTTTTAAAATAAGTAATAATGAATATTTAGAACCAGAACAGTTTTGTAAGAAGGAAAATACCTAAAATCTGAACTGTAATCTTCTATGTTTTTATGACATTATGTGAATCAAAGGGGTTTTCCTTTTAAGTAAAAGAAAAGGTCAGGAGTATGAAATCCTAAGCCCTCTTCCTCCCCCTATAAAACCCCACAGGTTCACTTGTAGAAAAAAATTGCAAATGAGGAAGAAAAATGCTTTCAGCTAGAAAAGTTAGTTTTGGATTTGTGTATTCAGTAACAGAACATGTTGAAGTTTTTATTAAATGCAAGAAAATGTCTCTAAAGTAAAATCCTTTGTGTTGACATTAGATTTTTTATTGTATTATAGTAACTTTATTCAAACTTTTTTTTGTTTAGCATTTAACAGAAGAGAAACCTGATGGCCTTATCAATGAAGCTACTAGGTATTCATATTTAAAGTATATATTGATTGCTGGCTAATTGTAAAGAGAAAAATCACTAAGATGAAAACCAAAAACAAACTAAGAAATTTTAAAACATAGTCAAGGAAAATTTGTTTTCTTTTTTTCCCTTAGTTGAATTATTGCTATCTATTTATAATGATCTCATAACTAAACTTTTACTTGAAGTCATTTTTGTCGTAGCATAAAGTGAATGCTGAACACAGGAGTTCTGTAATTTTGAGGAACTCGGGAAATATTAACATTTAGAAATATTTTCTTGTTATACAATTTCTTTGGGATTGAAGATTTTTTATATATATATATATGTGTAATAATAATTATTATTATTATTTTTTGAGACAGAATCTCACTCTGTCACCCAGGCTGAAGTGCAGGCTCACTGCAACCTCTGCCTCCCAGGTTCAAGCGATTCTCCTGCCTCAGCCTCCCAAGTAGCTGGGATTACAGGCACCCGCCACCATGCCCAGCTAATTTTTGCATTTTTTTATTTTATTTATTTTATTTTATTTTATTTTTTTTTAGTAGAGATGGGGTTTCACCATGTTGGCCAGGCTGGTCTCGAGCTCCTGACCTCAGGTGATCCACCCGCCTCGGCCTCCCAAAGTGCTGGGATTACAGGCATGAATCCACTGCGCCTGGCTGAACTTAAGTATTTTTGTAACTTTTTTCCTTATGAAAATATGGTTATTATAGAAAATATAAATAAGCCAAATAGAAAATAGCCAAATTGGATTTGTGATGTACATACTGTTGAAACCTGCTCTTTCAGTGAACTAAAGTTAATTTAGTTTTGAGAATTTAGTTGTATTCTTTGAGATAAAGCATAAGACCCTGAATAATTGAGGAAAATTGAAAGAATTTCCAGTTTTACTATCCTGTTAATAGAAAATAGAGCTTCTGATTATTATCATCTACTTTGTTATCTAGCATTCAGTCAACTGGATTCTTTACAGAGATAATATACAGTATATTTATAGTGATAAAGAAGACATTTGTGCAATATCCTGATATATCTTCTGAAGTATAGCTTATTTTTTTTAAGAAATGGAGTCTTGCTATGTTGCCCAGGTTGGACTTGAACTCCTGGGCTTAAGGGATCCTCCCTCCTCAGCCTCCTAAGTAGCCAGGACTACAGGTGTGCTCTACCATGCCCAGCTCTGAAGTATAGTTTTAAAAAACCTGTTTAATACAGTTTTTAGTATTAAGTGAAGTTATTCTATTTCTTTGAAAATTTTGGTAAATATTACAGTATTTTAGTAGGTAAACTCTTCTTCTTTTTACCATATTGGATATCTGAATTTTATGCTTTTCTTCACAAAGAAAATTATGAGTTTAAAATCATCCTTTTGATTGTAAACTTTTTGAGACTTATCTTTGTAGCGCAAGAGTAGCAAGTAACAGAACTTAGTAAATACTTTGCAAATGGGTAATGTGAAATCTGAACTTGCATAGTAATGAATACAATTCATTCACATTGAAAAGTTAGCGGATTAGGAGTAAACTGAATCACTCCTATAGAGCACTATATAATTCTTAACTGATATATTGATCTACATGAGGTGTTTTTATTTATTTTTAATTTGTTAACATTTCTCTTTTGATGTATTAATCTGCATGCGTGTATATTATTTAAAATTTCTTAACATTTCTTTTTGTTTGCTATTTTAGGCAAGTTGCTTTGGCAGATATCATTCTCATTAATAAAACAGACTTGGTTCCAGAAGAAGATGTAAAGAAATTAAGAACGACAATTAGGTACAAAATGATAAGTGTGTTAAGTGCCTACAGATCCATATTGTATACACAGAATATTTTTTACTCTGATTGTTGCCCTGTAGAAACTTAAGGTATAAGGTTGACCTGCTTCAAGAACGTTAGGGAATCACATATATTGTTGATGGCTAATTGTTATATAAATGGTAATACATAAAATTAGTCCTCAGTGCTTGCAGAATATAGTTCACAGTTAATAGACTGATATTCAGGGTCTTCGCACTCCATCTTTCTTTTCCTGTCTTCTCTTTGACTCTTTCCTAATGTCAGTCTTCCCTAACTTTACCCAGGATGGTTAATTCACTTTCCCATGGATGCATCCTCTCAGTTCCTGTCTTTACTCATAATGTATTCTCACTCTGCCAATCCCTGAGTTCTTTCTTGTTCTGTTTTTTTTTTTTTAAATTTATTCTATAGAGCCTATTCTGTCTCTCCCCGCTTCCTATGTGAAGTCTTCCCTGACTCAAGTGGTCTCAGTTTTCCCTGAACTCTTGTTGACTTCATCTTCCTTAACTGTCAACCATGCCTTGTCTTCCAGCTTGCTTGTATATCTTCTTTGTCCATAGCCAAGGCTGATCAGCATAGGACAATCAGGACAATATGAATGATGCTCAAATATGTGCTAACAGTCATTTTGCTGACTGTTCTGGAGACTCCCATTCCTTTTGAAAACAAAGATGGACTTTTCAAATGAAGTTATAGTTCAGGGACTTTGTTTTGAATTATTTTGTAAGACCTGAACTAATAAAAGCCCTATACAGAGAGACATTCGGTAGCTATTATTATTGGTTATCTTTAATGTGTACAATGCTTTGAGCGTGATGGTGGCTCAAAATTACTATTCTTAGTATTTATAAGTTCTACTGACATTAGATTTTGAATCTGTCATCTCAGTTCATATAGTATATATTATAAATTGAATCAATAAAGGTAAGGCTCATTAGGAGATTATTTGCCATGATTAATGATTGTGGAAGAAAGAAATTCACATTTTTTCCACATATTTCATCTTATTTTAATAGTAATGTCCTTAAACTTTACTATAAAAAAATATAATGTCTCCATGTGGAGGGTAGGTATTGTTGCCTAGTGTTGAAGATCACAGACCTTGGAATCTGCTTGGGTTCTAATCCTTGGTCTGTTTCTCATTGTCTTCTTAGGGAGCTTATTTACCCTTTTAAAGCCTCCTCTGTAAAAGGCATAATGCCTATCATAAGTTTGCTTTGAGTATTACATGAGACAATGTTGGTAAACTTTGCACAGTGCTGACACATAGTAAGTGCTCTGTTAGCTATTATTATGTAATTTTTTTCTTAGCTTACATAGTAAGTTCAAGGTATAGTAAAAAAGGGAAGAAAGAAAAAGATGGCTGATTTTGAAAAGGAGAAAGTGATGAATGAAGATTGCTTTTACATTTTTTGACACTGGTCTTCTAATCTTGTTTCCTTCATAAATCTTGTGCACCATTGTGATTGCTAAGAAGAACACAATCTATTTAGCAAACGTTTTTGGCATAAAAGGAATGATAATTATTACTTGACTTTTATATCCTTATAGAGACCTAAGCTAAATCTCTGACACTGACAATATTGACTATTAGCCAGCTTGTTAACAGTACTAGAAATGAATTTGGAAGAAGCAATTTGATAAATTACACACCCTTTTGGCTTTTACCCTCCCTTTATATCAGACTTGTGACTGACTCAGAATGATATTTGGGGAGGTGAAAAAAGGTAAACATGTTTGAGAGGAATTAGCCATCAGACTAGAGTGTATTCAAAAAAGAAGATTTAAGAATTTTGTAAAATAGTGGAGAGACTTGCCTCAGAATCATTATATGTGGGAAGCCTTACCCATGAGAACAACCTTGAACAAGTAGCAAGAATCTTGGGTAAGTAACCCTAAAGACAATTGAATTCATGATAGAGAATTGATGATTGATGATAGGCAATGGAAAAGATAAATAGATGAGGTGTACAGTGTGCTGAAAAGAATTTAACAGGTACTTTTTGGTGCCATACAAAGCCATATTCTATAGTATCAAAAGAGGGAGAATAGGCATAACGGGTAGAGAGCCTAATTAGGGAACTGACGAGGTTATTCTATAAAGGAACCTGGGATGTGTGACTTAGAATTACTGTGAATACTAAGGACAGACTGGGGGCAAAGCAACTTACAACTAGGTTTTTATTTTTAGTGTGTATATAGCCATTTCTACCATGTATGCCTGAGGAAAAAAGTGACCACCGTAAAAATTTTGAGTATCTACTCATTTTTAAGATCACTAGGATAACTGACTATTTATGAATGATTTTTTCTAAAGTGAAGCGTCTTTTTATTAACCACAAAGTAGCCCTTAATCTGACAGTTGTGCGAATTTTTGCATATATGTTTTATTGATGTATGAGTGGAATATATGTGATTTATTGTTTGAAGGAAAATCATAATTATTTTTTAAAGCAAGTTTTGTTTTTCTGTTTTTAATTTTTTTCTGGTTCCAGATGTATTTGGGTATGCTTATTTCCTGTTTTAGAAACAATATACTTTGTATACTTTTTTAAAAAGTTAATTTTTACTTTTAAACTTTGTCTTCCTCATTTATTATTTATTTCAGATCCATAAATGGACTAGGACAAATCTTAGAAACACAAAGATCAAGGTACTTTAAAAAAGCTATTCCTATTAATAACAAATCATTTTAGTTATTAATAATAAACATTAAGTAATTGACAAATATGCTTGATTCTGATATAAGAAAGATCTAAGTTCATTTAAAAAGAATTGGATCCAAAATGTTGTTTGGAATGCTCTTAATAAGTTAGTTTGGCATATTTGGCTAGTACATTTGCCTGTCTTCAAAACTAAGATTACAAAGCCATGGTAACACTGTGTAAGTGTTTGCTTAATGAGGAAGAAAAGACTTCCAAACACTCGAGAGGGTAACTCAGTACAGAAATCTGAAGTATATTGAGGAATCTTAATTTGAAGTGTTTAAATGGCATTTTAATATTTAAAAAGCCTTCTTAGTGTTTTATAGTTGCCAAAAAATACATGGAGTCTTTACCTTGAAGTTCCTGACAAATTCTTTTATTAAATTTTGACTTTCATTTTCTCTAGGTTCTGTTCCTAAAACATCTGTGAAGTGTATTTCTGTAGATTAAATTCTGTTTTCCATTGAATGTTATCTTAATTTCAGAAAATTTCTGTGCAGGGATATTTTATTAAGCTCATTTTTTTTTTTTTTTTTTTTTTTTTTTTTGTGGTGAGAAAGGCTCAGCAGCTGATAGACTCAGCAACAGGCAGCCAGGAGCTCTGAGGCTCACAGCTGGCAGTCTAGTTCTACTCAGTCTCTACTTGAGAAATTCTTTCTTTGGAAGTACAGCAGAGGCCTTAGATGAGTGGCTTGTCTGCTATGGCAGAGATTAGAGGTGCTGCCAGACTGCCATTAAGTGTTAGGCAGTAACAGCAGCAGCTGCTTATATGCATGTGAACAGCTGGGGAATTAATTTGGTATGCATTCTCAGGAGCCGCTCATCTGCTGGCAGAGGTAGCCGAAGAATGCCCTTTAGTGTAAGTCCTCTACAACCATACACCAAATGTGCTCCCTGCATTTCAAATTCCATTGTAGAAAGTCTCTGATAATCTCACTTATACCATGAGCCATTCCTCAGTATCTGTCCTCTTCCTGTTAGTGTTCTACAATTCCTTTCTCCTTAATTTTTCTCCGCTTTACAAAATGTCACACAGACAAGTGCATAATACTTAAACAAGCTTTTAAAAATAATGCTCATAAATAGCTTTGGTTCTGTCATAATATTCGTATTTATAAACATTTTAAGTCAATTCTCTTCTTTTGTTTTCATTTCAGAAATATCCATGTCCTGAATAAAAGTTGTGTCTTGATTAGTTTATTATGTAACAATTTAGTGTGTTTGACATTTCTAACTTTTATTTCTAACATTTGCTTTATTATAGAACAATAAACATGCAGTGATTGATTTTTCTTACTTCAAGTGGATGAGTGAGCAAGTGACTAAAATCTTCTGTGAATTCTTCAGTGTATGGTTCTTGCCAATGCATCTGAGAATCTAGGGACTTTCTGAAATAGTACTTCCTTGCTATGAGGACTGAAGTTGGATTAGAATCCGTTTCAATGAAGATCAGATGTCCTGAGTAGAATTCTTACTATTGGGTCCTGAATCTTACATTAAATATTCTCTCAAATTCCTTGAGGCATAGCAACTTGAGCTTACCAGTTTAGAAACTGGAGATTTGGGCTGGGTGCGGTGGCTCATGCCTGTAATCCCAGCACTTTGGGAGGCCAAGGTGGGCGGATCACGAGGTCAGGAGATGGAGACCATCCTGGCTAACACTGTGAAACCCATCTCTACTAAAAATACAAAAAATTAGCTGAGCCTGGTGGTGGGCGCCTGTAGTCCCAGCTACTCAGGAGGCTGAGGCAGGAGAATGGCGTGAACCCGGGAGGCGGAGCTTGCAGTGAGCTGAGATCGCACCACTGCACTCCAGCCTGGGTGACAGAGCGAGACTCTGTCTCAAAAAAAAAAAAAAAACAAACAAAAAAACCGGAGATTTGGTTAACAAAATAGTCAAAGTCACTCTTATAGAAGTTTTGTTTTATTTTTTGTTTTTTTAAATTTTTTTACCATTTTGTAGCTGACAAGTACTGACAATAAACTGCTATAAGCATGTGTAGAAAAAGGCTCACCTTGAGTAGTTAAGATTAAGGAAAAGGAATAGTGTGTAGCATCGTCTTAGTGGTAAGACTTAAGTTGATTTAGTAGCAAATGGAAGTACTAGTGAACCACATAGATTTCAGAAGTAGGAGTAAAAGGTTAGAAGATGTGTCATTTTAATCTTCTCTAGACTTTTTCTTAATTTTTAGAAATGTAAGTGGACTGAACAGAGGAAAACCAAAACACAGCTGGTCAATAATAAGTTAAATTAATTTGACAAACTGCCTGCTATGCATTTCATAGCATTTTAAGGACTATATAAGCAATGGATAAGGCGAAAACTCTGCCTTTAAGGAGATCAGTCATTGGGGGGAAACAGAAGCAAACAAACAAAAAGGCAACATAATAGATATTAATATTAATACAAGAATTTTAAAAGCACAGAGTTCTATAATAATAGGAAAATAGAGGGAATGATTGCTCAACTTTTCTTGAAAAAGAGTCAGGAAAATATTGACCGAGAAGGCAGTCATTGACCTGAGTCTTAAAGAATGAATAAGGTTTTTACAGATGGAGTAGGGTAGGGATAACTTTCCAGGTATAAGGAAGATTTTGTATTCCAGGGACCTTTGAATATTTTAGAATGGCTAGAAAACTTGGTATTATGTAGCACAGAAAAAGTGGTATGACTGAAGAGATAGAGAACTTACCACAAAGGGTCTTGAATGCCATGATACATAGTTTGGATTTTCTTCTGTAGGGAGCAAGGAGTTAGTGAAGGATTTTAAAAGCAAAATGACTCTTGGGAGGTAGATTCAATGTGAGGCTAATCTCCGAGGTACAGGAAATACAGGAAGGAGGAGCAACAGGTCGGGTAGTGGTGGAAGCAGGTTTGGAAAATGTGATTAGTTTTGTAAACGTTTTTGAGTTTGAATTGCCACTGGGGAAGGCTTTTGGAAATTTATTTCCAGAGTTGAAGACTGAGCTATCATTGCAGTTTGCTCAGCTATTTACTGAGCTATCTACTGTCAATTTGGATAGTATCTACAGTTTGCATTGTAGATACTGGATACTTGGATTGGCTGGTGCACCCTGTTTGTGAGACTCACTGGAGTTTGAAGAGATGACCACTGGAAAATATCCCTAAGCAGTAGCTGCAATTCCACCCCCACCTTGGAGAGCCAAAACCCTCTTCGTTTTCACTCTCCTGTCCTTGGTCTTAAGCTACTTAAAGCAGCCTTTAGACATAGGGAAAAATTGAAAGCCTCTCTTTTAAGAAAAACATTAGGTACTTCTGGAATAGAGAGTTCAAGAAATTAGGAGAAAAATGAACTTTTGAAGCTTTTTCTTTCCCTTTTTTGTTTACTTCATTCTCTTACTCAGTTTTAAAATGCTGGTAATGGTCTTTTTTTTCTTTTTTTTTTTTTTCTTGGCGATTTTAATGCTTTGGAAAAGATCTCATGCTTTTATCTCCAAAGGAGGAAATTAATTTGATGCCATGGAAATTAGTTTTCTAGTCGTATGCCTTGAATGAGTGAAGAATTTCTTTTTCATGGTGGTACTAAATTTGGGGAAAGCTATAGAAACTTTCATCTGGAAGCTTACACTTTTCCTCTTTTTTGAAAATTTGGTGAGAGACTTGGATATTTTATTATTTTCTGTAAAAGAGTGTAATTTGTTGTACAGGTCTAATATTGATCCTTTTTTGGAAGTATGGAAAGAATCTGAGTATAAAGCAGAATTACCTCTGGATGGCATGTATTCTCAAGGACACTGTCATAGTGAAACAGTTTATTTAGAAGCTTGTGTTTCCAAACTGTTGAATTTGATATTCACAAAATTGGCATGTGTAAACTTTATTAAACTTTAAGCTATTTCCTAAGATGAAGATGACAAACTTGGAGGGAAACTTCATTCATTTGGTTTATTTTTATTTTTATTTTTATTTATCTTTTTGAGACAGAATCTCACTCTGGTTTGAGACAGAATCTCACTGTGTCCCCCAAGTTGGAGTGCGGTGGTGCGATCTCGGCTCACTGAAACCACTGCCTCCTGGGTTCAAGCGATTCTCCTGCTTCACCCTCCGAGTAGCTGGGATTACAGGTGTGCACCACCACACCCAGCTAATTTTTGTATTTTTAGTAGAGACGGTTTCGCCACATTGGCTAGGTTGGTGTCAAACTCCTGGCCTCAAAGTGATCCGCCCACCTTGGCCTCCCAAAGTGGAGCCCCCGTGCCCCTTGTTTGTGACCTGTCAATATAAATATGCTCAGTAGCGGGGGGAGGGGTGGGGGGTGAAAAAGGAAATATGTTTAATATTAAGACTTTGGCCTTTTAGTGTAAACTGATATTCAAAAATTTCTTCATAGAACATTTGCTTCTTTGCTTGATCATTTTTCTAATTCTGTACATCTAAAATGCCCAGAATTTGAGTTGCTGTTATAGTCTACTAACATAGAACTTTGGAGTAATAAGATGGGAATTTGTCTCTCTTTTGCCAAGACAAGTATTCGTAATCTAACACAGTATTGTTGCCACGAGTACGAGTATGTGATAGACTGTTGAGAATAAAGAAAGCAGGCACAGTTGGTCAGTCCTAAGATAAAGGAGATGTTTTTTCTTATATGTTTGTGCATTAAAGAAAAAAAAATCTTGAATCTGACCAATGATGTTTTTTTTCCTTGTAAGAAAATTTAACAAATGTTTGGCAAGCTTCTGGAATCTAAATTTGAAATTATACATTTGTCATTTTCTTTAAATATTTCTTCACCTTAGCTTTGATTATGAGAAATCACTGTCCTCTGCTGTTCTTTTTTTTTTTTTTTCTTTTGAGGCGGAGTCTCACTCTGTGCCAGGCTGGAGTGCAGTGGTGCAATCTCGGCTCACTGCAACCTCCACTTCCTGGGTTCAAATGATTCTCCTGCCGCAGCCTCCCGAGTAGCTGGGACTACAGGTGCATGCCACCACACCCAGCTAATTTTTGTATTTTTGGTAGAGACAGGGTTTCACCACGTTGTCCATGGCCAGGATGGTCTTGATCTTGACCTTGTGATCCGCCCGCCTCGGCCTCCCAAAGTGCTGGGATTGCAGGCATGAGCCACCGTGCCCGGCCTGTCCTCTGTGGTTTTCTGGGCTTATGTTAAAATTATAACTCAATCACCAGTCTTTATAAATTTGCTTTTTTATATTTAAACCAAACCTAATGCTAATTGTGATATGTTATTTATTCTCACCTGATTTGAATCATTGGATTCAATTAAATGAGTTTAATTATCATTAAATAATTCTAAGAGAAATAATGTCTATTCGGATGGTGGGAATTTTCTTTCTACATGCAGCCCCATTCTGAATGAATGAAATCAAATCATGTGAAGATCAGGGTCCTAGAGTAACCTAATATTTTGTACATTGGTTATTTGACTCCTCATTTTTATATTAAATGTTATATCAAGGGAGGGGGTATAAAAGAAATACAAAAATTGCAGAGGTATCTGGAATGTACCTATTTGTTAATTCTATTTGTCATTTCTTTTGTTTCATCTTTTGAGTAATAAGCTGCTTGGAAAAGTTTCTGTTCTTTAGCTGATTTTTTAGCTATAAAAATGTATTTGAAAAGCTCATAAATTTCAGGATTGAAAAGATAATTGGAAGTTTAAAAAAAACCTAATTCATTGAAGTAATAACCAAATAATTTTCAATCTTGATTCAACTGTGATTCAAATCTTACACCATTTGCCCACTTCTATGAATTTTATGTATAAAATTTTTTAAGAGTCAGAGTTTTTTTTTCTTGATTAATTGGATGTATTTCACAGAATTTCCAACTGCTCACGTTAGTTTTCTTCCTTTTAGAGTTGATCTCTCTAATGTATTAGATCTTCATGCCTTTGATAGTCTCTCTGGAATAAGGTATGTTTTGTATAATTTGGTTACTTTTATTGTTATGTACCTTTTTTCCCCATAGTTAACAGGAATGATTTGCACAATTGCATCCATGATTTAAGCTTCCTGCCATTCCTTTGGCTTACAAGACCATTCTTAATGAGGTATATTCTTGGAAGTTTTACTAATTGGTTGTTTGGAAATCATATTGCATTTTCCTGTAGAAATTATAGTGTAAATGATAGTTAACTTTAGAGGCTAATCGTTAACACTTCTACACCAAACACTATGTCTAATACTCTTTCTATGAGAAAATGCATGAAATACATGGAAAATTTTAGCTTAGCGTTTTCACACAAATAACTCTCTTCACTTTATTTTTTTATTTTTTATTTTTTCTTGAGTTTTTTTTTAAATTTATTTATTTATTATTATTATACTTTAAGGTTTAGGGTACATGTGCACAATGTGCAGGTTAGTTACATATGTATACATGTGCCATGCTGGTGGGCTGCACCCACTAACTCGTCATCTAGCATTAGTTATATCTCCCAATGCTATCCCTCCCCCCTCCCCCCAACCCACAACAGTCCCCAGAGTGTGATGTTCCCCTTCCTGTGTCCATGTGTTCTCATTGTTCAATTCCCACCTATGAGTGAGAATATGCGGTGTTTGGTTTTTTGTTCTTGCGATAGTTTACTGAGAATGATGATTTCCAATTTCATCCATGTCCCTACAAAGGACATGAACTCATCCTTTTTTATGGCTGCATAGTATTCCATGGTGTATATGTGCCACATTTTCTTAATCCAGTCTATCATTGTTGGACATTTGGGTTGGTTCCAAGTCTTTGCTATTGTGAATAATGCCGCAATAAACATACGTGTGCATGTGTCTTTATAGCAGCATGATTTATAGTCCTTTAGGTTATATACCCAGTAATGGGATGGCTGGGTCAAATGGTATTTCTAGTTCTAGATCCCTGAGGAATCACCACACTGACTTCCACAATGGTTGAACTAGTTTACAGTCCCGCCAACAGTGTAAAAGTGTTCCTATTTCTCCACATCCTCTCCAGCACGTGTTGTTTCCTGACTTTTTAATGATTGCCATTCTAACTGGTGTGAGATAGTATCTCATTGTGGTTTTGATGTGCATTTCTCTGATGGCCAGTGATGGTGAGCATTTTTTCATGTGTTTTTTGGCTGCATAAATGTCTTCTTTTGAGAAGTGTCTGTTCATGTCCTTCACCCACTTTTTGATGGGGTTGTTTGGTTTTTTCTTGTAAATTTGTTTGAGTTCATTGTAGATTCTGGATATTAGCCCTTTGTCAGATGAGTAGGTTGCAAAAATTTTCTCCCATTTTGTAGGTTGCCTGTTCACTCTGATGGTAGTTTCTTTTGCTGTGCAGAAGCTGTTTAGTTTAATTAGATCCCATCTGTCAATTTTGGCTTTTGTTGCCATTGCTTTTGGTGTTTTAGACATGAAGTCCTTGCCCATGCCTATGTCCTGAATGGTAATGCCTAGGTTTTCTTCTAGGGTTTTTATGGTTTTAGGTCAAACGTTTAAGTCTTTAATCCATCTTGAATTGATTTTTGTATAAGGTGTAAGGAAGGGATCCGGTTTCAGCTTTCTACATACGGCTAGCCAGTTTTCCCAGAACCATTTATTAAATACGGAATCCTTTCCCCACTGCTTGTTTTTCTCAGGTTTGTCAAAGATCAGATAGTTGTAGATATGCGGCGTTATTTCTGAGGGCTCTGTTCTGTTCCATTGATCTATATCTCTGTTTTGGTACCAGTACCATGCTGTTTTGGTTACTGTAGCCTTGTAGTATAGTTTGAAGTCAGGTAGTGTGATGCCTCCAGCTTTGTTCTTTTGGCTTAGGATTGACTTGGCGATGCGGGCTCTTTTTTGGTTCCATATGAACTTTAAAGTAGTTTTTTCCAATTGTGTGAAGAAAGTCATTGGTAGCTTGATGGGGATGGCATTGAATCTGTAAATTACCTTGGGTAGTATGGCCATTTTCACGATATTGATTCTTCCTACCCATGAGCATGGAATGTTCTTCCATTTGTTTGTATCCTCTTTTATTTCCTTGAGAAGTGGTTTGTAGTTCTCCTTGAAGAGGTACTTCACATCCCTAGTAAGTTGGATTCCTAGGTATTTTATTCTCTTTGAAGCAATTGTGAATGGGAGTTCACTCATGATTTGGCTCTCTTTGTCTGTTGTTGGTGTATAAGAATGCTTGTGATTTTTGTACATTGATTTTGTATCCTGAGACTTTGCTGAAGTTGCTTATCAGCTTAAGGAGATTTTGGGATGAGATGATGGGGTTTTCTAGATATACAATCATGTCATCTGCAAACAGGGACAATTTGACTTCCTCTTTTCCTAATTGAATACCCTTTATTTCCTTCTCCTGCCTAATTGCCCTGGCCAGAACTTCCAACACTATGTTGAATAGGAGTGGTGAGAGAGGACATCCCTGTCTTGTGCCAGTTTTCAAAGGGAATGCTTCCAGTTTTTGCCCATTTAGTATGATATTGGCTGTGGGTTTGTCATAGATAGCTCTTATTATTTTGAAATACGTCCCATCAATACCTAATTTATTGAGAGTTTTTAGCATGACGGGTTGTTGAATTTTGTCAAAGGCCTTTTCTGCATCTATTGAGATAATCATGTGGTTTTTGTCTTTGGTTCTGTTTATATGCTGGATTACATGTATTGATTTGCATATATTGAACCAGCCTTGCATCCCAGGGATGAAGCCCACTTGATCATGGTGGATAAGCTTTTTGATGTGCTGCTGGATTCGGTTTGCCAGTATTTTATTGAGGATTTTTGCATCAATGTTCATCAAGGATATTGGTCTAAAATTCTCTTTTTTGGTTGTGTCTCTGCCCGGCTTTGGTATCAGGATGATGCTGGCCTCATCAAATGAGTTAGGGAGGACTCCCTCTTTTTCTATTGATTGGAATAGTTTCAGAAGGAATGGTACCAGTTCCTCCTTGTACCTCTGGTAGAATTCGGCTGTGAATCTATCTGGTCCTGGACTCTTTTTGGTTGGTAAGCTATTGATTATTGCCACAATTTCAGATCCTGTTATTGGTCTATTCAGAGATTCAACTTCTTCCTGGTTTAGTCTTTGGAGGGTGTATGTGTCAAGGAATTTATCCATTTCTTCTAGATTTTCTAGTTTATTTGCGTAGAGGTGTTTTTAGTATTCTCTGATGGTAGTTTGTATTTCTGTGGGATCGGTGGTGATATCCCCTTTATCATTTTTTATTGCGTCTATTTGATTCTTCTCTCTTTTTTTCTTTATTAGTCTTGCTAGCGGTCTATCAATTTTGTTGATCCTTTCAAAAAACCAGCTCCTGGATTCATTAATTTTTTGAAGGGTTTTTTGTGTCTCTATTTCCTTCAGTTCTGCTCTGATTTTAGTTATTTCTTGCCTTCTGCTAGCTTTTGAATGTGTTTGCTCTTGCTTTTCTAGTTCTTTTAATTGTGATGTTAGGGTGTCAATTTTGGATCTTTCCTGCTTTCTCTTGTGGGCATTTAGTGCTATAAATTTCCCTCTACACACTGCTTTGAATGTGTCCCAGAGATTCTGGTATGTTGTGTCTTTGTTCTCGTTGGTTTCAAAGAACATCTTTATTTCTGCCTTCATTTCGTTATGTACCCAGTAGTCATTCAGGAGCAGGTTGTTCAGTTTCCATGTAGTTGAGCGGTTTTGAGTGAGATTCTTAATCCTGAGTTCTAGTTTGATTGTACTGTGGTCTGAGAGATAGTTTGTTATAATTTCTGTTCTTTTACATTTGCTGAGGAGAGCTTTACTTCCAAGTATGTGGTCAATTTTGGAATAGGTGTGGTGTGGTGCTGAAAAAAATGTATATTCTGTTGATTTGGGGTGGAGAGTTCTGTAGATGTCTATTAGGTCTGCTTGGTGCAGAGCTGAGTTCAATTCCTGGGTATCCTTGTTGACTTTCTGTCTCATTGATCTGTCTAATGTTGACAGTGGGGTGTTAAAGTCTCCCATTATTATTGTGTGGGAGTCTAAGTCTCTTTGTAGGTCACTCAGGACTTGCTTTATGAATCTGGGTGCTCCTGTATTGGGTGCATATATATTTAGGATAGTTAGCTCTTCTTGTTGAATTGATCCCTTTACCATTATGTAATGGCCTTCTTTGTCTCTTTTGATCTTTGTTGGTTGAAAGTCTGTTTTATCAGAGACTAGGATTGCAACCCCTGCCTTTTTTTGTTTTCCATTTGCTTGGTAGATTTTCCTCCATCCCTTTATTTTGAGCCTATGTGTGTCTCTGCACGTGAGATGGGTTTCCTGAATACAGCACACTGATGGGTCTTGACTCTTTATCCAATTTGCCAGTCTGTGTCTTTTAATTGGAGCATTTAGTCCATTTACATTTAAAGTTAATATCGTTATGTGTGAATTTGATCCTGTCATTATGATGTTAGCTGGTTATTTTGCTCGTTAGTTGATGCAGTTTCTTCCTAGTCTCGATGGTCTTTACATTTTGGCATGATTTTGCAGCGGCTGGTACCAGTTATTCCTTTCCATGTTTAGCGCTTCCTTCAGGAGCTCTTTTAGGGCAAGCCTGGTGGTGACAAAATCTCTCAGCATTTGCTTGTCTGTAAAGTATTTTATTTCTCCTTCACTTATGAAGCTTAGTTTGGCTGGATATGAAATTCTGGGTTGAAAATTCTTTTCTTTAAGAATGTTGAATATTGGCCCCCACTCTCTTCTGGCTTGTAGAGTTTCTGCCAAGAGATCCGCTGTTAGTCTGATGGGCTTCCCTTTGAGGGTAACCCGACCTTTCTCTCTGGCTGCCCTTAACATTTTTCCCTTCATTTCAACTTTGGTGAATCTGACAATTATGTGTCTTGGAGTTGCTCTTCTCGAGGAGTATCTTTGTGGCATTCTCTGTATTTCCTGAATCTGAATGTTGGCCTGCCTTGCTAGATTGGGGAAGTTCTCCTGGATGATATCCTGCAGAGTGTTTTCCAACTTGGTTCCATTCTCCCCGTCACTTTCAGGTACACCAATCAGACGTAGATTTGGTCTTTTCACATAGTCCCATATTTCTTGGAGGCTTTGTTTGTTTCTTTTTATTCTTTTTTCTCTAAACTTCCCTTCTTGCTTCATTTCATTCATTTCATCTTCCATCGCTGATACCCTTTCTTCCAGTTGATCGCATCGGCTCCTGAGGCTTCTGCATTCTTCACGTAGTTCTCGAGCCTTGGTTTTCAGCTCCATCAGCTCCTTTAAGCACTTCTCTGTATTGGTTATTCTAGTTATACATTCTTCAAAATTTTTTCCAAAGTTTTCAACTTCTTTGCCTTTGGTTTGAATGTCCTCCCGTAGCTTGGAGTAATTTGATCGTCTGAAGCCTTCTTTTCTCAGCTCGTCAAAGTCATTCTCCGTCCAGCTTTGTTCTGTTGTTGGTGAGGAACTGCGTTTCTTTGGAGGAGGAGAGGCGCTGCGTTCCTTTGGAGGAGGAGAGGCGCTCTGCTTTTTAGAGTTTCCAGGTTTTCTGCTCTGTTTTTTCCCCATCTTTGCAGTTTTCATCTACTTTTGGTCTTTGATGATGGTGATGTACAGATGGGTTTTTGGTGTGGATGTCCTTTCTGTTTGTTAGTTTTCCTTCTAACAGACAGGACCTTCAGCTGCAGGTCTGTTGGAGTACCCGGCCGTGTGAGGTGTCAGCCTGCCTCTGCTAGGGGGTGCCTCCCAGTTACCTCCCAGGGGGTGACCTCCCAGGGGGTCAGGGGTCAGGGACCCACTTGAGGAGGCAGTCTGCCCGTTCTCAGATCTCCAGCTGTGTGCTGGGAGAACCACTGCTCTCTTCAAAGCTGTCAGACAGGGACACTTAAGTCTGCGGAGGTTACTGCTGTCTTTTTGTGTGTCTGTGCCCTGCCCCCAGAGGTGGAGCCTACAGAGGCAGGCAGGCTTCCTTGAGCTGTGGTGGGCTCCACCCAGTTGGAGCTTCCTGGCTGCTTTGTTTACCTAAGCAAGCCTGGGCAATGGCGGGCGCCCCTCCCCCAGCCTCGCTGCCGCCTTGCAGTTTGATCTCAGACTGCTGTGCTAGCAATCAGCGAGACTCCGTGGGCGTGGGACTCTCCGAGCCAGGTGTGGGACACAATCTCCTGGTGCGCCGTTTTTCAAGCCCGTCGGAAAAGCGCAGTATTCTGGTGGGAGTGACCCAATCTTCCAGGTGCCGTCTGTCACCCCTTTCTTTGACTAGGAAAGGGAACTCCCTGACCCCCGTGCTTCCCAAGTGAGACAATGCCTCGCCCTGCTTCGGCTCGCGGATGGAGCATGCACCCACTGACCTGCGCCCACTGTCTGGCACTCCCTAGTGAGATGAACCCGGTACCTCAGATGGAAATGGAGAAATCGCCTGTCTTCTGCGTCTCTCACGCTGGGAGCTGTAGACCGGAGCTGTTCCTATTCGGCCATCTTGGCTCCTCTCTCCTCTCTTCACTTTAATAATGGATTAGTTTTCTGCCTTCTGCTGTGGGGAATCTTTTTGGTAAGGGAGAGAAGAAAGATTAGTTATTCTTGTGCATCGGTATCTTTTTCTTTTTTTATTGTAGTAAGAACATCTAACATGAGATCTACCCTCTTAACAATTTTTTAAGTGTACAATACAGTATTGCTAACTATAGGCATGAGGATGTGCAGCAGATCTCTGGAACGTTTCACTCTTTATAACTGAAGCTTTATACCCCTTGAATCGCAGTTTCCCATTTCCCAGTCTTCATAGCCCCTGGCATCCACCATTCTACACTCTTTCTATGGGGTTGACTATTTTAATTACCTGACACAAGTGGAATCATGCATTATTTGTCTTTCTGTGACTGGTTTATTTCATGTAGCATAAAGTCATCAAGGTTCATCCATGTTTTTGCATATGGCAAGGTTTCCTTTTTAAGTCTGAATAATATTCCATTTTCTACATATACCACATTTACTTTATCCCTTTTTCTGTTAGTGGACATTTAACTTGTTCTCACAGCTTGGCTATTGCAAATAATGCTGCAATGAATATCTCATAAGTCTCGTATATGTCCATACAAGATCATGAAAATGGACATGTCTCTGGGTATTTTGAATTGGTGGGACAATTTTGCTTAAGGGTAGGCATAGTGGGTGGCTCTACATTTGAGAGTTCTAATTCCCATTCCTATATATATTTCTTTTCTTTTTATTTATTTATTTTTTTGAGATGGGGTTCTCTGTCACTCAGGCTGGAGTGCAGTGGCACAAACATGGCTTACTGCAGTCTCAACCTCCTGGGCTCAAGTGATACTCCCATCTCAGCCTCCCAAGAAGCTGGGACCACAGGCATGTGTCACCATGCCTGACTAATTTTTTTTTAATTTTCTGTAAGCATGGGGTCTTGCTATGTTGCCTAGGCTGGTCTCAAACTCCTGGGCTCAAGTGATCCTCATGCCTCAGCCTCCCAAAGTGCTGGGATTACATGTGTAGGCCACCACACCCAGCCTTATATATGTATTTCTAATTTTGCCTTAGCCATGCCCTTAAAAACTAATTATACTTTCAACTAGTTTTTTTTTCCACCTTCAGTCTGTGGTATTGTTCACATTTTGAAAACAATACCTACAGTAACCTGTGAGGTAGGACATGATAGTGTTTTATTGGACCCCTTTTACTTTATGAATTGGAAAAATTAAATTTGCATGTAGTTTGTAAAAAAAAAAATAAAGAAAAAAGAAATTGATTGAGATTATTTCAGCAGCCAGAAGTGTGGGACAGGCAGGGCAGTTATTCCTCCTTCTCAGTTTGGAAACTGAAGCTCAGAGAGTAAACTTGTCAGTGACACAGTTATTCAAGAAGTTGTCTTCAGTTGAGAGATATGTTTTTCACCTGTAGCTTCTGGTATTGGAGCAGTACCTTTTTAGACTAAACAAATTACAGTTAAAATTATAAAGGTATTTTTGGAGTACCTGGAAAAAATCAGCATTTTGCTTTTCTAGTTCCATTTAGTAGGAAGGCAGGAAAGTTTGGTATACCTGAATTACATGTGAGTTATTTCTATTTTTCTAAAAATTCTTATAAATTGTGTAAGGTAAAAATGACTACTTCTTGTTTTATGGTAAATATAGTTATATCCTTTCAAGCCACTGCTGTACAAAGTTGTGAAATCTCCCTGAGCCTTTTTCCCTCATGTCAGCTTCAGGTATCCAGTATCACTTATGCTTGATAATGATTGTATGAAAATCATTCAGAATTATACTATGTTTTTTCATATAAAGCTTTTGTTTTACTAATTTTGAAATAACTGTTCCTCCATTAAGCGAATACAGCCCTAAGCATAAATTTGGTTTGTTCATTTAAAAATGGTCTTTTTTTCCCATCTTATTTCTGGCTTTACTAGGGAGATAGATTGGCTGAGGTTGTCACCTAATTCTGGGAGGTTAAGAGCCTTTGTCTTTTGCTACCCATTTCTGAAATAACCAGAAGTCTAGCCCATCCTAACTTTCCTCTCGATGATCCTTTTCTTCTTTTTACTTCAAGGTTCCAGCCCTTCATTTGACTATCAGTGCTGTTCACTAGTTAGCCATGATCCCTTTCATCCTCCGTGTCTGGATTAGAACTGTATTTTTAATTTGATGCTGTGGGCAGTTTTGATAGTTACAGATCCTGTGATACATTTAAATGTGTTTACAAGGGGAACAAATGAAACAATGCTGCATGAAATTTGCCTTTCATTTTTTTTTTCTTCCCCTTGGAGACAGGGTCTGGGTCTATTGCCCAGGCTAGAGTGCAGTGGTGCGATGTCAGCTCCCTATAGCCTCTGTGTCCTGGGCTTAAGCCATCTTCCCACCTCAGACTCATGAGTAGCTGGGACTATAGGCACGCACTACCATGCCTGGCTAATTTTTTATTTTGGTAGAAGATGAGGTTTTGCCATGTTGCTGAAGCTGATCTTAAACTCCTGGGCTTAAGTGATCTGCCCACCTCAGCCTCCCAAAGTAATGGGATTATAGGCATGAGCCACCACACTTGGCCTTTTCTTTTTTTTATATTTATTTAATTATTTTATTTTATTGAGACAGAGTCTCACTCTGACACCTGGGCTGGAATGCAGTGGCTATCATGGCTCTCTGCAGTCGTGAACTCCTGGACTCAAGTGATCCTCCCATCTCAGCCTCCTGAGTAGCTGGGACTACAGGCTTGCGCCCATGCCTGGCTAATTTTTTTATTTTTACTTTTTTGTAGTGACAGGCTCTCGCTACGTTGCTCAGGCTCATCTTGAACTCCTGGCCTCAAGTGATTCTCCTACTTGGCCTCTCAAAGTGCTGGGATTATAAGCCTGAGCCACTGAACCCAGCAAAATTTGCCTTTCTTAAACTAATTTATCTCTGTTGGGTCCAAGAGCTTACAAGTTGGTTGTCATTTAATATGTTAAACACTAGAATATTTTTTAGTTGAAATTTTATTTTTTCCCTTTACATATTGTATCCTTTAGTGCTTTATTTCACTAATAAGAATTATAGTATGCAATCATTTCCCACCTCTATATTCAGTATATCAATTTTTGTTTTTCCTTTCTACTTCTGTCTTTTGCTATAATTTGCTGTAATACAGGTACTTTCATCAAGGCATCCAGTTCTTTATATCATTCTATATTTTTACTTGGGAGAAATAGAAATGTTGCTAATTCCATCTTACTGACAATACCTAAATTATTGTTTGTTATAGAACATAATGATTTAAATATACAAAACACTAAACTGTTTGAGATTTTTTACATTTTATGTGTGCAGAATTTACATTTTATGTGTGCAGAGACAAAAATTGTTATAAGATTACAAGTTAATGTGCAAGATGATTTCCGATTCATGAGTTTCAGGTTTTGATAGCATATCCTTATCCACTAGATTAGTCTTTTAAAAATGTGTATGATAGGGAAAAAATCGAGGGCATGAAATTCTGAGACTTATGGGAACTAAACTTAAATGTTCGTTGTTAGATTTTTTTTTTTTTTTTTTTTTGCTGCATATGAAGTTTTAGGCAGTCATTGTCCAACAACATTAAATACTGAACATATGGGAAAAGCATATGATTTTTCAAAATGTTTTTCTAAAGTAATCTCATTCTACATACACTTAAGAGCAGTTATAATGCTTTAGTGACACTTGAAGTAGCTTTTTAATGTGATCTCACCACTATAGGGAAGGCCGTTGCATGACTTTTTTGTGTGTGCTTAACTGCTAAACAGGAGAATCTTTTCCTGAGCAACCAGTTGGGAAGGATTTAATTTGACATTCTCCCTACTAGGACCCCCCCAAAGAGACTCATTCCCTCCAATAGTTCCTACAAGTTCTTTCTCTTTCCTAAACTTGCTGTTACTAATTTACCCCTCACTGTTTTCAAGGCAAAGCCTCTGCAAGGTTTTAAGTCCTTTCCCCCTCCCGTCCTGTCCCCATCAGTGTTGAAATGTATGCTACAGTTATTATGGTTGTAATTTGTTATGCCATGTTGATCTTCTTGTGCTTTTCATATCAGAACAATGCATTTTTAACATTCTGACTTTCTTTTTCTCTCAATTGGTAACTGACTATATAGAAAATTTATATTTATGGATACTATTTCTTTTTTAATAAGTTCAAGGGAAAACATTGATAAAGGAAAATTTATCCTTTCAACTTTCTTTAGGTGCCAGCATTATTTTCATATTAGGAAGCAGGAGAAAGTTAAGGAACTCTAAGCAATACTAGAATGGTTATATATATATTTAAGTTTGTATTAAACCTGTTGGAATGGTAAAGAAATTTACTGACATATTTAACCATACAAAATAGTGTTGCTAAAAGACTAGTTTTTCTCTTTATTCTGTGCATATGTATATATATGAATGTGTGTTTTTTTTAAGAAATTTTAAAAAAACTTAATCTGCCAGCTTTTCTCTATTGGAATTTGCAAACAACTTGTAAAATTGGAATTACAGAATATTAGAATAGTCAGTTATGGAAAGTCACTTCATTATCCTTGTGTCACTAAACGTATAAAGTTAAATCAGAAGTGTATTAATCTCTGAATTTCTAATCAGTTGTTTTTAGTTTGCAGAAAAAACTTCAGCATGTGCCAGGAACACAACCTCACCTTGATCAGGTAAAGAAAAAAAATCTAAATCTAAAATTCCTAATCAATGTTTTTAAAGGACCTCTTTAACTAGATAGGCTATGTTTAGGACTATTTTATTATAAACTTTTTCTAAAATGGTATTTTTGAACTGTGTTGATAATTTTTGGAATCTTAAATGCTTTTGACATAGTCTAATTCTATTTCTTAACACATAATAGGAATTCATCAAACCAGATTTGTTTTAGAATCTGAGGAAATCATGCTTTCTAGCCTTTCCATTCTGTAGCTTGCTTAGCATATTGGTTAGTTCTGATAGGGATTACTCCTTAAAAGCAGCCTGGGGGTTCTATAGGCAGTCTGTTTTTAAGTATGTTGAATTGTTTAAGGAAAGGTCTGATATAAGCATGGCTTATTTAAATAAAAATTGACTTGGAGTTTCACCTTCAGGTAGCACTATAAATTTGAACTCCTTAAGATGTTTTTCATGCTCTAAAATTCTAATCCCTAAGGTAAATATCTAAGATGCTAGGAACAATTTAAATATAATTTTACTGTACCTGCGTTTCTGTTAAGCAGATCATAGATCGTAGAGCTTTAGGATAACTTCTTTGTTCCTCTTAAAACCCTGAGGGGTGGAGTGGGGGATGTGTAAGTGAGCAGTGTGCCTAATCTTCCTTCCTCTCTCTCAAGTGATCACTCAATTTTTGAATTGCTATTGGTTGTAATAGGGCCAAGATAACAGCTACTTGCATTTGTATTCATTTTGGTTCATATTTATGAGCAGGTTTGCTACTATGTTTGTGGCACCTTTCCCTGTGAAACTTTTGTTAATAGGATATTCCTCTTCACTTATCTTTAAAATGAATAAATGAGAGAAATACAAGTCCTTGGAGATAGAATTTATGGTAAAAAAAAAAAAAAAAACCCAGTTCTTTATGATAGTCGGTATCTGTCATATAGTTGAACATGAAGCACATTTGAGCTTCTGGGTAAAGAACGTGATGCCAAGAATCATAGGGATGAAAAGATGAAGAAAACGCAGTACTCACTTACCATGAACATTTGGAGCAGCCAGTGTCTCCATCCATAGAATCTCGAATGAACCCCTATTGTGGCAGTTATGATGCCTTGTAGTTTGGTTGAAATGCTTTTGCCTTGCATTAGTCTATAAATTCCTTAAATATAAAATCTTTATTGCTCAGTACAGGGCTTGGTGGATACTCAGTGAATATTTGTTAAAAGAATGAAAAGCTGTGTTTCTCAAATGGGGTATAAATCAGAATCACATGTGGAGCTTTTTTAAAAAAAATTCGATAACTCAGTAGTTCTCACCCCTCAGTCTCCAGGATTGGGACTTGGGTATGTGTATATTAATGTATATTTTTAACATTTTATTATGGAAGATTTCAAAGATATAAAAGAATAAACAGAATAGTAAAGTAAACTCCTTGTATGCATCACCCAGTTTAAATGGCATCAACATTTAGCTGATTTTATTTCACCTATCCTCCCAACATTTCTTTTGCCTGGAGTATTTAAAAAAAACAAATGTATTTTAATAGGAAATTTCAAACGTACATAAGAGTAGAATAGTATAATGAGCCTTTATGTACCTATTGCCCTTGGTGTAGTGTATTAAAGCAAATTCCAGACATTATGTCACTTTACTACTAAATAGGGCATATCTATATTTTTGTAGCCTCTGTAGGAGATTCTGATGCACTGTCCTGCTTTAGATAATATAAACATAGGGAAAAATAGTATCACAGCCAAAGGGCTATGGGATTCAGAGGCATGAACAATTTCATTTGGTTTAGTGGATCTGAGGTGTAAGGGAGGAAATTTATCTTTTCCTCGCCTATCACTAGATTCATGGCTGAGGTCTCTCTAACAGAAGACCAACTATCAAGAGAAATTTCAACATAGAAATTTATTTAGTAAGTTTTACTTGACACAGGAGCCTTCATAAAACATACCTGTGTATGTTTTCTGTTAGTTATGATATGGAAGAGGATAGTAATGGAGAAGCATAATTAGATAAAACAGTATGATCTAATAATAAACTGGGAAGAACTTAGCAAGGCCTGTTTGCTCAGATTTTTCTCTGTGACCCTTCATATTCAGACTTAAGGATGTTCTTTTCCTCTGTGTATAGAGAGGGCACCTCTTAAATGAGGGTCTTATGACCTGCATCAGCGGAAGGTCAGAAAATCTTTCCTAGGTTTTATGACCTGCTTCAGGAGAGAAGGTGAGAGTGACCTTCCTGATTCTGCCATTTTCTCAAATATTGAGTTGCCATATTTTGGGATAGCATGTCCTGAACCCCATCAAATGCTTCATGAGGATAGTTTTTCATTTGTTTCTTTTGGTTTTGGTTTATTTATTTGCATACAGTAAAGCATGCAAATGTGTAATTTTAGTGTACAATTCAATGTTTGGGTTTTGTTTTTGTTTTTGTTTTTTTGGTTTTTTTTGAGACGGAGTCTCACTCCGGCTAGAGTCTCACCCAGGCTGGAGTGCAGTGGTGTGACCTTGGCTCACTGCAACTTCCTCCTTCTAGATTCAAGTGATTCTCATGCCTCAGCCTCCTGAGTAGCTGGGATTACAGGCATGTACCACCATGCCTAGCTAATTTTTTTTTTTTTTTTTTTTTTTTTTTTTTTTTTTTAGTAGAGATGGGGTTTCACCATGTTGGCCAAGCTGGTCTCAAACTCCTGACTTCAGGTGATCCACCTGCTTCGGCCTCCCAAAGTGCTGGGATTACAGGCGTGAGCCACTGTGCCCGGCCTCAATGTATTTTTACATATATTTGTACCTATATATCTGTCTATATGCACATTCAAACACATATCCTTCTAACTCCCACTCAGGTCAAGATACAAAAGATATCCAAAATTGTAAAGAGTTCCTTTTTGCCCCTTCCTAGTCAAAGAAGGGGTAAGTGCTATTCTGACTTACTTAACAAAAAATAACCTTGAACTGGTAGGATTTTTTTTGACGGTAGGATTTTTTTTGACGGGAAGAAGTAAGGAAAAGAGCAATACGGATGTTTAAAAATGAGAAGGTGAGAATCTTATAGATGAGTAGGTCTCTGGTACAGAAGTCTTAGTGGAGAGTTGGTACTGGAATCCTGGTCTAAGGTATTAGGTTTTAATTTGCTAGACAAAGAGAACTCAAGCAGTGCTGTCTAGGAGTGTTATGTAAGCTAGATTGGACTTTAGAGTCAGGAGACCATGCGGGAAGATACTGTGTGATAAGGGCCTGAAACATGTTGGTTACAGTGAGACTAGAAATGGGATAAATCCAGAGCTGTTTCACCAGTAGACTTGCCTGAATATCCTGTCTGACTGATTATGGATCAGAAAGAAAAGAAGGGGTGATGGGAAACAAGCCTAGATTGACTAGAGAAACCTAGAAATAGAAAAATCGGGAAGGCAAAGTGATTTGGATGATAATGCCATATATTCAGTTGTCCCTGGTGGCCAGATATTATAGTATAGATATTATACAGGCAAAGAAGAACAGAGGGATAGAGTGTGAAGGTACAGATTTTGAGTTTAAGCACATTAGGGGGCTTAGTGTTCTGGATGAAGAAAACATATAAAAGTTATTGTATGTTAGGTATTGTTTGCAAAAGAGTAGAAAATGGAGAAATAACCCAGTGGGTTAAAGAAGAAACAGACTAAATAAACAAACCTGAGTAAGTTGTTCCTAAATTTTATTTTAGAGGCAATTCCTCATTTTGCTTTAGTTTTCTCAATTATTGCCTCACTTTTCTGTTTCTTTCTCTGTCAGCATACATGGAAAAAGGAGTTAATTTTAGATTCAAAACAAAAACTGGAAAAAAAAAGTCTGAAATGGGTAATACCTAGGACCTAGTATATATGTGTTATTAAGGCTCTATCCCTGAATTTTTAATGCAGTTATCTATTTTTCATGGATTCTTTGTTTATTCCCCATAAGGAACACCTGGGTTTGGAGAATGGGAAGGTAGATGAGAAAACCCAAGTGACAAAGAATGTTTAGTTTATTATTAGAACCAACTATGAGTTGTGACCCTTATCTTCTGCACTGGGAATTACAGATTTTTTCAGGGTTTTTCTAACGTGAAAAGAGTTTATTGGTGTAGGAAAACATCTGGTTCCAAAATATAGATCATCCTTCTTGAGCCCCATGATGCGTTATCTTAATTTTTAAAGCCTTTTGTGTCTCATACTGGAGTTTATTGTACCCCTTAAAAATATTAAGTCACATATTTAACCTGATAAAAGCAAAAATCATTATAAAAATCTTTAGGCTGGGTGTGGTGGCTTATGCTTGTAATCCTAGCGCTTTGACAGGCCAAGGTGGGTGGATTGCTTAAAACCCAGGAGTTGTAGACCAGCCTGGGCAACATGGTGAAACCCCATTTCTGCAAAAAATACAAAAAATTAGCCAGGTATGGTGGCATGTACCTGTAATCCCAGCTACTCGAGAGGCTGAAGTGGGAGGATTGCTTTAGCTTGGGAGTTCAAAACTGCAGTAAGCCATGATTGTGCCACTCTACTCCAGCCTGGGCAACAGAGTGAGACCCCATCTCAAAAAAATTTATTCAGTTAAAATCTTTAACAATAAAGCAATTTTGAGTTGTATTTTGCGACATTCTCAATATAGTTTTCCAACTTGCATTAAAATACATTTTAAACATTTTTGAAGACTAAATTAATTTTTTTAACTGACATTTATGTTTCATTTGACAACCTTTTGCTGTATATTTTATGTGGACTTTTAGGTATTGTAGTGATTCCTTTAATGAAGAAATAAAATAATTGTCATTTAAAAATGCATATTATTATTACCTTATGCTATAAAAATAGTTTTAAAATAGAGTATGTTTATTAAGATTTAAAAATAAGTATAGTCATGCACTGCATAACAGCGTTTTAGTCAGACTGCATAAGATTACGATGGAGCTGAAAAATTACTGTCACACAAATACTTACCATTGTGTTATTATTTCCATACACTGTTCAGTACAGTAACATATATGCTGTACAGGTTTGTAGCCTAGGAGCAACAGGCTATACAGCATAGCTTAGGTGTGTAGTAGGTTATACCATCTAGGTTTGTGTAAGTGCACTATCATGTTTGTATAACAACAAAATTGCCCAACAGCTCATTTCTCTTTATGTATCCATGACTGTATATTTTTTATTGTGGTAAAAAACACTTAACGTGAGACCTACCTTCTTCCACAAATTTTTAAGGGTACAATATAGTATTGTTAACTGTATGTACATTGTTATATAGCAGATCTCTAGAACTTTTCATCTTGCATGACTAAAATTATACCCATTGAACAGCACCTCCCAATTTTCGTCTCCCTCTGACCCCTGGTAACCACCATTTTACTTTCTGATTTGATGAGTTTTACTGTTTTAGACTCCTGATATTAGTGGATTCATGCAATATTTGTCCTTCTGTGACTGGCTTATTTCACTTAGTGTAATGTCCTCAAGATTCATCCATGTTGTAGTATATGACAGGATTTTTTTAAGGATACATAATATTTGGTTGTATGTATATTACCACATTTATTTTATCCATTCAACTGTCCTGGACATTTAGGTGGTTGTTAGTGTCTTGACTGCTGTGACAAAATAAGTACTTTTAAAAGTCTCACATTTGCAAGTTCAATTTGAACCTTTTTTTAGTCTGCTTGCACTTCTCTTATCAAGCAAGAAAGCACTTTTCTGCTTTTTCTATTACTAGTAACAGTGGAGATTAAATATCTCATGTTTTTGGGCGTTCTAGAGCCCAACACATCACCTGTTCCTTTCCATACTACCACAACTGACACTCTCTGGAAAGTGCCACCTCCCTGCAGCAGGCCAACCAGCACAAAAATAGTACATTAAACCAGCAAAGCTAAGAACCGTCAAAGAGTACATTTCACCCTCCTACCACCTCCACTGGAACAGGTGCTGGTATCCACAGCTGAGAGACCCACAGATGGTTCACATCTCCCGACTCTGTGCAGACTACCCCCCAGTACCAGCCTGGAGTCTGGTAGACTTGCTGGGTGGCTAGATCCAGAAGAGAGATAGCAATCACTACAGCTCAGCTCTCAGGAAGCCACATCCATAGGAAAAGGGAGAGAGTACTACATCAAGGGAACACCCCGTAGGACGAAAGAATCTGAACAACAACCTTCAGCCCTAGACCTTCTCTCTGACAGAGCCTACCCAAATGAGAAGGAACCAGAAAACCGACCCTGGTAATATGACAAAACAAGGTTCTTTAACGCCCCCCAAAAAATCACACTAGCTCACCAGCAATGGATCCAAACTAAGAAGAAATCCCTGACTTACTTGAAAAAGAATTCACTAGGTTGGTTATTAAGCTAAGGCATCAGAGAAAGGTGAAGCCCAATGTAAGGATATTAAAAAAAAAAAGATACAAGAAGTAAGGGGAGAAATATTCAATGAACTAGATAGCATAAATAAAAAACAATCAAAACTTTAGGAAATAATGGACATACTTATAGAAATATAAAATGCTCTGGAAAGTCTTAGCAATAGAATTGAACAAGTAGAAGAAGGAAATTCAGAGCCTGAAGACAAGGTCTTCTAATTAACCGAATCCAATAAAGACAAAGAAAAAAGAATAAGAAAATATGAAGAAAGCCTTCAAGAAATCTGGAATTATGTTAAATGACCAAACCTAAGAATAACCAGCATTCCTGAGGAAGAAGAGAAATCTAAACGTTTGTTAAACATATTTGGGGGAATAATTGAGGAAAACTTCCCCAGCTTTGCTAGAGACCTAGATCCAAATACAAGAAGCACAAAGAACATCTGGGAAATTCATCACAAAAAGATCGTCATCTAGGCACATTGTCGTCAGGTTATCTGAAGTTAAGATGAAAGAAAGAGCTGTGAAACAAAAGCACCAGGTAACCTATAAAGGAAAACTTACCAGATTAACAGCACATTTCTCAGCAGAAACCCTGCAAGCCAGAAGGGATTGGAACCCTATCTTCAGCCTCCTCAAACAAAACAATTATCAGCTGAGAATTTTGTATTCAGCAAAACTAAGCTTCATATATGAAGGCAAGATACAGCTTTTTCAGACAAACAGCGAATTCACCACTACCAAGCCACCAGTGCAAGAATGCTAAAAGGAACTCTAAATCTTGAAACAAATCCTGGAAACATATCAAAACAGAACCTCTTTAAAGCATAAATATCACAGGACCTATAAAACAAAAGTACAATTAGAAAAACAACAAAAACCAAAAAAAACAAGGTATACAGGCAACAAATAGCATGATGAATAGAGTGGTACCTCACATCTCAATACTAACATTGAATATAAATGGCCTAAATGCTCCACTTAAAAGATACAGAATTGCAGAATAGGTAAGAATTCACCAACCAACTATCTGTCGCCTTCAAGAGTCTCACCTAACACATAAGGACTCACATAAACTTAAGGTAAAGGGATGGACCAAGACATTTCATGCAAACGGACACCAAATGTGAGCAGGAGTTGCCATTCTTATATTAGACAAAACAAACTTTAAAGAAATAGCAGTTTAAAAAGACAAAGAGGGACATTATATAATGAAAAAAAGGCCTTGTCCAACAGGAAAGTATCACAATCCTAAACATATGCACCTAACACTGGAGCTCCCAAATTTATAAAAGAATTACTAATAGACCTAAAAAATTAGACAGACAGCAACACAATAATAGTGAGGGATTTTAATACTCCACTGACAGCACTGCACAGGTCATCAAGACAGAAAGTCAACAAAGAAACAGTGGATTTAAACTATACCTTGGAACAAATGGAGTTAAAAGATATATACAGAATATTCCATCCAACAACCACAGAATATACGTTCTGTTCAACAGCACATGAACTTTCTGTAAGATAGACCATATGATAGCCAACAAAATGAGCCTCAATAAATTTTAAGAAAATTAAAATTATATCAAGCACTCTCTCAGACCACAGTGGAATAAAACTGGAAATCAACTCCAAAAGGAACCTTCAAAACCATGCAGATACATGGAATAACCTGCTCCTGAATGATCATTGGGTCAAAGATGAAATCAAGATGGAAATGTAAAAATTCCTCAAACTGAATGACAATAATGACACAACCTATCAACCTCTGGGATACAGCAAAGGTGGTGCTAAGAGGAAAGTTCATAGCCCTAAATGCCTCCATCAAAAAGTTGGAAAGAGCACAGACAATCTAAGGTCACATCTCAAAGAACTAGAGAAACAAGAACAAACCCAGCAGAAGAAAGAAGATCAGAGCGGAATTAAATGAAATTGAAACAAAACAACAAAAAAATCCAAAAGATAAATGAAACGAAAAGCTGGTTCTTTGAAAAGATAAATAAAATTGATAGACCGTTAGCAAGATTAGCCAAGAAAAGAGAGAAAATCCAAATAAGCTCAAGAAATGAAACGGGAGATATTACAACTGACACCACAGAAATACAAAAGATATTCAAGGCTACTATGAACACCTTTACATGCATAAACTAGAAAACCTAAAATAGATGGATAAATTCCTGGACAGATACAACCCTCCTAGCTTAAATCAGGAAGAATTACCCTGAACAGACCAGTAACAAGCAGGGAGATTGAAATGGTAATTAAAAAATTACCAACAAAAAAATGTCCAGGACTAGACGGATTCACAACAGAATTCCACCAGATATTCAAAGAAGAATTGGTACCAGTCTTAAAGACACTATTCCACAAGAGAGAGAAAGAAGGAATCCTCCCTAAATCATGAAGCCAGTATCACCCTAATACCAAAACCAGGAAAGGACATAACCAAAGAAGAAAACTACAGACCAATATCCTTGAACATAGATGCTAAAATCCTTAAGAAAATTCTAGCTAACTGATTCCAACAACATATCAAAAAGATAATCCACCATGATCAAGGGGTTTCATACCAGGGATGCAGGGATGGTTTAACATACACATGCGCGTAGCCAAAGCAAGACTAAGCAAAAAGAACAAATCTGAAGGCATCACATTACCTGATTTCAAACTTATACTATAAGGCCATAGTCACCAAAACAGCATGGTACGGTTATAAAAATAGGCACATGGACCAATGGAACAGAATAGAGAACCCAGAAATAAACCCAAATACTTACAGCCAACTGATCTTCAACAAAGCAAACAAAAACGTAAAGTGGAAAAAGGATACCCTTTTCAACAAATGGTGCTGGGATAATTGGCTAGCCACATGTAGGAGAATGAAACTGGATCCTCATCTCTCACTGTATACAAAAATCAACCCAAGATAAATTAAAGACTTAAATCTAAGACCTGAAACTATAAAAATTCTAAAAGATACCATTGGAAAAATCATTCTAGACATTGGCTTAGGCAAGGATTTCAAGCAAATGCAATAAAAACAAAGATAAATAGCTGGGACTCAATTAAACTAAAGAAATTTTGCACAGCAAAAGGAACAGTCAGCAGAGTAAACAGACAACCCACAGAGAAGGAGAAAATCTTTCATAATATATACATCTGAAAAAGAACAAATATCCAGAATCTACAATGAACTCCAACAAATCAGCAAGAAAAGCAGTCCCCTCAAAAAGTGGGCTAAGGACATGAATAGACCGTTCTTAAAAGGAGATATACAAATGGCCAATAAACATATGGAAAAATGCTCAACATCACTAATGATCAGGGAAATGCAAATCAAAACCACAGTGCGATACCGCCTTACTTCTGCAAGAATGGCCATAATAAAAAAATCAAAAAAATAGTAGATGTTGGCATGGATGTGGTGAACCCAGAACACTTCTACACTGCTGGTGGGAATGTAAACTAGTACAACCACTATGGAAAACAGTGTGGAGATTCCTTAAAGAACTAAAAGTAGAACTACCATTTGGTCCAGCAATCCCACTACTAGATATCCACCCAGAGGAAAAGAAGTCATTATACGAAAAAGATACGTGCACTCGCATGTTTATAGCAGCACAATTCGCAATTGCAAAAACGTGGAACCAACCCAAATGCCCATCAATCAATGCGTGGATAAAGTAACTGTGATATATATACATACAATGGAATACTCCTCAGCCATAAAAAGGAGTGAATTAATGGCATTCGCAGTGACCTGGATAAGATTGGAGACTATTATTCTAAGTGAAAGAACTCAGGAATGGAAAACCAAACATCGCTGTGTTCTCACTCATAAGTGGGAGCTAAGCTATGAGGATGCAAAGGCATAAGAATGACACAATGAACTTTGGGGACTCAGGGAGAAAGGGTGGGAAGGGGATGAGGAATAAAAGACAAAAATTGGGTGCAGTGTATACTGCTCAGGTGATGGGTGTACCAAAATCTCACAAATCACCACTAAAGAAGTTAACCAACACCACCTGTTCCCCAGTAACCTATGGAAAGAAAGAAATGTCTCATATGTTTCTGCCTAAATTGGTCTTTAATACTTTAGCGATTCTCTTGAGTTTGGACTATAAAATAGTTTTGGTCTTTTTGTATTTTCTGCTGTAAGCCTGTATGATTATGTAATGGTGAGTAAAATTGCTAGGCCAGATACGCAGTTCTAGGAAGTTATTCAAAGATGTGCTTTAGTATATTATTTTCTACCTTTTTAAATTCATTTTGAGCTTGGCTTTTGAGCCTCTATTTTCCAAGGTGAGGTGTATGTTTTTATAATGTTATGCTTAGCCCTTGTGTATTTTCATCTCTGAGTTTGAAATTTGGGGTTATATTGGCAAAGGGAGGTTTGGGTTTTAATTAGGTGACCTGTTACAGGAAATGTTAAGCTTCTGTTTCTTTGGGGTAGACAGTGAGAGATTTATCAAGATAAAGAAGAAAAATAAATCCTAAAGTTAATATTCAATACATGATGATGTCACCCTTACTAAAGCCAAAGAGGGCATTATCCTATCATTCTCATCGCTAAGAACTCTTCTCCTCTTGGCACATGCTTATTCAGTTAAAGATAAGCCAAGCCTTTCTTTTGTATTTTTTTTTTAAGAGAACAAATTTACTTCGGTTTTGAGTTTTATTCCTGGCTCTGGGTAGCTTATTTTTTTGACCCTTATTTTCCCCAATTTATAAAATGAAATAGTTATCTTCACTCCCCAGGATTGTTGTGAAGAGTAAGTCAAAAGATAAAATGAGGTGACTCAGGCAAAAGTACCTGGCCCTGTGTAGTGAGTACATTGTATGTGTTACATATATTCTTATTGCTGAGAATCCACGAAAGAATGAATTAAATAATGAGGACCCTTTCATCAGGGTTTTTGAGTGAGTTTTTTAAAATACAAGGTAGTAGTTTGTGTAAATACTAAATCCATTGGTACCTGTGCAGAATGTAGGAAATGGAGTTGCTAATTCCAAAAAAAACAGCACATATGCTGAGGAAAGTATAATACCTAATATATATGGTTTAAGCAATGTAAAATTCCATGAATATGTTCCTTTTCATCTTAAAATTTGTGATTTAAAAAACATTGTTATTACTATAAAGAATTATTATTATTTCCCTTGATTTACAGAGTATTGTTACAATCACATTTGAAGTACCAGGAAATGCAAAGGAAGAACATCTTAATATGTTTATTCAGGTGAATGCAATTTTTAACTGATTAATGATTTATCAATGGTTTTGTTACATAGTTGTTGCTATTAGCGATGGTTGGTCTTATTAAAATATGTCACTTGATACAGAATCTCCTGTGGGAAAAGAATGTGAGAAACAAGGACAATCACTGCATGGAGGTCATAAGGCTGAAGGTACAGTTTACTGTTGCAGACTTTTGGACAAAGTCCTTTTCTTGGCTGTTATAAAAACTATATTTGGTTTTAAACAGAAACACTGGTTTTAGTACAAATCATCTTTGTCTACTTTCATTTTTCTTTATTATTTTCATGACTGAAAAGGAGCTTTGGAAATCACTGCATAAGGCTTGATTTATTTGCACAACTTTCTTTAGGGTTGCAGCTAGAACAAACCTGTGCGCTTTGAAATGTTACCTTCTGCTCTCTGTTCCCAAGTACAGAGAAATAATGTTGCAAATCTCACTTCTGCTGAACATTATGCTTCCTGATGCATTTAGCAGACACTAAACATTTGTCATACTCTAAACAAAGTTACAAAGGACTAGAAGAATTCTTGTTCTGTATTTAGAAACCCACTCACATTACTTGATATTTGGGTATTTAAGTCATGAAAGGTATTTCTTCTAGGAAGCAGTGATTCTAAAGTGTATGCTTAACCAGTCAGTTGAGTGTCTACTCTTGTGTGTTCACAAGTGTACACAAAGTTTTTGGTAAATTAAGAATATTATTTCAAATAAATTAATTTCATCCCCATAGGAGCCAGTTTATCAGATAATTCGTTTCTCATTTCTGCAAATCAATACACAATGAGCTCATATTCAGATAAATATAATAGTTTTTCTTTATTTCAACATTGTTCATTGATTGCAACCCATTTCTAAAACAAATTATTTAATATAACCAAACTCCTTTAACTTCTCAACTTTTCCCACTAAAACTGTGAAACATTATATAAAATCTTTAATCAATAGGATATGATACATATTTCATCATTTTGTTTCAGGTTTTGGTTGTGATAAAAAACACTGAAAAACCATCCTAATATATGTATTAACTTTATCATTAGAAAAGGGGATTGTTCAAAAAAAAAACAATACACAGAAACCTTTTTTGAAAATTAAAAACATTAAGAAACTTCTTGTAATTCACAAATAATTGAAATTAAATAATTTTCTCAGCTTAAGAGTTTGTATTTTTTAAGTGAATATCAGTAATTAATCCATTAACATTGATGCTCTATTTCTGCTTTTAAGTTTGAACTGAGGCTGATCAATGTTCAATCAATTCTCCTTTGAGCAGGGATTGGTGTCAATCAAAGACAAATCACAACAAGTGATTGTCCAGGGTGTCCATGAGCTCTATGATCTGGAGGAGACTCCAGTGAGCTGGAAGGATGACACTGAGAGAACAAATCGATTGGTCCTCATTGGTAAGTCTCAAAGGATTCACAGTTTTAAAACAAAGTGAAAAATATATTTGAAAGGGATATCATGTGCCACTTAAACAGATTAACCATTCAGGTCCTCTTTTAAAACTAAATAAGCTTGTGGTCAATGTTTCATCTTTATCATGTTACAACGTTCGTAAAAGCTTGTTAGGACTTTTGTTCTTCTTCAGTTTTAGAAAAGTGGTTAATCCAAGGACCAATGTGACTTTGATGTACTGACCTGGAAAGTTAAAGATGGAATCACTCAATTACTATTCTTTTTGTAAATTTCTAAACACCATAAAGCATTTAATGAACTGGAATTGATAGGTGAACTGTGTCATTTTAATAAGCATAATGTAATCACGTCATATTTTGTTTTGTTTGCAGGCAGAAATTTAGATAAGGATATCCTTAAACAGCTGTTTATAGCTACTGTGACAGAAACAGAAAAGCAGTGGACAACACATTTCAAAGAAGATCAAGTTTGTACATAACACTAGTGGCATTTCTTATCAAAAGGATTGGATAATAAAAATAAGTTTCTACTGGGTATATTTCAAGCATTTATTTATTACTTTAGTTACGAATTCCAATATACTTTAAAATGGTATTTGTTTTACAGCATACATAAAATGTAGCAAATCAGTACTGTAAAACATTTAACATTCATACAATTATATATAATATCCTTTTTTTTAAAGAATGGTATTTCACAAAAATATCTTTTGAAATTGGCTTTGGAGTTTACATATACTGAACATGAAAGTTTATAATAATGATGATACAACTTTCAACATCGTCATTTTTTCTTAGAACTTCAGCTGATTGCAGAGATATAATGATTACATTGTTATTAAATTTTTTTAACACAAGTAAGTGTCACCATTTTATGACATGAAATAAAAGGTTATGACTGTTATTGATGTTGATGTTGACGACCTGATCACCTGGCTGAAGGAGTGTTTGTCAGGTTTCTGCATTGTAAAGTTACTCTTCTCCCCCATTTCATACTGTGCTCTTTGGAAGGAAATCACTATGCACAGCCCACACTAAAGGAATGGGGAGTTGTAGTGTACTTTCTTGGGAGTGGTCTACATAATTAATTGAAATTCTTCTGCAAGGGACAGTTGTCCCTTTCGCTTTATTAGTTTGATCATTTATGTTTATCAGTGTGGACACGAATATTTTATACTTTGGGTTACAATTTAATACTACTTTATTTTGTTGCTCAAATTTTCCCAGCTTTGACCATTGGGAACTCTTTCAGTTATCTCCTGTTCCCCCCTTTGACATACCCCCATCAATGTGGGTTTTGTGTTTTGTTTTTGAGCGCCTCCTTATTTTTCTCTTGTATTTTTAAATAACCCCAATCCCTATTGAAGCTGGCGCTAGGAAAACTAACAATACTCCCTTTCCCAGGTCATCCGATTCCTATGCTGATGGAGGAAATTTGCCTCACATGCTGGGGGGCGCTGGGGAGGAGGCGTCTGGGATTATGTGGTTGAATAAGACACCTGGCCTGGCCCTCCTGGAGCTTAGTTTAGTAGGTCACACAAGCAGTCATTGGTAAATTTGGGATTCAAACAAATCTGTTAGGCTCAAACCTGTCTGTTATTTGTCCTCCAAGCTTCATATAAACTGAGGAGCCCTAAAGGGTAAAAACTTCAGGAGCAGCAAAGTTTCAAAAAAAGATCAGCAAGAAAGCTCTTTTCCAGATTTTATCCTGAAGGCACTAGCTACTTTAAGCTATTTTTTATTATATTTTGCCCTTGCAGTTGGCGTTTGATTTCTCACTGAACATTCATTGTCATAATTATAGACACTATGTGACTATCAAGGGCATAATATTCTTTCATGCTGCATTTTTTATTAGATGGCACCTCAAAGTTTTCCCAAGTAGGTGGGTTTTAAATTATGAATATATACCGTGGCATAGTATCTTACTTAGTATTTTAATAAGAGCCTTATTTATATAACAAATATTTTTTTTTATTCCTCTGTAGTGCTACTTTAGTCTCTGAGCTAATTTTCATGAAGCCAATCTAAAAATCGCGTTACTTCTAAGGATGTGGAGCGAGTGAGATGAACAGTTGTGCTGTCATATTGCCCCTCCCCAGTGCAGATAGTGAATGAGGACCCACTGATTTAAAGGCAACACTGCAGCCCCTTCTTGCCTCATTGAAGTCCCAAGTTTTATTACAGTAAAAGCACTTAATGTTGACATTTCTGAAAGAATGAAGAGGCCGGGCACGGCGGCTCACGCCGGTAATCCCAGCACTTTGGGAGGCTGAGGCAAGCGGATCATGAGGTCAGGACATCGAGACCATCCTGGCTAACACGGTGAACCCCGTCTCTACTAAAAATACAAAAAATTAGCCAGGCGTGGTGGCGAGCGCCTGTAGTCCCATCTACTTGGGAGGCTGAGGCAGGAGAATGGCGTGAACCCAGGAGGCGGAGCTTGCAGTGAGCTGAGATCGCCCCACTGCACTCCAGCCTGGGCGACAGAGCGAGACTCCGTCCCAGATAAATAACCAACCAAATTAGCTGGGCGTGGTGGCGGGCGCCTGTAGTCCCAACTACTCAGGAGGCTGAGACAGGAGAATGGCGTGAACCCGGGAGGCGGAGCTTGCAGTGGTCCTAGATTGTGTCACTGCACTCCAGCCTGGGCGACAGAGCGACTCCGTCTCAAAAAAAAAAAAAAGGAGAAAAAGAATGAAGAGCCAGAGCCAGAGCCAGGCATAGTGGCACGCCTGTAGTCCCACCTACTCAGGAGGCTGAGGCGGGAGGATCACTTGAGCCCAGGAATTCAAAGCCAGCCTGCTCAACATAGACCCTGTCTCTAAAAATGAATTGGTTATAAAGGATGAAGAAAGGAAGGAGGAAAGGGAGAGAGAGAAGCCCTTATAGAGTGGGTGCATTTCTTGTATGTGGGGCCACTTTGTAAGAACAGGATTTTTCAAACTGGGCCCATACTGGTACGTGTGAAATCAACTTAGTTGGTTATGGCCATTTTTTTTTAAAAGGAAATATCAGTCATCACTATAGTGTAAGTATATTGTTTCGTGAAACCCATCTTAGTTATGTATTATGTCTGTATGTGTAAGATTGTTATATAAAATGTATTTCTGTGGTTAAATATTCAAAGAAATTGGAGAACCATTGCTACAAGGGGACAGAGGACTCCGTGTGAGCTCTCCTGCCTTCCCTGAATAAACTTACACAATTTAGTGCTGGGACATTTGGACCTTTTCTGAAAATTTGAGTCAGGGAGAGCATCTTGGGGAGGTGGGAAGGAAGGTAGAAGGAGCAAAGCAACACCCCCCTGAAGCCTGGGAATATTGTCAGAACCTTAAATATAATTCAGCTCACCATTCTGGGTAAGGACAGACTCTACCAATGAAAATGGGTGATTACCAGCTGTGAAACACAAAAACATACTTTTACGGTTACACATTCCTTTACAAACAACCGTGTACATTTCAGCCTCCTGCCCCACCATTTCTTTTCTCCAGGAGGGAAGGCTGCATGTCGAGGTGGTCATAGAATGTTGAGTATCATACTTTCCTACCTCGCTTTTATTTGCGCGGGTTTAAATGCGCCTTAACAGAACCCGTGCAAAGGCTTGCCAACTGTCTGGCTGCACCGGATGAGTAGAGCATCTTCCTTGGTGGCAGGTGGGTGCGAGGAGGAGGGGCCTGGGCTTTTCTCCGGACAGTGTTTGCCCAGAAGACCATCATCCCTGGACTACGTTAGGAGGAAGTGGCACCGCTCCGAGGTAGGGGAAGAAGGGTTATAAAGGGGGGAGTCCACCACACATGGTCTTGAAGAAGCTTTTATAAAAGGCAAAGGCATCTTTGCCGGACGTTGTTGCAAAGGAGTAGAAACAAGCAGACGAAAACATCCCAAAGGGTAACCACTAGCGTTCCTGCTTCTTGCAACATTCATCCCAGGCTTCCAGCTCAGCCCGCCCCAGGCCAGGTGATCGGCCGCCACATCCCCTGCGACTGAAGCACCTGCTCCTCCATGAACCTGCCAAGAGCTGAGCGCCCTCGCTCCACACCGCAGCGCAGCCTCCGGGACTCCGATGGGGAAGACGGTAAAATCGATGTCCTGGGAGAGGAGGAAGATGAAGACGAGGTGGAAGACGAGGAGGAGGAGGCGAGACAGCAGTTCCTAGAGCAGTCGCTCCAGCCGGGGCTGCAGGTGGCCCGGTGGGGCGGGGTTGCGCTTCCCCGAGAGCACATCGAGGGCGGCGGCGGCCCGAGTGACCCTTCAGAGTTTGGCACCAAGTTCAGGGCACCGCCAAGGTCTGCGGCGGCCTCTGAAGATGCCCGGCAGCCGGCAAAGCCCCCCTACTCGTACATCGCGCTCATCACCATGGCCATCCTGCAAAACCCGCACAAGCGCCTCACGCTCAGCGGCATCTGCGCCTTCATTAGTGGCCGCTTCCCATACTACCGCCGCAAGTTCCCCGCCTGGCAGAACAGCATCCGCCACAACCTCTCGCTGAACGACTGCTTCGTTAAGATCCCCCGCGAGCCGGGCCACCCAGGCAAGGGCAACTACTGGAGCCTGGACCCCGCCTCCCAGGACATGTTCGACAATGGCAGCTTTCTCCGGCGTAGGAAGCGTTTCAAGCGCCACCAACTGACCCCGGGAGCCCACCTGCCCCACCCCTTCCCTCTACCTGCTGCACACGCCGCCCTGCACAACCCCCACCCAGGCCCTCTGCTTGGGGCCCCTGCCCCGCCGCAGCCAGTCCCGGGGGCCTACCCCAACACCGCCCCCGGGAGACGCCCTTACGCTCTGCTGCACCCGCATCCTCTTCGCTACCTACTGCTCTCGGCCCGCGTCTATGCCGGGGCACCGAAGAAAGCAGAAGGCGCGGACCTGGCGACCCCGGCACCCTTCCCGTGCTGCAGCCCTCACTTGGTCCTCAGCCTTGGGAGGAGGGCAAGGGTCTGGCGTCGCCACCGGGAGGCGGATGCTTCTCTTTCAGCATTGAGAGTATTATGCAAGGGGTCAGGGGAGCGGGTACAGGGGCTGCGCAGAGTTTGTCCCCGACCGCGTGGAGCTACTGCCACCTGCTCCAGCGACCATCAAGCCTGTTGCATCCCCAAACCGCTGCCCCTTTGCTGCAAGTGTCCGCCGCCGCTGCTGCTCGGACAATTTTGCAGCAATAGCAGCAGCATCAGGAGGACTGCGCCAACGGCTGCGCTCCCACCAAGGGCGCGGTGCTGGGCGGGCACCTGTCGGCCTCGTCGGCGCTGCTGAGGTATCAGGCAGTGGCGGAGGGCTCTAGGCTGACATCGCTGGCTGCCCCTTTGGGCGGAGAGGGGACCTCACCAGTTTTTTTAGTATCGCCCACGCCCAGTTCCCTGGCCAACTCCGCAGGGCCCTCCTAGAGCCAGGTGGGAGTGGGGAGCGACCCGCAGCTGCTCACTCCACCTTGCGCGGCCCATACTGGGCGTGTGCATCTGAATCCCGCTGGAGAGCAAACACGAACTTCTGTTCGTTCGCTGCAAAATGGTTAGAAAGATTACATTCCTCTAAGCTGGATTACGTTCCTCTAAAAACCACCTGAACGTAACCTTCGCAGGGCGTCAAGTCATCTTTTCTTGCCTTCGGTTGTGGCTTCTATGGCTGTCCCGATTTGCACATTGTCATCTTTGAAGATTAGTGACATAGCATTCATCTTCTGTTGTCACCTTTTCCGTCATTCCCTGTATGCCTGATGGACAGGTTTCACTGAAGTTCAGAGAACAGCATGCAAAATTAGCTACCAATTAATCTTTATGAAGTGAGCTGCATTTCTAGCCACACTGAGCTTATGTTTTAGCAGGAAGCATTTTTGGGAAATGTTTATGTTAGAGTTTGCCCTTCTTGACAAGGTGAGACATAAATGTCTACTTTAGAGACATGAATTAAGATGGGAAGATATTTGGGGGAATCATTTACTCAAACGCTAAGTAATAAAGGTACACAAAGGGCAAATTATACTAGATTTCTTTCCCACTTGTTTTCTATGTCTCTTGCAATTCACCTTGATTCCCTTCAGTTTCTGTTTAATGTAGAAAGTGGCATTTTCATTATTTTAAGCTTCTAGCACAATGAAAGAATTTCTCTTTTTCATGAACAGGATCATAAATGAAAGGGAGGAAGAGTGTCCTATATCATATTTATTGTTCAACAAAACACTGCTCCACGGCTTCAATTCAGTTTAAAAAAGAGAATTTATTGAACATTTAACACATACATAAAAGGCAGTAAAGACAAATGAGAAGAGGGGGGGATATTGAAGTATACGGACTTCAATGCTGAGTTTTACATCTTAGGAAGTTACTCCACCTTACAGAGGCTCAATTTCCCCTGATTTAGGAAGGCGATGCTAATGGGTATTGCATAGGTGTAAGTATAAAAATGTTGTATTTAAGAGAATCCCACAAGCTTGGTATAAGGCAGAAAATAAATAGATGTGACATGAATAAGTAGTTTATTACATTTGTATGCTACCTGCGGACTAGAGGAAGCAAGAAAAACAGCCACTATGCTTGATTAGCATTATAGAGATGGTACAATGATGGTTGCCAGAAGCTGGGGGGAGGAAGAAATGGGGAAGTATTGTTTAATGGGTATAGAGTTTCAGTTTTACAAGATGAAACGAATTATGGAGATGGATGGTAGGGACGGCTGCACAATGTTATGACTATATTTAGTACCACTGAACTGTACACTTAAAATGGTTAACAGAGTACATTTTATGTTATGTGTATTTTACCACAATAAAAAAATAAAATACCTTAGGAACATTTTCATGAAAAAGCCCACATAAAATTCATTTTAATGCACGTGTTTTTGCATAGCTTTCTATTTTTCTCTTTTCTCTTTATATTCCAAATTCTAATCAGAGAAGGGAATCCCCTCTGTACCTCCAGGATATTCAGTAAAGACCACTGGAGGTTCATGCCCTAGTGACAGTGCTCATTTAGCTCCAAATTACAGATGGCTCTAGACTAACTCCACAAAGTTTAAAGAGAAGATTTAAAACAACAACAGACAAATACGCATCCTGAAGTTACTGAACTGCCTGCCACAACACTGTTCAAAGGTAGCCAATAAAAATCTAGATATTCAATAGCATAACATCAAAATACCCCCCCAAAAAAACTCTGACATGCAAAGAAGCCATAAGATATATAAAATTAAGATATATATTAACAGGATAAAAATAAGTCATTTATAAATGACAGAAAAGAAGGAAATTTCAAGGTCCTTAAAGTAAATATATTTTATAAATACATATAGATAAATACATGTATATGTCAAGGTACTTAAATGAAAATTGAACATAGCAGAAAAATAGAAGTTATAAAATGAAAAATGTGACATGTATAGATGAAAAATAAATATTTGAAATAAAAATTCCATGAGATAGAATGTCATGGATTTTACCCTAACATTAGAAAATTTATAGAAAAAAAATAGAAGCTTTACAAACTAAAGTACAAGGGTAAACTAAAATAAGAAAGCCAGAAACTCACTGATACGTCAGACAACATGCAGCAGTGTAACATACATGTAATTAATGTCTCAAAAAGGATGGGTGGGGGAATTATACATGAATAAAGAATGGTACACTCATTCCTGAGGGCACCGAGGAGTGAGGATAGCTTTAGATTTGTAAGGGAGGGTATTATCCATTCAGGAAGGTCCAACCCCATGAACAAACACCTCCCAGTAAGCCCCACCTGCAACATTGGGGATCAAATTTTAACATGAGATTGGAAGGGGCAAGCATTCAAACAATAGCAAGAGTTAAATTTCCTTTTTAAAAAAATCACTTATATGATTCCATTTCGCCATAGATAAAAGCTAGTATTTCAGCCTACCATTGAGTGTGCTTATAGCTCACCAAAAGGGCACTCTGTCTCGGGAATACAGATTTGCCTACAGGTATCCTATTGCAGTCAAAGAAAGAGCAATGAGGGATAGAAAAGGTTAGTGATGGAGACACCAACGCTGCATTTTGCAACAAACAACGTAAAAATTTTACGGATTGGTTCTGCTAACTTACTACAGTTTACATTCCTCCCGGGGGAGAATTGTTGCGTTTTTTCTTAAGATAGAAAAGCAATTCAGATAATCTGAAATCTCCCCAAGAAGGATAAGACGCACAGCAGAAACTATTCTAGGCAGGAAGTCAATCCTTTCAACTGTCTGTGCTCCATAGAAACAATTGTCTGCACTGGGAGTCATATGAGGTACAGACAACAGCCAGAACTCTGATCCTCTCATTAGTGATTTCAGAAGAAATTACCAGTCAACTGAGTAATTCACTGAGTAAAGTAAACATTTGGCACTGAAAGAGGTTAGACGGATAACTATTTGTATCACCATATTCATGAAGCTGGAATATTTTCCATTACTGGTATCACATCCGAATGGAAGATGTTAAAAGGTCTCTCATCTTGTAAGATGGATATGAAAGAACATTTTCTGATAAATGAAATTATTAACACACCTGCGAGGTGGATGGAAGAGAAAAAAAAGAATAATCAGCTTGAGTTCTTCTCCTTGATAAGACAACTCACTAAAAACATAAAGAGAAAAATACAAGTTTAAAATAATTAACCAGAAGAAGACGACTCTAGAGTTTTTAAATTGCTGATAAGATTTTAATTTGCTCCAAGTTGAAAATAATTATATTGCTTGTGTTTTAAGGCACATAATGAGCAATTATATCACACATGATAGTTTCAGCAGTAAAATATTATCAGTTAACAGCTGGAACTCATAAAAGCATAGCACTATGTGAAGATGGAATTTGCTAAAATAAACCATCTGCTGAAAACTACTATTCTGCAAATTTAAAAATAAAGTTTAAATGTTATTTGTCTTATTTAATAGGTCTGTGAAAAAATGCGCTCTTTGAAAAGCAGCTGCTACCTTAATTAATTCTTTATATTAGACGGCTGGTTACAGTAATGCACAGTAAGGTGCTACATAGATATATTGCTAAATTATCTGCATATACTATGTATTTGGCTTAAATTATTTGAAATTTTATAGTTAAAATAACAAATGTATATTTAAATGTTTTGACACAAATTGCAAATATACCTTTAAAAAGCGTCTTACACTCTAAATATTATTTGTCACATATATATTTGTCTTTTCTCTATAGGAAAGTTTAAATTTTTCCCTTGAAACTTTAATTATTTGAGTCTATAAAACAAACCAAAAATGTACAAATTAACAGGAAAAAAAGGTTTACAGATATGTGCACAAGTATGCACTTGGAGTTTACATAATATATATATCTATACACATATTTGTATATTATAAATAGATATACAAATATATACTATATATATAAAAACTCCAGGAAAGGCAAGGTAGTCAACACGCCTATGCCGTCTTGAGGTTACAGAAAACACAGAGCTGTAGGTTGGTAAATCAGGCTTTGCGGAAGACAGGTGATGACAAGGAAGAAAGAGGAGCCTGGTAGCAGAGGTGGTCTTGTTCCATGGATGAAACCTCACAGGGAGCAGCCCTCCTCTTGGGAAGTATAGATAGGAAATGGTTTTTAGAAATGTAAACGTGCCAGGCTCAGTTAATCTTTCCTAAACCCACACAAGGGAGTATCTCAGGAAAAGACTGTCTATATCAATGCAGATTTTCTCTACAAATGCAAATCTCCCCAACAAACACAGCTTTTCAGCTATTCTTGTAGAAGAAGCTATCTCCAGTCTTCCGAGCAGCCATCTTGAAATATGTCAAAAAGCTGCCCAGGCGCACGCCTGTAATCCCAGCACTTTGGGAGGCTGAAGTGGGTAGATCACCTGAAGTCAGGAGTTGGAGACCAGCCTGACCAACGTGGTGAAACCCCGTCTCTACTAAATACAAAAAATTAGCCGAGTGTGGTGGTGCATGCCTGTAATCTCAGCTACTTGGGAGGCTGAGCTAGGAGAATTACTTGACCCTGGGAGGCTGAGGTTGCAGTGGGCCAAGATTGTGCCATTGCACTCTAGCCTGGGCAATAAAAGCAAAACTCCATCTCAAAAAACAATGTATTTTAGGGTAATATTTTCAGTATCTTTACCTCCATATATACAATAAATATTATTGTGATTTTTAATCTTTTTTGTGGAGGAAACACAGGTGTGATTTCTAGTGTAGCTGAACATCGTTTATTTGACAATATTGCACTTGTGTGTGGGTGTGTGCGTGTGTAGCTACTCTTTAATTTTGTTCTCACATAATGATTAGATATTAACAATTAATTCAGTAAAATGTATGTTTTGCAATATTTCTCCATGTTATCATGCTTTAAATTAGTTTAATCATGCCCCTATAATGTGTACATTTTAACCTTTGACTATAGGTCTCAATCTTACTTTGGTTCCTGTATTTGAATTTATGCTAATAAAGTCCTACAGCTAAAAAAGATTATATAAACTTATCTACATTTTTACTAGTATTCTGGTGTCATTTTAAATTATGTAATAAAATCAAATTTTAATTTGGATTATTCTTATCTGAGTTAAGGATCTAAATTTTTAATATTCTTATAAATATTACATAATTATTTCTGAACCATATATTGACTAATCTGCCCTTTATATGATGTGCATTATAAGAGCTTGGGATTGTTTCATTTGCAAAGATGAATGCTTGAGAAGTAGATATTTAATCATAACGTTTCAAAATCTATTGGATAACTTAGAATTGAAAAATAGCCTATAGGTTGAAAAACTCCTGTAGTGAAGGAAGAAAATAACTAATATACAGTGACAATATAAATATTATAAGTATTTATTTTATTATCACCCTGAAATTTGATAATACAAACATGTAATATCTACATATCATCCATATATCATGTCATAAAAAATCAATACATTCTTCAAAAATTTAGCATAACAGAAAATGAACTCTCTCTCCTTGATGGAATTAAGTTACAAATAAAAGTAAAAAATAAATAGATAAGTAGATGGAAGTAGATGTTTGAAAACAAAGAAAAATACTTGTTTTGGATAACATAAAATCTCAATTGACAATTCCAATATTTCCAGAACTTTGCCTGTCAACTGGTGGAGAGTTTTCCCCAGGAGACATTTGTCAATGTCTAGTGTTATTGTGGGGATGTCAAGACTGGTGGAGGTGTGAAATTTAGAGGTCAAACGAAACACCTAGCATTGCTAGGGCAGCCTCCCACAGCAAAGAATCCTCTGGTCCTAAAGGTAAGTAGCACCAAGGTTGAGAAACCATAATCTAGACAGTAAACACTACGTAGCTATTCCAAGTGCTCAGGAAAACACATCAGTGCCCTCGGGGGGAAAAGTGTGAACATTTTAATTGCCGTACATGGTGACACAAATCCATGTTGTTAATCTAAGTGGAAGGGGCTGAAGCACAAAACGTAATTCAAAGAGTTTACTTAAGCCAAAATGAGGACAGCTGCCTGGAAGAAACAGACCCAAGTATCCTTGGATATGAACTCCCTTTGGAGCTTTGCAACAAGCAGTTTCTTAAAGGCAAAAAAGGGTCCAGAAGTGGGATGATGCAAAGAGGTTTGTCACAAATTCTCATTGGCTTATGGAAATAGCATTTATTAGTGACTGGCTATACACTGTTACACTATTATTGGGTGTGGATTATACTATCTGGTGTGGCGTTATTGGTTAATTAATAGCTACTGTGGCAACAGCAAGCAGCCTAGATGAACACACAGCTCAAAGAGGAGCAGGACAGAACTGCTGTCTCATTTGAATATCTCTCTGGGCCTGATTATTTAAAAGGACTTGCATTTCTCACATGAAAGTTATTTTCTTTTCTCAATGTCCATAAATGAGAATAAATAGACGTAAAATAGATCTTTTCGAGGATGAAGTAAATGGAATGAAAAACAAAACCCAAGCTGACCAGAAATCATAGAGGGAAGAAAAGGTTATAAATATATGGATTTGTCAGAGTGATTTTAAGCTATTAGGAATCAGTTAAATGTTGGGGGATTTTGTCTGAGAATGGGCTAAAGGAGAATGTCCCTTTTGCCTTCTGAAGTTTCCCTGAAAATCACTAATAGGAGGCAGATAAATAGTAGAAAAGGCATACAGGTTTCTGCAATGTGTGTACACTGGAGCCATTAGAACGAAGACCCAGACACACGATGCGTGCAGAAGCTTATCTACCACATGAAGTTTACAGAAAGAATGGGGTCTTGGATCACAGGAAAAAAAAAAAAGGTTATGTGAGAAAACGACCCTGGCTAGCAACAGTGGACTTTTTACATAGGTGAAACCTCACTGGGAGCAGTCCTCAGAAAGAATAGACAGAAAATGTTTCTTTCAGACCTTTGGAGACCTCCGATGCTCAGTTAACCTTTCCTAGATCCAGACAAGGGGGCAGACCTCAGAGAAAGCCTGGCTGCATCAAGGCAGATTCTCTACCGATGCAAATCTCCCCAAGACAGCTTTGCAGCTAAGTTTGCATTCCCAGCCCTTCTCAATAGCCATTTTGAAATATATCAAGGAAATATATTTAGGGGTAAAATATATTAGTTTCCTTCATACAGCTATAAAACATACAGGAATAATTTTTGTCAATGTCTACTACAAATCCAATGTAGCAGTAATTATAAAACCCACTAGATATTGAAGAAAAAATATGTAGAGTACATCAATTACAAATGTTGATACTAAAATGCCAAATAAAATAAAAATAATATCCAACAATGTTTGAAACAGTAAGACAAGAAATTGGCAAAAAAAAAATAAAACAAATATCCACCTTGGGGATGAAAGTGTGTTTCCAAATTTGGTAATCCAATAATATTAATAATAATATTGATTAGCCCAAATTAAAAATAAATAGGGGATTCTCAGTACATGCTAGAATATATTTGTTAAAAGGCAATATTCATGTCTGTAAAGATTTTAAATGCTGTAAAGAGTCTGATATTCTATATGCAAACGTGTGTATGTCCATTAGAAGAAGAGAGGCCTGATTTTCATATGTTACTATATAGAGATAGAGAAGTGGGTAGATTAATTTGCATATGCATAGAGAAAGCATAAAATAGAAATTTACTATCATATTAAAGGAATTTTAATTCAACAATAAAATAATTCAAAGGTAAAATTTTAAATATTTTTAACAGGTACATTATTAATATTAGATAATATTTATGATAATTGTGAAAATATTCAATGCTAAAATAAGATACAATGTCTAAACATCAGTATTAAAACTAGTATAAATATTTGCTTGTTTGTACAAGGAAAATTCAAGCTCGACCTAAAATTATATAGGAAATAAAAGAAAAATTTTAAGGGAGCTCTTTAATAACATAAACATATATATATATACACACATATATAGCATGTATATATGTTATATGGGATAGATATAGATTTAACATGTTATATCTATATTTGTATCTATAACTACAGCTGTATGTATCTACATTTCTATATATTTACTCAGTGATATAAATATAGACTGGAATAAATATAAAGACACATATTATTCTTGGATAAAAAGGATTTAGTATCATAAAGATAAATTATTTCCAAATTCACTTATGAATTCACAACAATATACAGTTTCATTAGTATAATTTAAAATTTTTAAATAAATTCCAGGATTCATTTAAAGGAATATACATGTATACAAGCAGTCAAGAAAGAAGCAAGAGTGCACTAAAGTAACTTGCTATTGAAATACATTTTTAAACTTAGTAACTAAAACTGAGCAGTACTGATTTGGAGTACTGGAATTTAGGTATATGGGATCTCAAAAGCACAGAGCTCAAAGGAGACCCCTGTATGCACGAGAGCTTAGGATGTGCTTTGGAAGGCATTACCAAACCACGGGCAAAGTTACTTTAGTTTCTTAGTCTTACTAGGTTTGAAAAGCCAGAGAAAAGACTCAAGACCACCATATAAGACCAAAACAAAAGGACAGGGAGAGAATGTGAAGATACTGAAACTTTTACATAAAGTTGTATAAAATATCCTTTAAAGAAAATGTAAAGTTTAGGATATACATCAAAATCAGCAGAACCACTAAATAAATAAATAGGCATTGTAAAATAGCAAGAGAAAATTTAAATGGATTTCTAAAAAATATTGACACCTATGATTTTTAAAATATGTTTAAGATATCCCGTATTTCGCAGGGCAGCCTTTCACAACACAGATATGTTAGGACATAAAGGTTCTTCTGTTTTTAATTTACTAGTGTTTATAGGGTAACAAATGTCTTCTACCCTTGTCTTTTGTCTGATGGTGCAAAAAATTTTCATAAGCATGTATTTCTGAATGCCTGATGGATTGACATATATAATATGCTGCTAGTATTAAAATATGTGACGGAAAACGCATCCAATCTTCTCACTGTTTACATAAATTCTAGGTTTCTCCTATTTACCTCAAGCACGTATGGAGCGAATTCTTACCTTTTAATATTGCCATGGCATTCACATTGAACATAAGTTGAACTCTCTCATATGGTAGCTGGGTTCAGATTCCCTTGACAATTTCCAATTCTAACCCTCACAGTTCCTCAGTGTGGCTGGCCTAGATATTGACCCTACACAGTTGCCTCCTCCTGGTGACTACCAGCTATGGAACCGTTGGATACAACCTACCTGACTCACCCCACAGACCTCACAGCGCACATGGACAGCCCCCACACGCCAGAGTGACCTGCTCGGTTGCAGCGGGAGTCAAGAAATGTGCCTGCTGGCACTCACCCCACAGACTAGTGCCCCGTGGAAAACTTATTTGGGTAATGTTCTGGGCCGAATAAAGGCTGGAGTCCCACAGACCCCTTTTCTCTCTCCTGCTCCCCACTCATCTTCCCCATTTTGTTCAGCCCTATGAGGTGTGCTACTGTATTAGTCCGTTTTCACACTGCTGGTAAAGACATGCCCAAGACTGTGTAATTTCCAGAAGAAAGAGTTTTAATAGACGCACAGTTCCACATGGCTGGGTAGGCCTCACAATCATGGTGCAAGGTGAAAGGCACGTCTCACATGGCAGCAGACAAGACAAGAGAGCTTGTGCAGGGAAACTCCCCTTTATAAAACCATCAGATCTTGTGAGACTTATTCACTATCAGAAGAACAGCATGGGAAAGACCTGCCCCCATGATTCAATTACCTCCCACCTGTTCCCTCCCACAACATGTGGGAATTCAAGATGAGATTTGGCTGGGGACACAGCTAAGCCCTCTTCTCAGCTACCCTCTTCTCTCTGGATCTGTGAGTAATAAACCTACTTCTGTGATTTCCCATGTTTGGTTCTGTGGCCTCCATGGGTCTGAGCTGACCTACACTGGAACCTAACTCTCCTCCTGGCCAGGGTCTCTGAGAGTGGCTCTTGTCAGAAATACACAGGACACAGGTCAGGCAACAGTCACCAGGCATCTCCTAGTCTCAACAGATGTTCTGTGAGAGGGAGGCTTGGTCGTGGGATGCACATCTGGCCACTGCTGGGGTAAGGAAGTGTCCTGTGAAAGGCACATGTTAAGCATCCACAACCCCCTGACCAGAACCCCAGAAAGGCAGGGCTCCAATTCACAGTCACTCTCCAGAGACAAACCTCAAGCCCTAACTGGAGGAAAAGAAAACAATGTAAAAAGTTGAATTTATCTTACTATTTCAATGATCCAGTAAAGACATTCTATGCCTGTACACCACATATTTTCTTCGATTGTGGATTTATTTTAGATAGAATTTTATGTCTGGCTTTCACTTTAGCCTGGTCCCTACCTCAAGCATAAGGTAAAGATTTTCCATGGGTTCTTTTCTGATACTACTATCTGCCAGTGTGGGGTCATGTCCTAGTCTATCTTGAGGGAATCCCCCTGTTCATTATTGTCAGAGTGAGACTGTTAAGTCTTGATTTCCCTGGACAACTTCACTGCATGACTTTTAATATGATTTTTTAATATTCCCTTTACTGGACAATAAATTATATAGTTATCTGAGTAAGAGATATGGTCAGGAAGAGGCATTGCCTCATTCAGCTTTTCTCTTTGGTGAACTCGCATATGTTCTCCTCACCCGCCAGTCACCTCTAAACCGTATTGTTCCAAGACAACAAAGAGAACTCGAGTGTGTATCTTTCACCACTGGATTTGTGTTTGCTCCATAAAGCTTCATGCTTAATAGGGTTTCTGTTAGCATTTTCTCTGTTTATTTTCCCATAAAATATCACAGGCCTTTTTCATATGGAATTATGGGTGATTTCCTTCAATTTGCATCATATCAAGTTGAGGTTCATGTTGATGAAAAGTAAAACATACATTGAAAATATCAGTAATGATGTTTTCCCCTCCTTTTTAGCACCAGTGCTTGTGATACAAGCACATTTTAATACAATTGTAGTCTCATGCTTTGATCATTCCTATGATGAAAATAACATTTTTAGATAAAATATCTGAGTTTTATGAGGCCTTTAGTATGTGATGTGATAGAATATCAGAAGACCATACTTTTTTCTAGTTTTCTGTGCAATTCTATCATTGTTTCATCTTTACTCCTACCAGAGTAATTTTCCAAAATAGATATCTTGTCATTCTTCCTCTTGTTATCAGTAAATAAGTGAAATGAAAAGCTAGATTATATAATTTATCTAGAACAAGAAAGTAGAATTGAATCTACATTCATTAATGAGACTAACCAGTCAATTACACAGATAAGCATTTTACATGTTGAAGATCATATGGACCCATTGTCAGAAATATTATTATTTATGTCTATATGGACATCACCTGTGCATATTTACATAGAAATCAATGAGAGCTGATTTTTATTTTTATTATATATATTTTTTGAGATAGGGTCTTGGTTTTTTGCCCAGGCTGGAGTGCAGTGGTGCAATCACTGCTCACTGCAGCCTCAACCTCCCAAGCTCAAGCAATCCTTCCACCTTGGCCTCCCAAATAGCTAGGACAACAGGTGCACACCACCATGCCCACTTTTTATTTTTTTAACTTTTGATAGAGACTGGGTCTTGCTATGTTGCCCAGGTTGCTTTTGAACTCCTGGGCTCAAGGAATCCTCTCATTTCAGCCTCTTCAACTGCTGGTATTACAAGCATGAACCACCATATGGGCCGGAAGCTGATTTTTAAAATACTGAGATCATATAGACGACAACACCTGAAAAATAGACAACACCAAGCTTTATGTTAAAAGGTGTGAGGGTATCAATATTGTTGTGGCTATTGGGGAGGAAAACATTAGTAAAACCAGTGAGTTAAAGCTGTTGCTTTAAACTTTGGCTTTAATTTAACAAATGTTCTATGGAGTGACAGTATGTATGTAACCATGCTATGCCCATTCACAGATGCAGTAGAGGGAAGAATTTCTCAAAGACAACTGTTCTAAGACTCAAATTAAACCGTACTGGGTTTGAAAAGAGAAAGTCCAGGGATTACCAAATATTTTAGATATCAGATAAAAGAGAATGCCAGATATGCGATGATAATCAGCAATGGTTGTTCACACAATACATCAAATCAGTATTTGAATTAGCTTTTGAATTACAAGGACAAATGGACCAAGTCTAGACTCCTTAGTAGATAAATCTTATTAGGCTGAGATGTGTTTTCCCCTGTTTTTCCACAAGGAGATTACAAATTTGCAAACCTCAGCTGCTCTCATTTTATGCTCTCACCAAGCTAAAGCTGAAGTTCATCAATCAGTGTGTCTAAGTGTTCACTGGTTATATACCATTTTGTAGTTTCAGCTATCTTTCCAGCTTCCTAAATCATCACCTTCATTTGATCTTGTTTTTTTCCACTATCACTTCTTTATTGACCATATAAAGAATATAAGTGAGTTCTTATTTTGTTATTGTTCATTTTAGTCTAATTTCATCAAAATATCACAGTCTTTTAATTTCATTTTAATTTCAAAGATTAAATGAAACCTACATAGAAATGTGTGTAAGATTTGCATTTGCATTATTTTGGCATCAATTTGCTATCCTCCCTCATGCACATAGAGATCATTTCCACGTACGTGATTTCAAACATCCAAGTGCAGTATTAAAAGCAGTTGTAAATTATGGTTCTCATTTTCATGATACAATTACAATATAAACTTCCTCTTGCTGCTGTAACCAATTACCACAAACTTCATATCTTACAATAAAGTGACCGTTAATCCTACAGTTCTGTAGTTCAGAAGACTTGAATGAAACTCACAGGGCTAACATCAAGTTTTGGGCAGGGCTGCAGTCTTTCTGAGGGCTATGTGGCAGAATCTATTACTTGATTTTTTTCAGCATCCAGAGGCCACCTTTATTCCTTGGAACATGACCTCATTCTTATATCCTATTTTTCTTTTTTTTTTTTTTTTGAGATGGAGTCTCCTTCTGTCACCCAGGCTGGAGTGCGGTGGCATGATCTCAGCTCACTGCAACCTCTGCCTCCCGGGTTCAAGTGATTCTTCTGCCTCAGCTTCATGAGTAGCTTGGACTACAGGCACTTGCCACCATGCCCAGTTAATTTTTTGTATTTTTAGTAGGGATGGGGTTTCACCATGTTACGCAGGATGGTCTCGATCTCCTGACCTCGTGGTCCACCCACCCCAGCCTCCCAAAGTGCTGGGATTAGGCGTGAGCCACCGCGCTGGGTCCTCATTCTTGTATCTTAAAAGTCAGTGATGTTGAGTAATTTCTCATGCCACCACCTCCAAGGTTGCATTTCTTCTGTCTTCTTCTTTCACTTATAAGGAAGTTTGTGATTTCATTGATCCCACCCATTTAAGACAATCTCTCTATCATTTTTCCGCAACCTTAATTTCACTTGAAATCTAATTTCACACTGCCGTGCAACCTAACATATTTGTATGTTAGACTCTGGGAATTAGGACATGAAAATTTTGGGGAGGCCATTCTTTTGCCTGCAGCAGACATAATCTATTTACCTGCAGATTAAAGCGTTCTTTATTTTTCTGTCTCCCTCTCTTAATTTTTTAAAAATAATATGAATTGTAGTAAAGAGAAAGAAAAGAAAACAAAGAAAGAAAAAGAGGAAGGAAATAAAGAAAGAAGAAAGAAAAGAAGGAGGAGATGAGGGAAGGAAGGGAGGGAGGGAGAAAGGCAGGAAGGGAGAAAAAAGAAAACATGAACACAAGAAAGAAAGAGGGAAGGAAAGAAAAGAAAGAAAGAAACAGAAAGAAAGAGAGAAAGAGAGAAAGAAAGAAAGGAGGAAGGGAGGAAGAAAAGGAGGAAGAGAGAATGGTAAAAGGGAGGAAGGCAAAGAAACAAAGAAAATAAAGAGGCGAAGGAAGGAAGGAAAAAGAGGAAAGGAAGGGAGGGAGGAAGGAAGAAAAGGAGGGCGGGAGGAAGGGAGAAAAAAGGAAAGAAAACAAGAACGTGAGAAAGAAAGAAAGAATACGAGAAAAGAAGGAAGAAAAGGGAGGGAGAAAGGAAGGGAGGGAGGAGGGAAGGAAGAATAAGAGGAAAGAAAGAAAGAAGGAAAGAAGGAAGGAGAAAAAAGAAAAGAAAGAAAGGAAAAGAAAAAAGAAAAGAAAAGGAAGAGGAAAAGAAGAAAGGAAGGAAGAAGGCAAGGGAAGGGAAGAGAAGACAAAGGAAGATGGAAAGAAGGAAGACCGCAAACATTAGAAATTCTGTGTTTGTTAGAGAATATGCCATACTGTTTTTTTTTCACTTGAAAGGAAAGAGTAGCTGCCATTGAAGATTGGATGTCTTGTTGGTGATATTGTTGTTCTTATCTTCCACATGATTACTGAGTTTGTGCCTAGTCTTTCCATTACTAAGACAAAAGTGTTGAAGTCTGCAAATATAATTTTGGATTTTTCTAGTTCACCTTTGATTCTTTCATGTTTTACCTCACGTATTTGGAGGCTCTGTTGTTAGCTGCATACCCTAATTAGTAGGATGTTTACATCTTCTTGAGAATTGATTATTCTATTATCTATTATCTCTCATCTCTGATACTATTTCTTGTTCCGAACTCTGTTGTGTCTAATATCAATGTAGTCCTTCCACAGCCTTATTTTAGTGTTTCCATGATATGGCTTTCTCCATATCTTGATGATAACCTATTTATATCTCTATATATTTGGAGCAAGATATAAAATTTCGACTTGATTTTTTAAAGATTTTTCAAGATGGAATTCTTATTTCTTTTTGTTCTATTTGACATTCTCTGAGTTTCCTATATCTGAAGTTTGATTTTCTGTCACTTCTTTTAGAATATTTTTGGCAGTTATTTTGAAATATATTTCTTTTGCTCCATTATTTTTTCCTCTTTTCTTTTTGGGATTTCAATCATAACTAGAGTAGGCAATTTCATCTCAGTCTTATGCAGGTACATTTTCTCAGGGTCTCAGGAATGTAGCCTTCTCACACTTCTGTTCTTTTCCTGGCTGTGTTGGTGAGCTCAGTGATATTCCTCCTTCACCTTTAAGAGCAGTTTTGTTTTGTTTTTCCTGTTTTCATACTCCCAGCATCAGGAGTATTCTAAGTGTGGCAGTTTTTGTTGCCTTCCCCTACATATTAAGTGGAATATCTTGGTCTATTTGGACCCTTATAACAAAATAACATAAACTGGGTGACTCAAAAACAACAGATATTTCTTTTTTCACACTTCTTGAGGCTGTAAGATCTCAGGTCAAGATGCTCACAAATTCAGTGTTGATGAGAGCCCATTTCATGGATCATAGATGGTGCCTTCTTTCTATGTCCTCACACAGTGGAAGTCACACAAGAACTCCATTGAGCTTCTTTTATAAAGGCACTAATCCCATTCATAAGGGCTCGGCCCCCAAGACCTGGTCACCTCCCAAGTGTTCTGCTCTCCCTGATCTGTGTCATATACAGACTCTCTTGGATTCCTTACCAATTGCTTGAGAGATCACAGTGGGTTTGTGGGGAAAAAGTTTTCAAGATGATGGATCTTTCCCAACTTCTGCAACTGTCAGCGGTCTCCCAATCTCACCAGCCCCACTTTGTCTTTAGGAATTTATTGATTATTCCAGCTTTACTTGTCATAGTGGTGTCTATTTGCATCTGTCCTATGTAAGTGCATCTGTCCTCTTTCTCCTTGCAGGTGCTTGTTTTCCCTCACATTTTGACTCAGTTCTTGGCAACCTGGTTGCTCTAAAAATAAAGTCATGACTTTGAAGTTAGTTTGGTTCTTTCATTGTTGTCAGGTTAGGAACCCTATTCCATCCCAGATCTCCAAAACCCAGACTTTTTGGGGGGTTGAAATGTTAGGCTTTCTCTTTGAATTGTAGTTTTATCTTCTTTCAGTTACCATTTGCATTTTCATAATGATTAATGAGACTAAGCTTTTTTTGTGTAGTTGACTGTACCTTTGGATTTTTTTCCCAAATACCTTTTTATTTCTTCTTTTCTTTATGGTTTTAGAAAATGTAGTTTACATAATTGCAGCTTGATTTGTTACTCAGTTAATGGCATGCTTAATGGAGAGAAAAAATATTAAATATATTTCCCTTTTTAATTACTGTGCTTTTTTCTTTTTTAAGGAAATGTTTCATTATGTTAAATTTCAATGTTATTCTACTTAGCTATTCCTTAAATATTATAATATTTTGGATTTCACATGTACATTTGTAACATATCTTGAGTTTATTATGTATAGAGTAAGGCTATTTTCTTTTTTAAGGTAAAAATCACATAATATAAAATTAATAACAACCATTTTAAAGCATACAATGCACTTGCTTTTAGTATATTCACAATGTTCCAGGGCAATTTCATCATGTCCCTTCCAAAAACCCATTATGCATAAAGTTGTTACACCCTATTCTGCTTCCCTGAGCCCTAACGACCACTAATCTAATTTATATCCCAATTGATTTGCCAATTCCTGATGTTTCATGTGAATAAAATCAAGTAATATTTGTCCTTTTGTGCACTTAACATAATGCTTTCAAATTTCACCCATATTATAACATATATAAGTACTTCATTCTTTGTTATAGCTGAAAATTAGGTGTCCATTTATGAGTCAACAAGCGTATGGATTGTTTCCACTTTTTGACTGTATGAATATTACTGCTGTAAATATTCATGCACATGTTTATTTTTTGAGCACCTATGTTTTGTAAGATTAACAGCTGACTTAAGAGAAACAATGGAAGGCAAGAGGCAGTAGAATAATATATTCAAAAGATGCAAAGGAAAAAAAACTCTCGGCCACGAATTCCTTATCCAGCAATTATTTTTCAAAAATGAAGATAACACAAAGACTTACCCAGATAAACAGAAATATTAACTGAAGTTGTTGCTGGCAGACCTACCACATTAAAAAAAACGCTAAAATAAATTCCTAAGGCTAAAAGCAAGTCACAGAAGACAGTCACTTGAATCCACATTTTTAAAAAAGTACTGGTATAGGTAACATTGACATTATAAAAGACAGTAAAAATGCATTTTTTCTCTTTATCATAAATTGTTTATTAAATAACATGTGTATAATAGCCGGGCACGATGGCTCACACCTGTAATCTGAGCACTTTGGGAGGCCAAGGCGGGCGTATTACAAGGCCAGGAGATCGAGACCATCCTGGCTAACACAGTGAAACCCCGTTTCTACTAAAAATACAAAAAATGAGCCGGGCGTGATGGCGGGCGCCTGTAGTCCCAGCTACTCGGGAGGCTGAAGCAGAAAAATGGCATGAAGCCGGGAAATGGAGCTTGCAGTATGCGGAGATTGTGCCACTGCACTCCAGCCTGGGTGACAGAGGGAGACTCCGTCTCAATGATAATAATAATAATATGTGTATAATGTATTGCTGAGTTTTTGACATGTAGAAATGTAATACGTCTATAACATATTTTCCAGTAACATCAAAAAGGAGGTAGTTGGAAGAAAAATGTATTGTGATAAGGTAATCACTCTAGATGGTAAAGTAATAATTACTAAAATGTATTGTTGGCTTTGTAACTTTAATAGATGTAATGTGTAAAGTGATAATACTTTAAAATGGAGGAAATAAAAGAGATTTATATAAGAATGATGTTTCTATGTATTACCAGAAGTTTACTAGTATAAATTGGAAGATGATTTGAATAATTAATTTTCCATATACCTATATGGTAAACTTACAACAACAACAAAAATTCTCAAAAATATATAATAAAATAATTCATTAGTAATCTAAAGTTCCCTATTTTAGAAAATATTCTTTCATTGCAAAATAAAGCAATAAAGAAAAATATTTGAGAAATATATAAAACAAACGGTAAAATGGCAGACATAAATAGAATTATACCAATTATAATCTTAAATGTGAGCAGATTAAAATCCATTCCAGAGGCAGAGATAGTCAGACTGGATTAAAACAAGTGATCCCAATATACGCTGAGATGCAAGGATACTAATGGATTGAAAGTAAAAAGATGACAAAAAATATCATGCAAAGAGCAATCATAAGAACACTGAACTCATTATACTCATAACACACAACATAGACTATTAAAAATGTGAATAGAATTTTAAAAATTATATTGTAGTAAAACGGGGGTCAACGCTTTAGGAAGACATAGCTATTACAATCATGTATGCACAGATATGAGCTAAATTGTTTCCTTTATATAGATGCTGAAATTCTAACCACTGAATATGACCTCATTAGGAAAATAGGTTCTTTGCAGCTGATCAAGTTAAGATACAATCAGATGAGCCTGAATTCAATATGACTGATGTCCTTATTAAAAGAAGAGATTTGAGTAGAGGGAGACATACACACAGGGAGAGTACCATGTGATTATGAGGACAGAGATTAGCCAAGGAATGCCAAAGACTGCCACTAAACCATCAGAAGCGAGAAACAAGGCACAGAACAGGCTTTCTCTCATAGCCCTTGAAGGGACCATCCCTGCTGACCCCTCAATCTCAGACTTTTAGCTTCCAGGACTATAAGACTATAAATGTATGTTGTTCATGGCACCCAGTTTGTGTTACTTGGTTATGGCAGCCCTAGGAAACTAATACATGAACTAATAACAAAGCATAATAACATGAAGCAAAAATTGACAAAAGAGGAGCATCAGCAAAATGGCAGTGGAGACAGCTGCAATCTTTCATTTCCCCACAGAAACATCACACAACTAAGAGAAACTGTCCAAATAAACTTTGCCAAAACTCTGGAAAACAGTCAAAAGATTACAACAACCGAGTGAAAGCAGACTCAAGAAAAAGACAACTTGAAAACTTTATGACATTTTTAGCTTGCCTTTGCCCCAGCAAATTGGCAGTTTTGAAGTGTCAGAAGCCCACGTTCCCAGTGAGGAACACTGGTCTATGGTCCAAAGGAACAAGAGAAGATCTTACCCGCAAATTACTATGTGTCTGTTCTGACTGGTCTGGGGGATACCTAAAGGACTCATGAAAGGCTTTTGTTTTTCTGTGTTGCTAGAATACAGAACAGATAAGGAATGGACATTATCAAGGAACTCTGCAAGGAGACCTAACAAACCACAGATGCTTAGGGCAAAAATTAGAGTTTACACATATAGTAGATCACCTTCAGCACAGGAAGAAAAGTTGGAGAAGAGTATTTGGAAAACTAAGACATTCAAAATTATTCACGTACATGGGAGAGTCTAGAAAGTCACATGTATGCATAGGTTAAGCCACATGCTGACAAATGTCATAAGAAGACCCTACACTTTTACCTTGGCCGATCCCTCCCCTCAGTGCAAGCTCTGTGCAAGAGTGAACTTGAACTTCACTCAGTGCAAGAGTGAACACACACTTTGTGCCGGCTTTAAAGAACCCAGCACAAAGCCAGTCTGCATGGCCTAGAAGCATATTTTGCTGGACAATGATTACTTGTTTTTCTTTTTGTTTTTGTTGTATTTGCCTCTTTGCTTACTTCCTGACATACAAGAAAATCACTGTCAAAACATTAGCTTAACATTTGTTAAGGAAACAAAAAGACTTCGGTGACCACACCTTATAAAGCAAACAGTTTTGTAAATCACTTTGGAAAATTTCACTAAAAAAAAAATCCTTAACAATATAATAAGTAAAGAAAATTTAAAACCCCAAAACATTACTGTGTTTGTAGGGGAGGGTCTGATTTACAGAGTAACCACATAGTAATTATAATTATTATAATGCCCAGTTTTCAAAAAAAGTTACAAGGCATACAAAGAACGGGAAAGTATGGCTCATTCAAAGGAACAAAACAAACTGACAGAAAATATTTCTAAGGAAACCCAGACTTCAAACTTACCAGACAAAGACTTTAAAACAACTCTCTTAATTATACTCAAATGTCGCAAGGAAAGCATAAACAAAGAAATAAAGGATTCAGAAAAAATATTAAAAAGTAGGAATATCAACAGAGATAGCAGAAATTCTGGAGTGGAAAACTACAATGATAAAAATTTAAAAATCACCAGAGGGATTTAAGAGTATATTTGCACACACAGAGGAAGTCATGAGCTTGAAGATAAGAAAATGGAAAATATTGACTCTGAGAAACAGATAAAAAATGAGCAGAGACTAAGGAATCTGTGGGACATCATCAAATAGACCAACGTTCATATTCTAGAAGGATAAATTATGTTGTTGAAAACTTTAGCATTCTTTCTTTTCACCTTCCTCCCTCTTCCTCCTCCTTTTTACTTTTCTTCCTCTTCCTTTCTCTTCTTCTTTCTCTCCTTCATTATCCCTTTCGCTCTGTTTCTCTTTCTCCCTTTCTCTTTTTCCTTTTCTTTCAATTTTCTCCATTACTAAGAGATGTTTGAATACCCTTACCATGTGAGTTGATATGGTTATTTCTCCATTTAATCCTCTTTTGAGATTTATAGTCTCTCTAAGTAAAGAGATAACCCAAACATAAGCCTCACAAACAGGCTTCCATACCATTCTTAATTTGGTCCTGTAATTCTTCATTGCTGTATTAACTTTCTGATGCTTTTAAGGATGTTTTACAACAAATTGTTTAGTTTTTTCCACTGGAATGTTTATTCTCAATTATCTAATTCATACTGTAAGTATAGAGGGAGTTTAATATAAAATTATTAAACTAATATTTGTGAAAGAACGTATTTGTGCATTTAACAAATATGTTAATCCTCAGACTGTTATTGGGCAGCTGAGCATACAGCAATAAAAATAACATAATTTTTATGTGTACAATATTTATGGAATACGTTACTGGAACAAATAAATAATTTAGTTAATAACATGACAAAGAACAGAAATTGTATACACTATAGAGCATAGTAATGGAATAATGATTGAAGTTATTAATATTAGGTAGAAAATGAAGGGTATCTTTGAGAGCAGAACTCAAGGAAACAAGCAATTCGCCTTATGAGGAAAGAGTTACCTGTGGATAAAGGAGAAACTGAAAAATTTACAAGTCAAGACTTTTTGTGCAAAAACAAAAATATGATTATTAGTCACCAATTCAGTACAGTGAAAAAAAAGTTGAAGAGATATCTTGGAAGTAAACCATATTGTGGAAGAGCATGTAGGGTTTTGATAATCAGGGGATTATTCTGAATTAATTTTAAATGCGATAGGAATATATGAGATAACTTAACCAGAGAATAACATGATTGTGTTTGCATTTCAAAGGGGTGTATCTTGTGCACCGTGTAGAATAAATAGGTTTTGTGAGCAAATAAATTGGGAGGCTACTCTAATCCAGAGAAAAAAGGTAGTGACTTAGGTGAGAATGCTGTCAGGATGAGTGGTAGTAGTGGTGAGAAGTCATTAGGCCATGGATGTATTTCATAGGACTAGCCAAGAGAACTGCAGCTAAATTGGAGTGTAGGGAGTCAAATGGAGAACTCAAAGATGACTCTCAGCACTGGAAAGTGACACTGAAGCATGCTGATGCCTCTTATTAAGAGAGTTACTTGGGAATGGCAAGATCAAAACTTCTCACTTTCAAATTTATGAAAAATATTGTTTTCAGAACGAATGACTTTGGGATCAGAAAGCCATCATTCTAATTGATGGTTCCAAGACTACACGGGCTCACACTCCCAAGAACAAAAGTAAATCATCACAAAGGTGCTTCCTGATAATTCTAGAGAATGGAGAATTACTGTAACATCTTTCTGATTTTAGGAGAGGTAGCAGTTCCCCGTTTAGCCTAAACGCTATTTTTTTTTAAAGCTCAGCCAAGAGACTCCATTATAATTTTCAAATGTGTGTAACTTAAATTCTCATATGAAATACCACTATGCTTAAATTAGTCAAAACATTTTCCCCATCTACAACTCTATCTTTTCATTGCAATCATTTTCACAAAAGTGTCTGCAGCTCACAGACCCTAAAAGGAGAAAATCCAGGGTAGGTTATCTGATCTAGTTTTGAAGACAGGATCTAGAGATTATTTAATATGAAATAGGTCACCTGAAATGAAGTGTTTCCTGAAAACAGCTTGGATCAGCCCAGTTTTCTACCACTGAACCATGCATTTGGTTTAAAAAACACAACAACTCTGGGGAATATCGGCTGCTTCCAACTGTGTTGAAGGTGTTAAAGAAAAGAGCATAAAAGTAAAAATGATCATCTGAGGCCTTTATAGTCTCTGCTCAAGAGACTAGAGTCTTCCATTCTTAACGAAACACCCAAATATCTTAATAATTGGGCAAAATCTAAATATCAGAGAGATAATTTTATCTTGAAGATTGTTAAATTATAATGGTGATTCACTACCTTGCCACGTCTCTGAGTCAAAAATTAGGTCTTTGTTTAGGAATCAATGGTACTCTGCAACTTGGAAATAGGAAGATTTTAGAAGACTCAAACACTGACTTTCTTGTGTGCAAAAAAAAAGACGTATTGAGTTAAGACAAGTCTTTCCTTGCAAGGATACCTCTAATGCTCATACACCACCTCCCCTAACGTTAATATAGCTTCCAGGTCAGTAACCAGTGTCAGAGAGCAGCCCATGCAACTACAAATTCAATAGATGTCGAACACAGGGTCAAGCCTAGAATAAGAAGTCTTAGCTAATTAAGTATGCTTTGTTCCCCAAATTTATATTAACAAAAACTTGGATATGTCAGAGAATGCATTCTAAGTTCACTCAACCTAGGAGGGAGAAACATAATTTTAAATTAAGAGCTGAAGCATTCTTGTCCTAACAAAAAGCAAGGAAAATGAAATATCACACCACAGGAGGGATTTCACAAATTAGTGTCAACATCAAAACCTTAAAATAGGCAAGGAAAATGCAGATTTACAATGAACTCTTGTACTTGTTTTGTTCAGAGAAGAGATGGTTCTGAGAGAATGACAGTGAACTAACCCCAGCTGGTTTAATTGATGCTTTCAACTGCTGCTTCTGATCAACTCCTTCAGCTAGAATAAATTGATGAGGATTTTGGCATGTGGTATTAGAGATGGTTATTTTTTCCTCTTATTTGCATTGTTCAATGTAGTAAATACTAGCTGTATAGGGCTACTTCAATTCAAATTAATTACAATGAAATATACTTAAATATTGCATTTTTTAGTCACTGTTGGTTCATTATTGAATATCTTCAGCTAAGATTTCCCATCTAAATACACTAAGAGGTGGCTTAGTTAACTGGTCGTCCACAAATATTGACGCTGATGTTAACTCCTGATATATTCTCTGCAAATAGAATATTCATGAGCCTCCTCCTGAAATCAGCAGCCTAGAGATAGTTTTATAAATTGGATACAAGTTGGAAATCTATATACTCTTTCAGTTTTTGAAATATTAGCTTCCCAGGGAAGAAAATCAAATTCATAAGCTATGTTAGGACGATTTAACTCAAGATGTTCAAAACTGAAATGACGTATTCTACAATATGTGATAAAACCACCCCCTAACAACTTAAAGCAAAACAGGGATTGACCTTAAAGACCTGCCTTTTCCTCATCCCCCAATCAGTTTTCAAATCTCGCATTTTATTTCAAAAGGTCCTTATCCCCCTAGTCTCTTGTTTCTAGACTCGGCACATATTTAAGTTTGTTACCTCTATCTACTGACATTTTTCTCTTCGAACGGTATCTATGCCTGCCAAATGTGAATATACAAAAAACAAATCAGAATGTGCCATTCTGATTTAAACTGCTTATTAGTTAAAACCCTCAAGATAACATCTGGGTTCTTGGCTGCAATGAGTCAAGCCTACTTACATCTTTTTTTGTCTTTGGCTGCACATTTCCTATCACATCACACTCCAGCAAAGCCAAGCTGTGCCGGCCTTCTACCCCATCTCCACTATTTTGCCCCGCGTCGCCGCGGCTTTTTGACCCTCATCACAGCGGCTCTTTTGCCCTTCGCCGCCGCGGCTTTTTGCCCCAAGCACCACCTCGGCTTTTCCCCCGCCGCCGCGGCTTTTTCCCCACCGCGGTTTTTTGCCCCCACCCGCCGCCTCGGGTTTATGCCCGCCACGGCTTTTAGTTCCCTGCCGCCGCGGCTTTTTGCCCGACCCGGCTTTTTGCCCCCCACCCCCCCCCCGCCGCCGCCGCGGCTTTTTGCTCGACCCGGCTTTTTGCCCCCCCCACCGCCGCGGCCCCCGCCCGGTTCCGCGGTTATTTGACAGCCGCGGCTTTTTGCACCCCCCCACACCCCCACCCCCCCGGTGCCGCGGTTATTTGCACGTCGCGACTTTTTGCACCCCCGCCACCGCGGCTTTTTCCGCGCCACGGATTTTTGTCCCCCGCTGCCGCGGCGTTTTGCCCCCCATCGCCGCGGCTTTTTGCCCCCCCACCATCGCGGCTTTTTGCGCGCCTCGGCTTTTCGCCCCCTGCCGCCGCGGCTTTTTCCCCACTGCGGTTTTTTGCCCCCCCGCCCGCCGCCTCGGGTTTTTGCCCGCCGCGGCTTTTTGCCTCCGCAGCTTTTTGTGCCCCCGCCGCCGCGGCTTTTTGCACCCCCGCCAAAAGCCGCGGCTTTTTACCTGCCGCGGCTTTTTGCCCGCCACGGCTTTTTACCTGCCGCGGCTTTTTGCCCGCCACGGCTTTTTGCCCCCCCCCCCCGCCGACGCGGCTTATTGCCCCCCACCACCGCGGCTTTTTGCCCGACCTGGCTTTTTGCCCGACCCGGCTTTTTGCCCCTCGCTGCCACGGCTTTTTGCCCCCCGCCGCCGCGGCTTTTTGCCCACCGCGGTTTTTTGTCTCCCCGCCGCCTCGGGTTTATGCCTGCCCCGGCTTTTTGCCCTCCGCAACTTTTTGGCGCCCCGGGTGCCGCGGTTATTTGCCTGCCGCGGCTTTTTGCACCCCCGCCGCCACGACTTTTTGCCGCCCGCCGCCGCGGCTTTTTGCCCCGCCGCCGCGCCTTTCTGCCCGCCGCGGCTTTTTACCCCCCGCCGCCGCGGCTTTTTGCCCACCCCCGCTGCCGCGGCTTTTTCACCCCCGCCGCCGCGGCTTTTTGCTCCCCCGCTATGGCGGCTTTTTGCGCCCCACGCCCCCCCGCCCCCTGCCGCGGTTATTTGCCCGCGGCGGCTTTTTGCACCCCAGGCGCCGCGGCTTTTTGCCCCCCGCCCCCGTGGCTTTTTGCCCCATGGCCATCCTCAGAAGCGTGAGTGGAACAGAGTGAAGGGAAAGCTGTTTTCTTCGAAAGCTCAAAAATCTTGAACTTTCAAATAGGGATAAGTGTTATTTTTGCTCCAAGCACACATTTGAGAAATCTTCCATTTAGCGGATATGATGATAAACCCACATTTTTTGTTTTAATCTGAAAATGTATTTGTATGGTTCTTGGAAATATTTTTTTTGCATATAAAATTATAGTTTATCATCTTATTTCAAGTTTTATTTACCATTTGATAGTTACTCCTAAAATGTCATTGATTAAAGAATCATCTATTGCTCCAACTGCTCTTTACTAAAGGTAATTTGTCTTTTTAACCTCATCAGGCTCCTTTTAAGCTCTCAAACTGACCTTATATTTTTTTACAGATTGAATGCATTAAGTCCATTTATTATTTATGATGAATTTATTTATGTATTTATTTTCGCTATCACAAGTAGAAAAAGCCTATAAGTTGCTATGCCAAAAACCTGCCTCTAGATGGCAAACAAACCCCGCAATACACAAAAGAGAGCCAAATTCTTAGAAACCCTGGGAAAGGAAGAGGGCTACTGTCCCATTAACAACTTGGAGCCCTTAAGGCAAGAATGAGGTGGAACATCTGGGGGGAGACACCAGGGTGCGGAGTAGTGGGGAACCTGCTCTGTGCTCTGAGACTGAAAGCCCAGCCTTGCCTCTCACCACTGCCTTGACTGTGTCCCCATCTGCTGTGAAGTGAATGGTGTCTTCTAAATTCATGCTGAGCCCTAATTGCTGAAAAGTGTAAGACATGCAATGGGGGGATTATGTGCATCTTCCTGACACCAACATGATGCTCAGGAAGGAGACTTCTTGTTTTCTCTTAGGATTCTTTTACTAACCAAGATTTTGCCTCTACTGCATATTTCCCTTTGCTGATTGTCCCTCCCTTTTGACAGAAGATGGCCCAGGGCATTCACTACTAAGTCTCAACCTCTTACCCAAAGCCCTCAGTCTAGTGTTGCTCTTTCCTTCATGCTATTTTTGTTTCTTTTCTTGTCATCATCTTGGCAATAAAATAGTCACTTTTTTCTTTCTACCTATTAAAGATGTTACCTTAGTTAATTACAGTGGTTTCCTTCAGAATGATAAATGGTCTTTCAAAATGATGTAAAGAGATCTAAATCCGTGTGCTCCAGAAGTTGAATGAAGCTCTGTCTAGCACGGGTGCCAGTGACTCTCCCAGAGTGCTCCATGCAGCTGGACCCACGGAGTCCCTCTGTGCTGTCATATCACCCACTGCCTTCTGTGAATGAGATATTCTGATTGGAATCCTGGTGGATGCTATTTGAGCCATGCCCCCACAACTCCTATGAAAGCCGAGGACCACAGGCCCCTGAAGACAATCACAGGTCTCTAGACTCACAGCTCATGACCGTACTCTGCAGACACAGCTTCTCCCCGGATGGCTGAGTTTTGTCATTGGCTGTGTCCTTCCTTGTGCATGACAACAGGAGACATAGAAGGTCTGTAAGCAGCCCTGCAAGCCAGGTTCTGAGCAAGCCCTCCTGTGTGGGGCCCTCTTACCTGGACATAGGTGTGTAAACCAAAAATGAAACTCTAAGCTCCCTAACCAACTGAATGAACTCCTCCTCTCAGCCAAGGACACACCAAAATCAACCTGAAATACAATACAGTCCATGATCGGAACGGATGATTGGACATGCCTTAACTTACCCTCTTCCCTTTAAAATTCAGGCAGAACTGACCAGCTTTTAATATGAAGACAGAGACCTTGAGACTGACAAAGAAAACTCTTTATAGCAATAAGATACCAATGTGACAGATACCACGTCCTAAGAGAAATCAAAGTATTTTCCCCAAGATATTGTTATTTAATGTATTTAAAAATGCCTCTGCAAAGCTGGTTTTTGTGGGAGAAATCTAAATTCTGTAGAGATTCCTTTTTAAGTCTCTTTCCTGACCCAGAGAGATTTAACTAAGAGTTTGGCACCTTTTAAGTCTACTAAGAAACAATTACAATCTATTCTCTCTGAAGCCTGCTACCTGGAGGCTTCATCTGCATGATGCAACCTTGGCTCCAAAACCCTTTTTCTAAACCCAGAAACTCCCTTGTGTTGATTACAGGTCATTAGATAAACTCTTTCAACCACCTATGAAATCTTTGAATCCACCTATGACCTGGAAGTCCCCAATATCCCCCCTCCTTCGGGCTGTCCTGCCTTTCAATATCAAAGCAATGTACAGCTTACACGTATTGATTGATATCTTATGTCTCCTTAAAACGTGTAAAACCAACCTGTAGCCCGACGACCTTTGACACACGTTCTCAAGACCTCCTGAGGCTGTTTCACTGATATTTCTTTAACTTTGACCAAATAAATTTCTAAACTGATTGAGACTTTTCTCAGATACTTATTTGTTTATAGGTATCACAGGATACACTTAAGGAATTGAAGAGATTTATGACATTGAGAAAAGGAGGAAGCCAGGGTGTGTGGAGAGAGAGAGAGAGAGAGAGAGAGAGAGAGAGAGAGAGAGAGAGATTGTGATGTATGTACAGGACTAACACTGAGACCTGGTTATGTAATGGTGTAGTAATGAGTATCATCCCCAAATAGTGAGGTTTCATTCCAAGAAGACTATGCATGTATCTCATTTGGGAAAACAGCTTTTGCAGGTGTAAATTAAGGAGCTTGAAACAGGGAGATGGTCTTAGATTAATCAACTGGGACTTAAATGCAAACTCAAGTGTCCTAATAAAAACAAGAGGTAGAGAGACATTTAGCATAGACTGAAGTGGAGAAGGCAGTGTGAACACAGAGACAGAGATTGCAGTGATGTGTCCACATCCCGGGAGAGAGAAGCCACCAGAAGCTGGAAGAGCTAAATCAGACTGCTCCCTAGAGCTTCAGAAGGAGCCAGAACTGATGACTCCAAGATCTTAGCCCAGTGAAACTGATCTGGACTTCTGAACTATGAGAGATTCCATTCCTGTTGTTTGAAGCTACCACATTTTTGAGAACTTGTTACAGTAGCCCGAGGACACTAACACAAATGGGGCTCCGGGAAAATCCAGACTAAAGGTGTTGTGTTGGTTTGCAATCTCCTTGCTTAACTTTCTGATACTAGACGTAAATAGATTGGTGAAAAATTTTGTGAATGAAGAAATGTACATGAAACCTACAGTGTACAGAGAAGCATCTGTTAGTTATAAGATAAATATTGATAATTTTAGTTGAAAATGACATATGACTGTTAATATCTCACATAACATTCTGAGTTACTCAAGAATGCATAAAAGGGGCACTAGATACTCTTCTCATGTATGTGTGTGTGTCTGTCTATACATGTATGTACACTTCATGGTGCATCAGCTGGCAGAACCCTCAGGACACCCCTTCACATCCTCAGTGCCCCATTTCACACATGAGGAAACTGTTCATGACAGCACATGGCTGATTTGCATAAAAGTCACTTGGTCAGCAGTTGTTGAAGCTGAACTTGGAATCTAGGTCTATCTGACCTTAACTATGTTCCTTCCACAGAGCCACGTTCATTCCATAGAGGAACCCACCACCTATAAAACCAGAAAAGAGACAAAGCCAGAAGTGCAGGGTGGATTTCTTAACACAAGCTCACTGCGACCTCTACTCCTCATCACGCTGACACTAAGCTTAAACCCAGACCCTTCTACAGTTTTGTCTACAAAGCACAATTTGCCCAAAGCCTTTACAAACACCAACAGCCTTTCTTTCAGATATGGCAGCAGGGTCACATCTTACACGGCCCTGACCACATTTTGTCTCCTCTGCCATCCCCATCTCTCTGACTCAGTCTTCGCTTGCAGCCATAAAAAAGGATGAGTTCATGTCCTTTGTAGGGACATGGATGAAGCTGGAAACCATCATTCTCAGCAAACTATCGCAAGGACAAAGAAACCAATCACTGCATGTTCTCACTCACAGGTGGGAATTGAACAATGAGAACACATGGACACAGGAAGGGGAACATCACACACCAGGGCCTGTCGTGGGGTGGGGTGTGGGGGGGGGAGGGATAGGATTAGGAGGTACATCTAATGTAAATGATGAGTTAATGGGTGCAGCACACCAACATGGCTCATGTATACATATGTAACAAACCTGCACGTTGTGCACATGTACCCTAGAACTTAAAGAACAATAATAATAATAATAATAATAATAATGGGTCTTGTACATCTAATTTGCCCTACAAATGTTAAAACAGCAAACCCACATCCCCTTCCTCTTCTCATGTGCTGTGAGGGATGACCTCCAGGCTCTCAGATACCAAGATTGTACAAGACCTAACCCAGAGAATTACTCAAGACACTTTCTACGTAAGAAGAATTGTGGTGCTAGCTCTCCTCATAGAAAAATGTTTTCTGTCTCTTGTTGAAATTGACAGCAAACACAAAAACACAGAACTATTTGGGAGAACAGAGGACAGTGATACACTAGGGAAGTAAAACACACCCCTTCCCCTTGCATTGGTTTCCTGTTGCTGCCGTAACAAATTACCACAACCTTACTGCTCCCCATAACACAAGTGTATTATCTTACATTTCTGGAGGTCAGAAGTCTCAATGAAGTAAAATCAAGGAGTAATAGGGCTCTATTCATTCTAGGCTTCAAGAGAGAGAATCCAATATCGAGCATTCCATCTTTCTGATGTTCCCACATTCCTAGCAGCATGGCCCCTTCCTCCATCACTCCAGTTTCCCTGTCCGTTGTCCCAGGTCCTCTCTGGCTGTTACCTTCCTCCCTCCCTATTATAAGGACCCTTGTGATTATGATGGTCTCACCCAGATCATTCAGGATACTCTCCTGACCCCCAAATTCTCAACCATGTCTGCCAAGTTATTTTTGACATATTCATAAGTAATGATCATAGATTCCAGATATTAGGACAATGATGTCTTTAGTGGGTGTATTATTCATTCCACAAACAACCCTCATCATCCACACAATGGTCTTCCCCTAAGGTAGAATAAAAATATCACAAGGCAGATTTACGAGGCGATCGACCTAGAAAAAACCTGAGAATCTAGGACTGTCTGATGTGTGGATGTCAAATCCTGGGAGATTCTGAGTCTCTGCTCTATGTGGACTCTATGTTGTGTAGCCATTTGTGGAAGGCTTCTGTGATTTTGTGACCTAGAGAAAATGAATCTCTGCTAAAATCAAATCTAAGAAAGATTGGCAAAGGGAATTTAAAGATTTCCTAAATTTTTGGAATTTCCCTATGCATTAAAGCATGAGAAGTGGCAATAATTCAAACCAACGATGCCCTCCAAGAATGAGGATTTTTCCAATGCATTAGGTTGGGTCCCCTCAGTGAGAAGGATGCCAAAGATTCGCATGCAGGCAGTATATTTACAAAGTGCGGGAAACAAGCAAATGAGCAAGGGAGGGGAGGAGGGAAAGGGAAAGTGAAAGGTGCCTCAGAAGGAGCCACCTCTGAGGATGACGACAGCTCAAGCCCACATAGAAACACAGGAAAAATGCCTCTGTTATTCCACCTGAGAGGTGAGGGAGCTGCGGGATGTGTACACCTCCCTTGTCATCACTGATTGACAGCCGTCCTAGGGGATGCTAATTCCAGGCCATGAGGTCTGCCTCATTTGCAGCCTGAGCTGCTTCCCCAGGTTCAGACAGAGCAGTGAAGGGGAGAAAGGGCCATAGAGAGTCAGCTGAAGTATAATGACTAGAATCCCCAAGGCGTAGTAACAATGACTGCTAAAATTATGCACAAAGAAAAAGCGCATTTGAATCCAGAGATGTATCTCTCTGAATCTGGATATATGGATCCTGGCAGCCTGTTCAGTAGCCATTTCCCAGAAATCCAGTTCTCTGGAAAAGCAGCAGGAGGTTTGTGCACAGGCTGCACTACCTTGGTCTGGCCACTGGTAGTCGTGCATGAGAACTACTCCCTGGAGTATTTCTCAGTCCACTGACACTGATGTAATTGGCTCCACTTCCCCTGCTGTTGAGCCAGGCCGACACGCCCTGGGCAAAGGCATCTGTGTGAAGTATTGAGGTTCAAATCAGTGCTTAAGATATGTTTGGAGGCAAAATACTTTTTCATCTACATGGGCAGTGTCTTGGCAGAAGATGGAGATTCTCTCTAAATGGATGTGAGACAGGGTGGCTGGCATCTGGGTCAGGATGATGCCCTGGTGCATGGCAAGAACATGCATTGGGCAGCAGCTGTCCTCGCTAAGCAGAGAGGTTCACTGACCTGGCTTTTCCCCCCTCACCTGCTCTCCAGAAAGCCAGACTCTAGGGCAGATGCTCCTGAGACCCCAGGAACAGGCTGGTGGGGAGCGCAGCTCAGAGCATTACTCAGGGGATGTGGCCTTTGTCATCCTACTTTGAAACAATTGATTATTTGAGCCTAGATTGATAGAGGGCTTCAAGTTGATTTTAATCCTGGCTCCTATAGTCCGCGAGTGAAACAGAGATTTTGAAATAATGAGACCTGGTATTACTAGTCAGCTCTCCATGCTGGAGAAACATAAGAAATTATACCAAAGGCAGGAAAGGGGATAGAATATGGGGATCATCACGCCAAGAATAAGGTGCAGCCCATTTAGCCCCTAGGTCTTAAAGAGACCCATAGCTCTGGATAATGGCAGATCTATGCGTGACACATTATCATCTTTGTGCATCTTCAGAGAATTGTTTTTCCTTTTACTCCTAGGAACAATGTCTTAAGTTTGTTAGTAAATTCTATTGAATTTATTAAAGATGCTTCTGATAAATTCTTTTTATATTCATTTCAAAAAAGAAGCAATTTCACACTGACAGAGACATTGTTATTATAGCACTAAATACTTTTACACTCATCAAATTCCTTTGAGACTAACTGAAATTTCTGACAGCCCCACACTCTATAACTTTATTGTAAATTTTCTGCCAAAAATGATGCTTTCCTATACACTCTTAATACAAGTATAAATATATTATTTAATCTAGTCTTAGGTTGATTTAAAATTTTGAAAATTCACTCCAAAAATATGTTCTGTAACCATATGGCCACCAATGAGAAGTGTACTCTTTCAAGGTAAATCTGTGCTGCCCTGGTCTGACCTGGGACTCTGGGGATACTGCGCCCGTGTGCTGAGTTACTGAGATGAGCCAGCCCTGCAGCTGTGCTCAGCCTGCCCCATCCCCTGCTGATTTGCCTGTTCCTAGAGCACAGCCCCCTGCCCTGAAGACTTCTTATAGGCTGGCCACACCCGGTGCAGGAGTCAGCCCCAGTCAGGACACAGCACGGACGTGAGGGCCCCCACTCAGCTCCTGGGGCTCCTGGGGCTCCTGGGGCTCTGGCTGCCAGGTAAGGAAGGAGAACACTAGGATTATACTCGGTCAGTGTGCTCAGTACTGTCTGGAACTTCAGGGAAGTCCTCTGATAACATGATTAATTGCAAGAATATCTGTTTTTATGTTTCTAACTTCAGGTGTCAGATGTGACATCCAGATGACCCAGTCTCCATCCTCCCTGTCTGCATCTGTAGGAGGCAGAGTCACCATCACTTGCCGGGCGAGTCAGGGCATTAGCAATAATTTAAATTGGTATCAGCAGAAACCAAGGAAAACTCCTAAGCTCCTGATCTATGCTGCATCCAGTCTGCAAAGTGGGATTCCCTCTCGGTTCAGTGACAGTGGATCTGGGACAGATTACACTCTCACCATCAGCAGCCTGCAGCCTGAAGATTTTGCAACCTATTACTGTCAACAGAGTGACAGTAACCCTCCCACAGTGTTACAAGTCATAACATAAACCCCAAGGAAGCAGATGTGTGAGGCTGGGCTGCCCCAATGCTCCTTCTGGTGCCTCTATCTGCTGAGGGAAGTTCTCAAACTCAGTCAGGTTTGGAAAGTCATCGGGAGATTTTCCTAGAGGAGGCCAGGGAGGTTCCTCTGAACCCTAAGCCTCTTTCGCCCTCATCCCCAGCAGAAAAGACGTGACAATGCCTGTCCTGACTGAATAAAGAAGAGAGATAAGTCCAGCTGAGGAGTCTGTGTTATGGGATAATCGGAATTTGTACAGCAAAAGAGAAGCTATTCTCAGTATTTCAAGGAGAAATTATTCAAGTTGAATAAATTAGAGTCTAAACCACAGTCTTTCCGAAGCCTATGGAGTGTTATTCATGAAGCAGGTACTAGACACAGGGGATTCTCAGGTGCTACTTCAGAAGCCAGGATGCACCTGCCCCTGGTGGTATGTGCTGAACACCGTGTGATGATCCTCAGTCCTGTCTGGGAAGCCCAGGGCTGGGGGTGCTGATGCTCTCAGCTGCCTGCAGCACATCTCCAGGTGATTCTCCAGTCCACACCTAACTGCATGTGTTTTACTTCAGGTGTCAGTGTACATGAATCCACCACTCTGACTTCCCAATCTCATGACAGTAATTAGTTGTAACTTATTGTAACCTCATGGAGCAACTCTAAAGAAACCATAGAGAGAAAAGGAGTTTTGGAAAATGTGCTCCCGGAAGTGATAGTAATGATGGGGAATTGACAGCTGACGGGGAAGTAAGGTGACTCTTTCCACAAGGCTCAACATTTTGCCAGTTATGAATTGTTGCAAAATACATTTGAATGTGCTTTCAAGTATTACCAGTTTGGGGTCATAGCTGAAAAACTTTATTAAGTCACAGATAAAATGGGAAAATCAGGAATATTTTATATTGTATGAAATATACAATAACACTGTGTGTGATGGCTCAGGTCTGTAATCCTGTGATAGTTAATACTGATTGTCAACTTGATTACATTGAAGGATGTAAGCATTGCTCCTGGGTGTGTCTGTGAGGGTGTTGCCAAAGGAGATTAATATTTGAGTCAGTAGTCTGGGGAAGGCAGACCCCCTACTTAATCTATGGGCACCATTTAATCAGCTGCCAGTGAATATAAAGCAGGCAGAAAAAAGTGAAAAATTGAGTCTGGCCCAGCCTCCCAGCCTACATCTCTCTCCCGTGCTGGATGCTTCCTACCCTTGAACATCGGACTCCAAGTTCTTTAGTTTTGAGGCTCGAGCTAGCTCTCCTTACTCCTCACTCCTCATGCCTGCAGACAGCCTACTGTGGGACCTTGTGATCCTGTAAGTTAATATGTAATAAACCCATATATATATATATATATTGAACTTATTAGTTCTGTCCCTCTAGAGAACCCTCATTAATACAGATTTTGGTACCAGGAATGGTTCTGCAGGATCAGAATATTAAGGCTGGAGTTCTTTTGTTGGTTTTGGGGTTTCTGGATTTGGCTGCTAAATATGATTAGATCCCAAAATGCTAAGGACTCTACTTTTAATAGTGTAGAGAATATTGACAGTTCTTGGCATGAAAGGTTTAAAGAGCTATGCAAAACAAATTCATTTGACACTAATGAATCATCGCTCATGAGAGGCAAGGAGTTTAGTGACTCTGTACCTAATACCCTTGACAAACACCTTGCAAAATAGATTTGTGAGGACAGCACCTGCATCTTTGAAGAGCCCTGTAAAGGCTCTTCTCTGTATGTCAGATCTAATGGTGAGAACTGCAGTCACTCAGTTACAAAAGTTAAATACAATTTGGAATAATTGGATCCTGAAGTGGCAGGGGCCAAGTGGTAGCACTCAACCCTCAAAGGCACGGTGGGCGTAGCTACCGTAATGGGCAGAAAAGACAAAGCAGCAATCTGAACAGTCTGACTCACGTAGAGCTCTGGCATTGGCTAACTAATCACAGTGTTCCTGGAAGTGAAACTGACAGGAAGACTAATGCATTCCTACTTAATTTATGTAAGGAGGAAACTTAAGGTCAAACAGATAAAAGACTAACTGGAATCATAAAAACAGAGATTCATGGCCCCTCAATCAATTTCCAGCCTTGAGCCAGTTTACAGACCCAGAACCCCTTGAATGAAGGGGAGGCTGGGTCCCCCTGAGGTGTCCATGGCAGATAGGAATGCTGCTTTGAGGCTTTGGCAAGCCTCCATAGGTGAATCATGGTGGAGGCCTCTAGTATTTTGCAGCAAGGACCGGTCATCTTCTCCAGTTAACTACTCTCCTTTTGAGAGACAGCTCTTGTCCTATACTGGGCTTTTGTGGAAACTGAACATTTGACTATGAGTCAACAAGTCACCATGCGACCTGAACTGCCTATCGTGAACTGGGTGCTTTCTGACTCATGTAGCCATAAAGTGGGTCATGCACAGCAGCATTCCATCATCAAATGGAAATGGTGTATAAGTGATTGGGCTCAAGCAGGTCCTGGGGGGCACAAGTAAGTTACATGAGGAAGTGGCTCAAATGCCCACGGTCTCTACTCTTGCCACCCTGCCTTCTCTCCCATGGCCTGCACTGATGACCTCATGGGGACTTGCCTTTGAGCAGTTGACACAGGAAGGGAGGACTAGGGCCTGGTTCACAGATGGTTCTCCACAATAGGCAGGTACTGCCCAAAAGTGGACAGCTGAAGCACTACAGCCCCTTTCTAGGACATCCCTGAAGGACAGTGGTGAAGGACAATCTTCCCAGTGGGCAGAACATTGAGCAGTGCACCTGATTGTGCACTTTGCATGGAAGGAGAAATTTCCAGATGTGCGGTTATATACTGATTCATGGGCTGTAGCCAATGGTTTGGCTGGATGGTCAGGGACTTGGAAGAAGCATGATTGGAAAATTGGTGACAAAGAAACTTGGAGAAAGAGTATGTAGATGGACCTCTCTGAGTGGTCAAAAACTGAAGATATTTGTACCCTGTGTGAGTGTTGACCAACAAGTGACTTCAGCAGAGGAGGATTTTGATAATCAAGTGGATAAGATGACCCGTTCTGTGGATACCACTCAGCCTCTTTCCTCAGACACCCCTGTCATTGTCCAATAAGCCCATGAACATAGTGGCCATGGTGGCAGGGATGGAGGTTATGCATGGATTCAGCAATGTGGACTTCCACTCACCAAGGCTGAACTGTCTGTGGCCACTGCTGAGTGCCCAATTTGCCAGCAGCAGCAGCAGAGACTAACAGTGAACCCTTTGTATGGCATCATTTCCTGGGGTGATCGACCAGCTACCCGGTAGCAGGTTGATCATATTGGAACTCTTCCACCATGGAAAGGAGAGAGGTTTGTCCTCATTGGAACAGGCACTTACTCAGGATATGGGTTTGCCTACCTGCATGCAATGCTTCTGCCAAGACTACCATTTATGGACTCAAGGAATGCCTTATCCACTATCACGGTATTCCACACAGCATTACCTTTGACCAAGCACTCACTTTACAGGTAAAGAAGTGAGGCAGTGGGCTCATGCTCACGGAATTCACTGGTCTTACCATATTCCCCATCTTCCTGAAGCAGCTGGATTGATAGAATGGTGGGACGGCCTTTTGAGGTCGCGATTACAACATCAACTAGGTTGCAATACTTTGCCGGGCCGGGGCACCATACTCCAGAAGACCATGTGTGCTCTGAATCAGCGCCCAATGTATGGTATTGTTTCTCCCATAGCCAGGATTCACAGATCCAGGATTCAAGGGGTGGATGTGAAAGTGGAACCACTCACTATGATGCACTAGCAAAATGTTTGCTTTCTGTTCCCACGACATTAGGTTCTGCTTTACTAGTCATCTTAACTCCAGAGGGAAGAACGCTGCTACCAGGAGACACAATAACAATTCCATTAAACTGGAAGTTAAGATGGCCACTTGGATGCTTTGGGGTCCTCCTACCTTTAAGTCAACAAGCTAAGAATGGAGTTACAGTGTTGGTGGCAGTGATTGACCCAGACTATCAAGATGAAGTCAGTCCGCTACTCCACAATGGAAGTGAGGAAGAGTATGCATGGAATATAGGAGATCCATTAGGGCGTCTCTTGGTATTATCATGCACTCTGATTAAGGTAAATGGGAAACTATACCCAATCCAGGTAGGACTACAAACGGTCCAGATCCTCTCCGGGTCACGACCTTCTGAGGTGCTTGCTGAAGGCAAAGGGAATACAGAATGAATAGTGGAAGAAAGTAGTTATCAATACCAGCTACAAACACCTGACCAGCTGCAGAAATGAGGACTGGAACTATCATGAGTATTTCCTTCTTTTGTTAGAAACATGTTTGTGCATGTATGCACTTGTACTAAGAAAATATCTTCATTTCATTTCCCTTTTCTTTATCAGGTGACATAGATTTGCTGACCTCATATCAGCATTTAAGTATTGTTTACTTTATGTAAGAGTATTTGGGTTGGGGATGGGTGCATTTCCAGTTGTAGGAAGGATAGTTTATTATGTTAGGGGTAATTATGACCTTACTATTGTCTGTATTTTAAGATTATGTATGATCTCAGGAGATGTGTGTGGGTTCAAGTTCACAAGGGGTGGGCTTGTGATGGTTAATAACGAGTGTCAACTTGATTGGATTGAAGGATGTAAAGTATTCATCCTGGGTGTGTCTGTGAGGGTGTTGCCAAAAAAAATTAACATGTGAGTCAGTGGGCTGGGAAAGGCAGACCCACCCTTAATCTTTGTGGGCACAATCCAATCAGCTGCCAACCCAGCCATACTATAAGCAGGCAGAAAAATGTGAAAAGAGACGGGCCTCACCTCCCAGCCTACATCTTTCTCCCATGCTGGATGCTTCTTGCCCTCGAACATGGACTCCAAGTTCTTCAGTTTTGGAACTCTGGCTGGCTCTTTTTGCTCCTCATCCAGCAGATGGCCTATTGTGAGACTTGGTGATTGTGTGAGTTAATACTTAATAAACTTCCTGTATTAGCCAGTGACATCTAGAGGGACAGAACTAACAGGATATATACATATATATATACATACGCACACACATACATATATATGCACACACACACACACATATATATATTTATTTATAAAGGGGAGTTTATTAACTTACAGGATCATAAGTTACACAATGGGCTGTCTGCAAACTGATGAGAAAGGAGAGCCATGGGGTCCAATGTTTGAGGGCAGGAAGAAACCAGCATGGGAGAAAGATGTAGGCTGGGAAGCTAGGCCAGTCTCTCCTTTTCAAATTTTTCTGCCTGCTTTATATTTGCTGGCAGCAGATTAGATTGTGCCCACCAGATTAAGGGTGGGTCTGCCTTCCCCAGCCCACTGACTCAAATGTTAATCTCTTTTGGCAACACTCTCACAGACACACCCTGGATCAATACTTCATATCCCTCAATCCTATCAAGTTGACACTCATTATTAACCATCTCACTCCCCTTCATATATATATGTATATAGTCCTTTAATTCTGTCAGTCTAGAGAACCCTGACTAATACATCTACACTTCTGATGATCTATTTCTTTTATTTTAGGTCATTTATTTCCCCTGGGTTGCCTACACTCGCTTCTTCCCACTCCCCTATGAAGGACAATATAAGCCTCTGGACCTCACTAGGTCAGGGCATGTCCCTGCTTGCACTATCCATGACACTTTTCTCTTTTACTCTTTAGCAATGAGGGAATGTCATCCTTACCCAGATGCCAGCCACCTGTCTCACATCCAGGACAGAGAGTCTCCATCTCCTCTCCAGCAAATACCTATGTATGTGGGCATGGTGGCATGCCCCTGTGATCCCAGCTACTCCATAGGCTTAGAGGGGAGAATCACTTGTGCTTGAGAATTCAAGGTTGCAAGGAGCCATGATCACACCACTGCACTTCATGCTGGGCAACTGAGTGAGACCCTGTGATTTTTCCCCTACATTTTACAGAATTTTTTTTTGCCTCTTTCTTCTATTAATTTATGTTTTGTCCATTCATTTTCTGCAAACCTTCAGAGGGCAAATAGGAAGTTTCCCTTTTTAACGTGGTGGCTCACGCCTGTAATCCCAGCACTTTGGGAGGCCGAGGTGAGCAGATCACCTGAGGTTGGGAGTTCGAGACTAGCCTGACCAACATAGAGAAACCCCGCCTCCACTAAAAAAAATACAAAATTAGCAGGGTGTGGTGGTGTGCACCTGTGATCCCAGCTACTCAGGAGGCTGAGGCAAGAGAATTGCTTGGACCTGGGAGGCGAAGGTTGCAGTGAGCCCAGATTGTGCCACTACACTCCAGCCTGGGTGACAAGAGCGAAACTCCATCTCAAAAAAAAAAAAGAAACAAAAACAAACAAAGAAAAAAACACCTACTGCCTCACTGAATTAAAGGTGTGTTCAGCAGTTTCTTTGTTATTTCGAAGAGTGTCATCTGCTTCAGCAGGGTCAGTTTTTAATGTATTTGTTTTGTTTCTTTTTTCTCTGTCTGGTGTTGTTTTCTATTTTATTATAATTTTTTAAATTTGAGGGATGAGGTTTTCATAGCACTGAATATCAAACAATGAATCCGCATGAATGATTCACCTAATTTCCTTGGTTTTAGTCCTCTATACAGGTTTTATATAGCAAAAGAACCATTTAAAGACTTGGGTTACAAATGTATTTTATTTTACCTCTGGCATGCCTTGGGCTGAGAAAGCATTATATGGTGACACAGTATTTGTAACATTCTCATAGCCATCTGGCGGTGGTTCAAGGTATGACATTTTGAAAATCTAGCAAGAATTAAAATATGTCAAGTTAGAGATAAAAATTCCAGATTATTATTAAGATATAATTCATTTTGCCCCAAGTATATACTTCAGATTAAGCATCCTGGAACTAGGTTCTATAATTAAATAGATAAATTACACTGACAACAATGAGAAAGAGCCTTATCATTATTATTGTCTTCCTAATAATAGAAACTTTTATAAATGCATGCAATCCCAGGTAACCAAAAGTTTCCTTATAAAGTGTAACAGCAGAGCTTCAAAGGTGGCATTTGGCAAGCCTCTTTTTTTGACTATGCCTTTTCAGCTTCCTTTGTGGGCTCCTTTTCTTTCATCTTTATTTAAATAATATTTCCCTATGTTTTATCCCCAGCCCATTGCTTGCCTCTGTACTGCCTCCCTGTGAGACTTCATTAAGTATCAGAATTTTACCAATAGCTCATATGCTTATGATGCTTACCTTTTCAGATTCGTATATTTAAATGTTTTGTGATTATTTCATCCTGGATGTCCAAACTCAACATGTTAAAATTCAAATTTATCATCTCTCACCCCGGGCCTGCTTTTGGTCTGCATTTCCTACCTCTATTAATAGCTTCAGTTATTAGCCACCGACACCAGACAGTCTCGGAGTCATCCTGAACTCTATCTTCCCCTCCTTCCCCAAGTCAATCACTAATCAAGTCCTGCTAATACATTTCCTTACTATTTCTGAAATCCATCCCTCTTCCTCATTCCTACTAACATCCTAATTTAAAACTTTATTATCTTTTACCTGGACTATTGTCTTAAGACAACAACTTTAACCCGTTGCTTAGCCTAGGTGTAATCCACAGAGGATCTTGTCTGTCTAAGATGCCCCTCTAGCCACATCCTTCCCCTGCTCAGATCTTGTCATTGGCTCCCATGAACTGAAGTTGAAGTTTAAGCTCCTTAGGACAGCATACACGCCCTTCTATGATCTGTTCCCAGAACATATTTACTGGTTTATCTCATATCATGGCCCACTTTGTATTTTACACTTTTGAAATACAGAAAATCATTACATTCTCCCAATAATACTAAGCTAGTATATGCCTAAAAGCCTTTGTCAATATTTTGTCTTTTGTTGAGAATTCTCTTAGCTTATTTTGTCACGTGGTTAACTCCTTATGTCCTTTCACGACTCACATGTCAAGAATTCAGGAAACCTTCTCTAACTCCCAGGCTGGGCTGAGTGACCCTTTTCTGGGTAAATAATGAACTCTAATCATACTCTTCATAGCACTTACCATACTAATTTGAAGTCTGAAGTATTCCATTTTCTGCCTCAGTTTACTTAGGCAAAGGAACCATGTCCTAGTCTCATTCTGGCCTCAGGACTTCAGCCTGGGCGACAGTGGGAGACTGTGTGTCAAAAAAAAAAAAAAATTGCCAATGATTGAAGCCTAATACTGAAGATTCTGGTTTATTAATAATTAGTCTGTTGCTGGGTGTTAATTGAGCTCCCCAAGTGATTACTCATGTAGGACTTCAAAACGATAATTTAGAACCTTGTGACTAAAAATCTGGGCAAAAATAAGCAGCATCAGTATCACCTGGGAGCAGCTTCAGGTCTCACTTTAGATTTACTCTGAATCTAAATATTATATTTTTATTAAAAAAATTAAGAACAGATGACAAGCTTCAACTACATCTAAATTCTTTAGATTTACTTTCAAAGAATCAACATTTTGACACAATACCAAAGTGAACTAAATTCGCTTTTTTTTTTTTTTTTTTGAGACAGAGTCTTGCTCTGTTGCCCAGGCTGGAGCGCAGTGGTGCAATCTCGGCTCACTGCAACTTCCACCTCTCCAGTTCAAGCGATTATCTTGCCTCGGCCTCCAAAGTAGCTGGGATTACAGGCACATGCCATCATGCCCGGCTAATTTTTGTATTTTTAGTAGAGACAGGGTTTCACAATGTTGGGTCAGCTGGTCTCGAACTCCTGACCTCAAGTGATCTGTCTGCCTCAGCCTTCCAAAGGCTGAGATTATAGACATGGGCCACCATGCCCAGCCTAAATTTGCTTTAATTTGGAGAAGTACTGGTCTAGAAAACACAAATTCCAAGGAGACTCAGGTTCTTAAGTTGATTTCTTGAGTACAAGTTCTTCAAATGCATTCTCCAAGATTAATTTTTTTTTTTACTTTTTAAATTGACAAAGATTATACATATTCATGGCTATATGGGGATGTTTCAGTACATGTAGATGGTGATCAGATCAGGGTAATTAGCATATCTATCATCTCAAACATTTATTATTTCTTTGTGTTGGGAACATTCAAACTACTCCTAGGTATTTTAAACTACATAATATAGTATTGTTAACTATAGTCATCTACAGTACTATAGAACACTAGAACTTATTACTCCTACCTAGCTGTAATTTTGTATCCATTAACAAATCTCTTACCATTCCTCCTTTCTCCCTACCCTTTTCAGCCTGCAGTATCCTCTGTTCTACTTTTTACTTCTATGAGATCAACTTTTCTTTAGCTTCTGCGTGAGTGAGAACATGTGGTGTTGAAATTTCTATTCCTGGCTTATTTTGCTTAACATAATATCCTCCAGTTCCATCCATGTTGCTGAGAATGACAGGGTTTTATTTATTCTTTTTTATGGCTAAATAGCATTCCTTGGTGTATATATACCGTATTTTAAAAATCCATTCATCTGTTGTTGGAAATCTAGGTTGATTCCATATCTTGGCTATTGTGAACACTGTTGCAATAAACATGGGGATGCAGATGTCTCTGTAATATAATGCTTTTCTTTCCTTTGGATAAATTCCCAGTAGTGGGATTGCTTGAGGTGTTTCAATACTGTTCTCCATACTGGCTGCTCTAATTTACATTCCTACCAACAGTGCATAAGAGTTCCTTTTTCTCCAGCTACTCAGGAGGCTGAGGGAGGAGAACTATTTGAACCCTAGAAGCAGAGGGAGCCAGATTACACCACCACTGCACTCCAGCCTGGACGGAGAGTGAGATTCTGTCAAAAAAAAAAGTCCCTTTTCTTCACGTCTTTGTCAGCATTTGTTATTTTTGTCTCTTCTATAATAGCCATCCTAACTGAAGTAAGATGATGCCTCACTGTGGCTTTGATTAGCATTTCCTTGCTGATTAGTGGTGTTGAACATTTTTTCATATATTTGTTGGTCATTTGTATGTCTTCTTTTGAGAAATGTCTGTTCAGAGCATTTGTTTATATTTAATTAGATTGTTGTGCTTCTTTGCTGTTGATATGTTTGAATTCCTTGTATATTCTTGATATTAATTTCCTGCCAGATGAGTTTATACTTTCTCCCATTCTGTAAGTTGTCTTTTCACTCACTTTCTTATTTCCTTTGCTGTGCAGAAGATTTTTAGCTTGATGTGATCCTATTTGTTTATTTTTTCTTTTGTTGCCTGTGCTTTTGATGCCTTATTCATAAAATATTTTCCCAGAGCAATGTCCTGAAGGATCTCCCCTATGTTTTCTTCTAGTAGCTTTACCATTTTGGGTCTTATATTTGGGTATTTGAGATACTTTGAGTTGATCTTTGTATAGGGTGAGAGGCAGAGGTCTAGTTTCATTCTTCTGCATATGGATATCCAGTTTTTCCAGCACCATTTATTGAAGAGACTATCCTTTCCCCAATGAGTGTTCTTGGCATCTTTGTAAAAAATCCGTTGGCTGAGATATGTGGATTTTCTGGGTTCTTTATTCTATTCCATAGGTCTATGTGTCTGTTTTTATGCCAATACCATGATGTTTTGGTTACTACAGTTTTGTAGTGTATTCTGAGGTCTGGTAGCATGATACATCCAGCTTTGTTCTTTTTGCTTAGGATGGCTTTGGCTATTCAGGATACTTTTTGATTCCATAAAATCTCTTTGGATTTTTTTTTAATTTTGTGAAGAATGTTCATAGGTATTTTGATAGAGATTGCATTGAATCTGTAGGTTGCTTTTGAGTAGTACTGTCACTTTAACAACATTCATATTTCTGATCCATGAGTATGAATGTCTTTTCATTTGTTTGTATCCTCTTCAATTTCTTTCATTAGTGTTTTGTAGTTTTCATTTTACCTCCTTAGTTACATTTATGTCTGGGTTTTTTTTTTTTGGTAACTATTGTAAATGGGTTTGCCTTCTTAATTTCTTTTTCAGCAAGTTTGTTGTTCATATATAAAAATGCAACCAATCTTCATGTATTAGTTTTGTGTCTTGCAACTTCACTGAATTTGTTTGTTCTAAAAGTTTTCTGGTAGTCTTCAGGTTTTCCTATATATAAGATCATGTCATCTGCAAATAGGAACAATTTGATGTCCTCCTTTCCGATTTGAATGCCCTTTATTTCTTTCTCTTGTCTAATTACTCTTGATAGGACTTCACATTTATATACTTTGAATATTTAAAATGTTTACATAAATGTCAGAATCAACTTTCATTTTTCATAGAAAAAGAAGATCCTACTTGTTTTGTAGTTTTAATATTAATCAATTATTATTATCTGAGACAAATTATTAACAAACCATCTATTAAAATATTTCACCACAAATAAATTCCATAAGGAAAATATCTACAACTGTTTTTATGAAAGAAAAAAAGGCTTCTCTACAGTTGCTTAGGCCTGGTGCCATGGCACACACCTATAAATCCCAGCGCTGTGGGAGGCCATGGCAAGAGGATCCTTTGAGCCCAGGAGTTTGAGACCAGCATGGACAACAAAGTGAGACCTCATCTCTACAAAAAATAAAAAAGAAATTAGCTGGCCATGGTGGTGCGTGCCTGTGGTCCTAGCTACTCGAGAGGCTGAGGAAGGAGGATCACTTGAGCCAGGGAGGTGGAGGTTTCACTGAACCATATTCACACCACTCCACTCCAGCCTGGGCAACAGAGCTAGACCTTGTCTCAAAAAATTAAGTTAGTTAAATTAAACATAAAGTTGCATTGTATTTAAGAAATTGGGAAAGCAGAAAATGCTTCTGTTTTTCTTTTGAGTTGAACAATGAGAACACATGGACACAGGGAGGGGAACATCACATACCGGGGCTTGTCAGGGGGGTGGGAGGCTAGGGGAGTGATAGCATTAGGAGAAATACCTAATGTAGATGATGGGTTGACGGGTGCAGTAAACCACCATGGCATGTGTATACCTATGTAACAAACCTCCACGTTCTGTACATGTATCTCAGAACTTAAAATGTAATAATAACAATAATAAAAACCTCAAAAAAAGGAAATGCTTCTTCTTAGAACAGATTACATACCCTCATTGCTTTTTATAATAGCCTGTAATAACAGAATATCCACAAGGTGGCAGTAATATATCAGTTTCATCCTCTGAAATTAAAACTTTTGCCTATTCAGTAATACAATGGATCTTTTGAACTCACTCTAACACGTAGAATACAGCAATTTGACTTAATAATTAGCCTTTAAATTTATAGTCTTGTATTATCACTTTAGTAGTTTGAATTATTTTGTATTTTAATATATTTAAATGAATTAGTCCTATAGAAATTGACTAATTTGACATGTGAAGGTGTTTTTATTCTATTTTCAGAAGTTTAGCTTTAAAAAAATTTCTAAACTTCGATATCTGGTGAGTGTCAATGTTTTTATCTTATTAAAAGCTGACAGACCACACTATATTCAACTGATTTTTTTTTAACAAGGATGCAAAATCAGTTTAAAGGAAGGATATCTTTTTCAACAAATGGTGCTACAGCAATTGGACATTCACAGGTACAAAAACTAAGACTGACCTAAATTTATACTTTATATAAAATTTAGCTCACATAAATCACAGGCTTAAATGTAAAATGTAATATTATAAAACTTAAAGTTGTGTATGGTAGCTCGTGCCTGTAATCCCAGCTACTACTCAAGTGGCTGAGGTGGAAGCATCACTTCAATCCAGCAGTTAGTGGCTGCAGTGAGCAATGATGGCACCACTGCACTACAGCTTGGGCGAAACCTCGTCTCAAAAATAATTAATAAATAAATAAATTCACTAAACTTTTTAAAATAGAAGAAAACTCTTGAGACCTTGGGCTAGGCAAAGAATTTTTAGGCTTGATATTAAAAACAAAATCTACAAAAGGAAAAAGTGATAAAACTGGACTTCATTAGAATAAATAAACACTTTTTTTTTTTTTTTTTTTTTTTTTTTTACTTAGAAAGACCCTGTAAAGAGGTTGAAAAAATGAATTACAGACTGGGAGAAATAATTTGCATACCATATATCTGACAAAGAACTTACATCTAGCATATGTAAAAAATTCTCAAAACTCAATGGTAATAAGATACCAATTAGAAAATAGGCATATGTGACCTCTCTGTATTATAACTTAAACCTCATGTGACTACAATTATTTCAAATGAAATAAACAAAACAGTAATGCCTGTTTCTGGCATATAAAATAATCAGAGAACATAGAATTGTACGAAGTTAAATTATTGGGCCATTTACTTAATTTAAATATTTTTAAATGCGTGTACCCATTTTGCTTGAAGGTGTGTGCAAGTATGCTTGTATTTTTTTTAACGATAATATGGTCACATGAGCATTAAATTTATTTTTTAAAAGTTTATAGTTACCCCACACAAGTTCTTATTGATTCCCTCATTCTTAACACCTGCATAGTATTTCATTTTATAATTAATGGATTGTAGGTTTATTCTTTTAAAATCACTTGTGTTGTTCTCATTTTTTTTTTTCACTAAAAAGTGTTGCAATGCACAAAACTAAAAATATAAGGAGGGTCTTTTCTGGATCTCTGTTGAAAAACTTTGAATAAAAATTACAAGTTCAAATCACATGCAAAATAAACATTTTAATTAATCGGGCTTTTATGCAAGATGTTAGTAGCAGTAGCAGCACAGTTTTATTAAGATCCCTGAATCTCTCACAAAAACTGACTGAGCAACTGGGATAACAAGGTATTAACTACGACAAAACAATGTAACAGGGTGTCATCATGGACGTTTTGTGAGGTTAAACCACAGGGACCCAGGGGAATCACCAATTTTTTTGGAAGAAGGAAAGGAAAGGAAAAAAATGTTTAATGGCCCTGGGAACTGGAAAACCTAGAAATACAAGTGCTAACATCTGTGTTCCTAAATTCAGAGATTCTTACTAGGCAAAAAGAACTCAGCAGATTAATCTGAGAACAGCAGCTGAGGCTGGCAGAAGGCTTCCTGGGCCTCAACTCATAGCTGAGAGTGAGGGTGGCAAAAAGCAGTGCTGTGAGTGGTCTGTTTCCTATGAACCCTACAAATTAACCACCCCCAAAACAAAGCCCTGTCCTAAGGAGAAACTGCAGGAAGTCAATTATAAATTGAGTTGGGAAGCACACTGAGGCTCAAGAAAAGGGAAGCTCCAGGTTAAGATGCAAGAGAAGAAGGGAAAAGGCAGTTTTCTGCAAGTTCAAGCACAAATAATTTCTTTACCTTCTAGTTCTGGAAATACCAGGTGCTGTGTATGTAAAGCAGGAATTTTGGTTGAATATTATATAATTTTCTGACCCACTGTTACTAATCCAGTTTCCCCTGTACTCAGATCTTCCATACTACAGACAGACCTGACAGATGCTCAGCAAATAGTAGCTAATATTTTCTAGGAAACTATGTGCTAAACGAGTTTTCTTAAATTTCTACCTCCAGGTCTGTAAGTTGATTTGAAGCATTACCAGTTTCTGGTTCTGCACAGGTTGTTGAGCGCAGGACTTCTCTCCTCCAGTGGAAAGTCCACCTGCTCACAATCAACCATCCTTTCCTGCAGCCTTGGAGACACTACTCAGTGTAGCATGCCTCCCAGTCTAGAATAGGCACACTCATCATCAGTCTCTCTCATTTTCTGTCTTATCTCCATTCCATCTACATACAGTTTTTGTTTTCACCAATGTTTTTAAATAAACAATTGTACAAGCACGACGACAACAGAAACCTTCCTTCCCCCAGTGTTGTAGTGAGCAAGGAATATATTTAACTTCAAATAAAAGACAAGAACAAATGCTGGATAAAGCTGACAGAAAGAAATGCAACTGTAGGTGCTCTGGCAATATAGAAATGATACAACTAAGAAAAATGGAAGAAAAGGAAAGAGAAAGTATTCCTCAGAATGATTTTACTGACTGCTCATCTGTAATGCCTGGGAGTCAAAGGATATTGTTTATAGAAATGTAAGCATACTTAATGGCACCAGGGGAAACAAAGTTAATATGATTAAATCAAATTGTGGGATGAAAAATCACATAGGGAGGACAAGAAAGAGAATACAGCTAATACCATTGTTCTTAGTTTAGAGACATTAGCTACTGTCTAAAGAAAGAGATGATTTTATGAAATTACATAAGGTAGCCATCAGAATAAAAGTTTAACTCTTCCAAATATCACAACATCAAAACAAAAGCAATAAAACAAGACAGCAAAAGACAGATATGTGCATATAAATCATAGCATAATATACTGTAATCAAAATATAACCAAACACAATTTATCATTAAAAGTAAGTGGGCTTGACTCTTATTAGAGGAAAAAATATTGTCAGATTAAATCAAAAAGCAAATCTCAATTCTATGCTGGATATAAGATAAAGTGTTACAGAAAGTTTAGAAATAAAAGTATAGGCAATGAATAAAAGGATCTTCTCTTCATGCGTTAGGAGTATAAAACAGTAAGTAAACACATCATATGTTTTCTGTTTTTACACTTAAATGGCTGGAGATGTTACACCACTAGTATGAATTTACTTCAGATATATAAAGGATACACTTTTATGTGGTTAGAAACAGCAATGATAATAGTTAAGGTGAAAATAACATCTGCATTGAGGCTAGGAAGAAAGAGCCATTGTTGGGTACATAGTGATCGTATTACCATGGAGCAATCTGTTCCCAACTGAAATGTCCTTGACCTTCTACTGAAATCATGTAAGATTCTGCAAAAGTAGTGTTTACTTCCCACAAATCAGCCATTTGTGGGAATGGCTGCTATTGTTGTCCACACGGAATGAGCATCAGACCTATATTTAGCTGTTGTTTCATTAAGAGTCGTATTTGGCCCTTTCCAGAGGCCGTTATTTCAATTACATTTTGGAGAATTAGTCTATTTCCAGACAAATAATTTTTCCAGAACTTTGATCCATATGAAATGTCCCTTTGGTAGGGATCCAGGGATTGAGTTTATTTTTAATTACTGTAGCATCCTGGTCAGGTTGAGAAACAGATTACCTTTATATTTCCCTGGCATGTAAGCAGGGCTAGATTTAGCGTGAGAATGCTTGAAAGTTTATAGTTTTTTAGAAATTTTATTTACTGTGTGTCTCTTTATCAAAATAAAATTAATGCTGAAAAGCTATATTAAATGAATTATTTTGAGATGGTCTCTTCCCCCTTCTTCCAGTGAGAGGATATCCACAGATATGTCAGGAGCTTGCTTTACCTAGAAATGTGTTGAGGGCCACAGGTTTGGGTTCACCTAGGAATGTTTAGGGACACCTCCCCAAGTTGTTGTTGAAGAGTGGGGTAAATGTAAGATAGAATTAGGCTCACGGAGGCCAGATGAGAGCATCATATCACCCCAGAAACATAGCATATACCTAGGAGATCTGTTCTCAGTATCAAAGTCTTAAGCACTGTAAGATTGCCTATAGACCAAGACAACAACTATATATATATATAGTTAATAAAATCAGTTAATATATAAACATATATTTATTAACTTATTTTTATTTTTATCTTCAGACAGCATCTTGCTCTGTCACCTAGGCTGGAGTGCAGTAGTGCAATTAAGGCTCACTGCAGCCTTGACCTCTGGGGCTGAAGCTATCCTCCTGCCTCAGTCTCCTAAAGTGCTAGGATGAGAGGTGTGAGTCACCTTGCCAGGCCCAGGGCAATAACTATGCAATGTTTATATAATTTGGAGCAAAAAATATTTGAAATATGTGTGCATTGCTTTTTAACCTTTTCTACTGATTTACTTTATTAAATACTGAATAGAAACAATATATTTATAAAATATTTATTTTATATATATAATAAGCACATAATGAACACCTGTGTCTCCAGTCTTGGTTTAAGAAATTAAGCCAAAAGTAATCATAAGTGCTTATGATTACTTTTGAAGTCACCTGTACAACTTTTGCTGACTACATCCCCTTCTTCAACACTCTAACGATGGCCACTGTGAGCACTGTGTATATTGAATTGTGTTGTATTTTAATACCGTGTGCACTACTTTGTTTTCCTAGCTGTATGCTATTGCATTTAGTGAGCATAATGAATTATATCAGTATAATTCACTTTTGTCATTTCATTGTTTCAGCTCTTCTGTACTAATTATTGCCAATATATTTCTACTGGCATAAAAACAGACACATAGGACAGTGGAACAGAATAGAGATCGCAGACAAATCTACACATTTACAAACAATTCATCTCTGACAAAGGCATCAAGAACATACACTGGGAAAACAACAGTCTTTTCAATAAATGATCCTGGGAAAACTGAATAACCATATGCAGAAGGATAAAATTAATCCCATCTCACCATACACAAAAATCAAATCAAATAAAAATGGATTAAAGACTTGAATCTGAGACCTGAAACTATGAAGCTAGTAAAAAAAAAAAAAAATAGGAAAGGCCGGGCGCGGTGGCTCTTGTCTGTAATCTGAGCACTTTGGGTGGCCAAGGCGGGCGGATCACAAGGTCAGGAGATCGAGACCACCCTGGCTAACACGGTGAATCTCCGTCTCTACTAAAAATACAAAAAACAAAAAAAAAATTAGCGGGGCATGATGGTGGGCGCCTGTAGTCCCAGCTACTCGGGAGGCTGAGGCAGGAGAATGGCGTGAAAAAAAAAAAAAGAAAGAAAGCAAGCATAGGAGAAATGCTCCAGGACATTAGTCTGGGCAAAGATTTTTTTGCGTAAGACCTCGGAAGCACAGGCAGCAAAAGCAAAAATAGACAATGGGATTATATCAAACTAAAAAGCCTCAAGCAAAGGAAACAATCAACAAAGTGAAGAGCCAAGCACAGAATGGGACAAAATATTTTCAAACTATCTATCTGACAAAGGATTAACAAGTAGAATATATAAGGAGCTCAAACAACTCAATAATAAACAAACAAAAAATCTGATTGAAAAATGGGCTACTGAAGAGGCTGAGGTAGGAGGATTTCTTTTTTTTTTTTTTTTTTTTTTTTTTTTTTTTTTTAATGAGATGGAGTCTCGCTGTCGCCCAGGTTGGAGTGCAGTGGCGTGATCTCGGCTCACTGCAGGCTCTGCTCCCCCGGGGTTCACGCCATTCTCCTGCCTCAGCCTCCTGAGTAGCTGGGACTACAGGCGCCCGGCACCAATCCCGGCTGATTTTTTGTATTTTTAGTAGAGATGGGGTTTCACCATGTTAGCCAGGATGGTCTCGATCTCCTGACCTCGTGATCCGCCCACCTCTGCCTCCCAAATTGCTGGGAATACAGGCGTGAGCCACCGCGCCCGGTCAGGAGGATTTCTTAATCCCAGGAGTTTGAGGTTACAGTGAGCTATGATTATGCTACTGCCCTTTAGCTTGGGTGACAAAGCAAGACCTTACTTCTCAAAAAAAATAGTTAAAAATATATAAATAAATACAATTTAAAAATGGGCTAAAGATCTGAACAGATATTTTCTCAAAAGAAGACAAACAAATGGCCAATAGGAAGACAAAAAATATTCAGTATCACTAATCGTCAAAGAAATGCAAATCAAAATCACAATGCAATATCATCTCACCTTGGTTGAAATGACTTGTTTCAAAAAGACAGGCAATAACAGATGCTGGCAAGGATGTGGAGAAAGGGAAATACTAGTACACTGTTGGTGGGAATCCACATTAATAAAGCCACTATGGAGAATAGTATGGAGGTTCCTCAAAAAAGTAAAAATAGAACTACCATGTGGTCCAGCAATTTCTTTACTGGATGTATATCCAAAATAAAGGAAATTAATGTATCAAAGACATATCTACATGCCGATGTGTACTGCAGCACTATTCACAATAGACAAAATATGGAATCAACGTAAGTGCTCATCAACAAATGAATAGATTTTAAAAGTCATATATATACATAATGCAATACTACTCAGAAACAAAGAAGAATGAAATTCTGTCATTCACAGCAACATAGGTGGCACTGGCCATTTGGTTTAACGTAATGAACATAGGCCATTATGTTAAGTGGAATGAGCCAAGCACAGAAAGGCAAATACCACATGTTGTCACTCATATGTGGGCAGTAAAAAAGTGGATCTCATGAAGATAGAAAGTAAATTGGTGGTTGCTAGAGGCCAGCAAGGGGAGTGGGAAGAGGAGATTAAGAGAAGAAAATATAAATGTATTTATCACCACTAAACTGTCCTCTAAAAATGTACAGATGGTAAATTATATATATATATATTTTAACTCAATAAAAAGTTAAAAAAATTCTGCTGTGTGTTTATAGGGCACATGTACAAGACTTTCTCTAGGGTTGTATCAGTTTTCTATTCCTGCTGTAACAATTTACCACAAATTCAGTGGCTTAAAAGAACACATTTTTGTAAGATTTGAGTCAGTTTTAAAAAACACACACAGACTTATTGTCTTAGAATTGTTTTGGTTGGAAATCTGGCATGGCTCTCACTGAACTAACATCAAGATGTTGGCAGGCTGCATTTCTTTCTGAAGGCTCTAAAAGAGCATCTGGGTTGTTGGCAGAATTCAGTTCCTTGTGGTTGTAGATCCTCAGTTTCTTCCTGGTTGTAAACTTTGGGTCATTCCCAGCTTCTAAAGGTCACTGGCTTTTCTTGGCTTGTGGCCCCCTACCACTGTTTTAAAAGCCAGTAATAGCAGGCCACATCTTTCTCATACTGCCATCTGTCTGAATCTCAGCATCCAGAAAATATTCTCTGCTCTCAAGGAATTATGAGATTAGACTGGCTCACCAAGGTAATTCAAGGTAATTTCCCCATTTCAATGCCCTTAATGGTAATCACATCTGCCAAGTCTCTTTGAACATGCTAACTTACGTTAGCATGTTCACCTTATCTGAAGACTGGGATGTGGCTGTCTTTGGTGGGGGGCAATTATTCTGCCTAACCCAAAGATACACAACTTGCAGATATACAACTAGTTCATGGAGATGAAACATTTTCAAATCTACAAGAAAATGTTTTCTAAAATGAGCATTGCATATTAGACTTTCACGAGCACTGTATCAGACTTATATTTACTTCATAATATTGCCAATACTGATATCAGATATTTAATTTTCTAGCCAGTTCAGGATAATGTGAATTGTGAATAATATATTTGTTCATCCAGTCAACAAACATTTTTTATCAGATACCACCGATATGCTGGACAGTGTCATGGATCCTAAAAATATAGCTGTTATTATTATTTTTTTAAACAAAATCCCCACTGTGATAAAGCTTTTATTCTTTGGGACAGGCAGACAGTAATCCAGATAAATAAATGCAAGGGAAAATTGGGGGAAAAATTGGAATGGAGAGCTCAGAATCTGGCCCCAGAGAAGGGCAGAGGGAAAGGGGACCCAGTTCAGAATCTCGGTGCGTCCACACCAAACAATTCCATGAGGGCTGAAGAGACAGAGCTGAAAGGCTTGTCTGACATCACAAAAGACAGAAAAGTGAGCCCCATTTTCATCTCTATCCTGACAATGTTCCTGGCTTGATTTCCTCCTTCCAGCAGACACAAGAATCAGGGAGCGCACCCTGATGGTAACATTTTTTTCAGGGGCCTATTTTGGGGATCCTGGTGAGAACCTGAGTCCGTCACTGTCCACGGCAGCCCAGCATGGTCCCCAGTGCGTGGTCCAAGGCCAAGATTCTCTACCTCCATCCTGGAGGCAGAAGAAATGTCTGGGGGAAAATGAGAGGTTTTAGGTGGTTGGCACTGGGTGAGACCAAGGAGAAATTTTAAAGCTGTGTGTCCTGGGGCCGGGGGTGGTGGCTCACGCCTGTAATCCCAGCACTTTGAGAGGCCGAGGCGGGCAGATCACGAGGTCAGGACATTGAGACCATCCTGGCTAACGGTGAAACCCCGTCTCTACTAAAAATACAAAAAATTAGCCGGGCTTGGTAGCGGGCGCCTGTAGTCCCAGCTATTCGGGAGACTGAGGCAGGAGAATGGCGTGAACCGGGAGGCGCAGCTTGCAGTGAACTAAGATCGCGCCACTGCACTCCAGCCTGGGTGACAGAAAGAGACTCCTTCTCAAAAAAATAAAAATAAAATAAAAATAAAAAATAGAAAAAGCTGTGTGTCCTTTGTTTCTTCATATTTTGCAGATTTTTGATGTCAAAATATTTTCATAGTCAAAAGAGTGTTAATAAAGAATGACTTCTCTGTTATAAAAACCCTAATAGTGAATGTATTTACCAAGAAATTAGATTCTATCTTTGGTTTTTTGTTTTTTGCCCCGTAGTTTTTAAAAAAATAGTTTTATTGTGTGGATATTCTACAGTTAGTGTATCTATTCACCTCTTGATGGACATTTGGTTTGCTTCCAGTTGTTTTTGCTATTTCAAATAAAGTTGCTACGAATGTTTGTCCAATCGTTTGGACATACACTTTCATTTGTCTTGGGCAAATAAGCAGGATTTGAATGACTAGGTGGTGTGATATGTTTAACTTTTTTTTTTTTTTTTTTTTTTTTTTGAGACGGAGTCTCGCTCTGTCGCCCAGGCTGGAGTGCAGTGGTGCATCGCGGCTCACTGCAAGCTCCACCTCCCGGGTTCACGCCATTCTCCTGCCTCAGCTTCTGGAGTAGCTGGGATTACAGGTGCTCGCCACCACGCCCGGCTAATTTTTTGTATGTTTAGTAGATATGGGGTTTCGCCGTGTTAGCTAGGATGGTCTCGATTTCCTGACCTCGTGATCCGCCCGCCTTGGCCTCCCAAAGTGCTGGGATTACAGGCGTGAGCCACCGCTCCCAGCCAGTTTAACTTTTAAAGAAACTGACAAAGTGGCTGTATTTCCAGCAGCAGTATATGAGCATTCCTGTTCCTTTGTGTTCTCACCAATGTTTAGTATGGTCAGTCTTTTAAATTTTAGCTATTCTAATAGGCAAGTAACAGTATCTCATTGTGGTTTTAATTTACATTTCCCTAATGATGAATGATGTGCTTATGTATCGTCCATCTGTATTCTATGGTGAAATGTCTGTTCAGATCTCTACATTTGTGTTAGACTATTTGTTTTCCTATTATTGAGTCCTGAGAGTTCTTTGCATATTTTGGATAACAAATGTATCTTCACCAGATATAGCTTTTGTAAATTTTTACTCCCAGTCTGTGATTTGTCTTTTTATTCTCTCGATAGTGTTTTTCTTTTTTCTTTTTTTTTTTTTTTTGACAGAGTCTGGCTCTGTCACCCAGGCTGGATTTCGGTGGCACGATCTCGGCTCACTGCAAGCTCCGCCTCCCGGGTTCACGCCATTCTCCTGCCTCAGCCTCTACGAGTGGCTGGGACTACAGGCGCCCGCCACTACGCCCCGCTAATTTTTTGTATTTTTGGTAGAGAGGGGTTTCATCGTGGTCTAGATCGCCTGACCTCGTGATCCACCCACCTCGGCCTCCCAAAGTGCTGGGATTACAAGCGTTAGCCACCGCACCTGGCCTCTGGACAGTGTTTTTCACAGGTCAGATTAATTTTTATATAAATCATTTATTTTATTTTTATTATGTAAAATTTTATAATTTTTAATTTTATTTTTAATTTCCTTTTTAAAAGTTAAATAAAATTTTAAGTGTAATGATGCAAAATTTTGTTTAAAAGTAAATGCATATAAAAATGTTGATATAGACTAAAAAATTGAATAAGTAAGAAGGTAGTTAGTTGTCACAGTAGGAGTGAAGTGAAAAGCTTCCCCTTTCACCCTCTGAAGATTACCGGAAATGAACTGACCATACACAGATTAATAAAAGAAAGGGTATACAAACTTACATAACCTGCAAAAACATGAGAGCTATACACAAAGTATAAGACTTGAAGACGGCTCAGATCTTAAACGCTCTCCTCATAGGCAATAGATATATAGACCCAGGATGCAGACATTATTTTGTAAATAATTTCCTTTGGAAGCTGGATGGGACAGACAAATTACAGGAAGGTGAGAGATGGAACTGCACAGGAAAAAAGTTTGTCTTTGTCACTTTAATCTTATCATTACTAGAGAATATTTATGAATATTTTAGAATAATATATTTTTAAGCCCAAATCTCACCAAATGTTTTTTCTAAAACAAATACTTTTTGTTGTTGTTTGTTTTTGTTACTGTGTCTCACTCTGTCACCCAGGTATGGAGTGCAGTGGTGCAACCATGGCTCACTGCAGCCTTCACCTCCTGGGCTCAAGTGATTCTCCTACCTCAGCCTTCCAAGTAGCTGGGCTACAGGCATGCACCCTCATGCCCTGGTAATTAAAGAAAAAAAAATTTCGTTAGAGACCAAGTCTCATTATGTCACCCTGGCTAGTCTTGAACTCCTGGAATCAACTGATCCTCATGCCTTGGCTTCCCAAATTATTGGGATTATAGGTGTGAGCCACAGTGACTGACCACATATTTCTATACTTCACTGAGGAAAGGAAGGTGCTAGGAAAATTGGTTAAGAACTATTTTTTAAAAAGCTATTAGTAGTGTTTTATTTTATTTTTTAATGATTGATTTTTGAGATTGGGATCTCACTATGTTGCCCAGGCTGGTTTCACATTCCCAAGTTTAAGCAATACCCCTGCCTCAGTCTCCCAAGTAGCTGGGATGACAGGTGTGTGTCACCATACCCAGCTCCATTAGTAGCGTTTTTAACAATTGTGGGCCACTGAGTAAGAATAATTTTTTTTAAATTAAAGGTTATTTTTTAAAAAGCACATTTGTAGAAAATTACTAGCATAATCTGCCTAAAATAAATATACATATTGAAAAAATCTTTGCTCCGAACAAAAAGAAATATATTCACCACACATACATACATATACACACACACACATGCACACACGCACGCGCGCGCACACACACACACACACACACACACACACACATTATGGAAGATTTCAAGACCAGGCAATAATTTCCACTCAATCCAAAAACAATGCAATCCCAGAGCTGAATATTTAGGTGAAAATATATCAGGAATGGGAGGCATTCAGGTTTAATTTTCATGTTTTGGTAGAGTTAGGATGTGAGTTTTCATTTAAAAATATTCTTTATTTTTTTTGCTACTATTGTGGTTTCTGTATTGTTACTATACAATCTGTAAACTAAATAGTAAAGGAGAGAAAAGTGATTTTCAAAGAAGCTGGCTTGGGAACAGGTACTATTCTGGGAAGATGAAAGGTTTCACTTAATGACTGGTACCTGTGCCACTCTGGTTATTTTAACTGTTAACCTTTTAGCAAGAGGTTTTTCTTTTAAAAGACATCCTTTAATATTTGGGAAGCTAGTGCAATAGTACACATTGAGGCCCACATACCACATGCCAAATATTTAAAAGGCACATTTCTAGCTAACCACTGTACATACATATATTTTTTCTTATTTTCTGATTTTAGTTTTTTTCCTTGTCAACAATTTATGTCCACACATATCTTCTATCATCCCACTTTGACAAGTAATATTATACCTTCAAAATGATGTGGAAGACTAGATTGGAATTTAGAACCGTAGAACCTTGTAATTGTACAGGCAAGTTTCTTCCTGGGAAAAAATAAAACAGGAAGAAAAGGCTGGGCAGCCTCTGGTTCAGGAAGGAAATTCAGGAGTCCCTTATAGCAGCATCTCTAGTACTTGGGAACCGAACAGACTTCTCGGCCTGTGAGGCTGGAATGGGCCCTTCTGGAGAACACGACAGAGAAGTTATCTACTGCCTTTGCCCCCAGGGCCCAGGCAACACTTTTACCCTCCATTGTTTCCGAAGTTAAGGGGAGGAGACAATGTTTTGTTTAGTGACCTCGACAGAAAAAGTGTCCTCCTGCAACCACTCATTTGTTACTTTCCTTCTTCCTGAATTGCCTGGACCCACTCCTCCTCCATTTGACTGGCTCTGTGCACTGATCTTATAGTCAGGAGATTTTTGGGAATTGTGGCTTCTAAAAATGTACACCCGACTCTACCCATAGCTGGCCCTGTGAACCTACACACCTGCTCCACTGTGTATCCTTCTCAAAGAGACACTCTTCCTGCTGAGTCTCTGCCCTCTGCTCCTAGATCCAAATGGCATCTCCTACCCTATCCCTGTATGGTTTAACCTAGGGAAACTCTTTCCCAGAGGAGTCAGGTAAGGAGACAGTGGCTGAGCTTCTTACAGACTTAAAGGAGACATCCTGGAATTTAGGAGTCAGTCCTTCCTTTCTGTAATCCCTGGCAGCTCCTGCTGCTGCTCAAAGTTTAGCTTTGTCTCTCATCCAGCTCAGACTTTTGCTGGTCCTGATGGCCTCTGCTTAGCTGTATTAGTACGCTCTTGCATTCCTATAAAGAAATACATGAGAAATACCTTTAGTTGGCTCACAGTTCCATAGGCTATACAGGAAGCATGGTGGTTTCTGCTTCCGGGGAGGCCTCAGGAAACTTTTACTCAAGGTGCAGGGCAAAAAAAAAAAAAACAAAAAAAAAACAAAAAAAACTACCAGCACTGCACTGTGAGGCCCTGATCCCTGAGCTAACTTCATATTATTACCTCTACAGCAAGTGTCCGTGAGAACATAGATATATTTCTTATGTGAGTACACAATTTACAGAAGAGGAACTACCCTCCCAAACCAAAACGTCATAATTTTAATTTACCAGCAAACCTAGGTTGCTTCTGTGAAATGATCTCATTTGCTGAGTTTTAAAATTGACTAAATTTCCCAATTTCCAAATGAAAATATTTAGTTATCTTGTCTTGCTATGTGTTTTTGGTTAATATGATGATTAATTTTTGGTCTATTACTTAATATATTCCATGATTGTTGATATGGATTATAAGGACTCACAAAATAGTTTTCAGATGTCTTTAATTTTTTTACTTAGTGTAGATCCTATAAATGGATTAGAAGTATTCTATTAACTCCCATGTATTCAGAAATCGAATTGGAGTGGTAAATTCTGTTTGAAGTAACAAGGGATATCAAAGGAAAAAAATAATTTTGTGACTATGTCTTCTATACGTAAATTTTTCAGGCATCTTTATCAATGGCTTATACTAAAGACATTTTCTGGATCATGGGTGACACACAGAAGACCTGTGGATAAGTGGCATTGTGTACACTACTGCATTTTATCATCTGGTTCATTTTTCAACTTTTATTTCTCTTAAGGATGTTTTATTAACTGGTGCATCACCAGGTTACCAGTCTCTGGAACACTAAACTTACCAGAAAATACTTGTTGATTGAATTAACAAGACAACAACATTAGAAAACAGTGGTGGCTTGTTTTTGTCCATTGCAGTATCTTGGAGAGTAAAGCCTAACTCTTTAATTTTGGCCAAAGATATAAAGAAATACCTGAGAAACACCTTTAGTTGGCTCATGGTTCCGTAGGCTATACAGGAAGCATGGTGGTTTCTGCTTCTGGGGAGTCCTCCAACACTTACTGGCAGGGTAATTTTGAAGAAGTCATAATAAGATGGTTGTTACAATTAAATGAAATAATCAAAGTGGAAGAGCTTAGTTAGCTGTCTTCCCTAAATGAATCACTGGCAAGTAAGAGTGTGATTGATTTTCCTACCAGTCAGGACTCACCCCTTGAAGCTATAGGAGGGTAAACCTCTGAAGACCATACAATTTAGGGAACACTAACACCTCAAAAAACTCTGTAAACTTCCTTCCTTCCTTTTCTTCCTTCCTTCCTTCCTCCTTCCCTCCCTCTCTCTCTCTCTTTTTCTTTCTTTGTTCATTTCTGAGACAGAGTCTTGCTCTGTCATTCAGGCTAGAGTGTAGTGGCTGGATTATGGCTCACTGCCGCCTTGACCTCCTAGGCTCAAGCAATCCTCTCACCTCAGCCTCCCTAGTAGCTGGGACTATTGGCATGCTCAGCTAATTTTTTTCTCCTTTTCTTTTTGTAGAGACAGGGTCTCATCATGTTGCCCAGGCTGGTCTTGGACTCCTTGGATCAAGCAATCCTGCTGCCTCAGCCTCCCAAAGTGCTGGATTACAAGCATGAGCCACTGTGCCCAGCCTTAAGTTTTTTTCATACAGGAGGAAAGAATTTGGAAAGTAGGTGTGTGTGTGTGTGTGTGTGTGTGTGTGTGTGTGTGTGTGTGTGTTGGTTAGGGAGCCAACACATTTTTCTGCAAAGCTTGAATTCTATGCCTCAGTTTTTCATTTTTGTTATGTGCAAAATAAAATCGTATCCTGCTATAGATTTAAACCTGTGAGCGAATCCTACTCAAAACCTGATTCAAACTTTGTGTAGATCTTTGCCTCTCTGTGGCATAAGAATAAATTCTTCTGGTTTTCTTCCCTCAGAAAAATGGACTTAGACTTCCCACAAGCCTTCCAGAAAGAACTCACCTGCCTCATCTGCCTGAATTACCTCATAGACCCCATCACTATAGGCTGCGGGCACAGTTTCTGTAGGCCCTGCCTCTGCCTTTGCTGGGAAGAAGCACACACTCCTGCCCTGCATGCAGGGAATTGTCACAGCAGGAAGATTTCAACCAATATTCTTCTGAAGAATCTAGTGTCCATTGCCACAAAAGCCAGTCTCTGGCAATTCCTGAGCTCTAATGAACAAATGTGCGGGATCCACAGGGAGACAAAGATGTTCTGTGATGTGGGCAAGAGCCTGCTCTGTTTTCTGTGTTCTAACTCTCAGGAACACTGGGGCACAGAAACACTGGCTCACTGAAGGGGCAGCTAAGGAACACTGTGTAAGTGATGACTCAGAGCACTTTGAAAGCTGGAGGGCAGCACAGGTAAAGAGATTAGGAGGAAGATGAAGAGCACGAGGATTAATCTATTCTTTACCGAGTGTCATGTACTGCCTAGGTATCAGTGATATAACTATTATCCTGCTATCAAATCTACTGATAAGTGGCTCATTTAACTTATAGGCACTCATCACAATGCAAGAAATCCTCTGACTGCTCCTACCATCATGGCCCCTAGCCATGATATGACTTGTCTCCACACTAGCAGAAACTAATCGAGTCCCTATATTAGGGATAAGTGGCATTTTTATATATATATATATATATATATATATATATATATAATTTTTATATATAAATTTTATATGATATATAAAACATATTTATACAATATATATTATATACATATATACATACATATATACATACATATATATATATATATATATATATATATATATATATATATATATATATCACAATGCCAAAAATGTTTTGTCTTCGAAATAATCACAGTGCATTTGGAGAGACAAATGCATCTACAACCAGGCGACAACACTGAAAATAAAATTGTAGCAGTTTGAATAGGGGATTAAATGAGTTAATTTTTTCCTGGGGTTCAAAAAAAGAAACAGCAGCAAAAAATGGTACTTAAGATTGAAAGTTGGCCGGGTGCAGCTACTCATGCCTGTAATCTCAACACTTTGGGAGGCCAAGGTGGGCAGATAACCTGAGGTCAGGATTTCGAGACCAGCCTGGCCAACACGGCGAAACAACACCATTACTAAAAATACAAAAATTAGCTGGGCATGGTGGCAGGTGCCTGTAATCCCAGCTACTCGGGAGGCTGAGGCAGGAGAATCTCTTGAACCCAGGAGGCAGAGGTTGCAGTGAGCCAAGATCACGCCATTGCACTGCAGCCTGGGTGACAAAAGCAAAACTCCATCTCAAAAAAAAAAAAAAAAAAGAAAGTTCTGGGTTATGACACAGAACAAATGCAACATGAATATGTCATGGTTATGAACATGTAGACTACTCAAGATTGTGTATTTTTAAAATAATAGAATACTAGGTTAAAAAATGAGCATTACAAAATGAAAAATAAGCCACAAATTAGCAGAAGATAATTGTAACACATAAAAACAAAGGATTAAATACAATGGTAATGTAATGATAGCTATTCTTACAAAGTTGTTTCTATGTCTCAGGTACTATGCTGAACAACATACGTGCATCTTGAATGCGTGAAGAATTCCTATATAAGAAAAACACAAACAACAACATTTAAAATGAGCAAAAAACCCGAATAGGAATTTCACAGAAGAGAAAACATAAATGGCCCATAAACATAATAAAAGATACTCAACTACAATTCTAATCAGGGAAATAAATATTAAAACCCCAAAGAGATACCACTTCATACTCTAGGAAAAACCTAAAAGGCTGTGAATATCTAGTTTCATTGAGGAAGAACAATGGGAAGACTATTCACTGCTGGTGAGGGTGTAGATTGGTACAACTGCCTTGGAGAACAGTATGATGCCACTCAATAGAGCTGAACACACACATGCCCAATGACCAAGCAATTCCACTCCAGGTACATACTGGAAAAATACTCCTGCACAAGTAGAATAGGAGACACTGCATAACAAAGTTCACTACAACATGAGGCTGAGGTGGGAAGATGGCTTGAGACCAGGAGTTCGAGGCTGCACCAGTAGCTGGGACTATAAGCATGTGTCACCGTGCCTGGCTAATTTTTTGCTGTTGTGGTTGTTGTTAGAGATGAGGTCTTCCTTTATTGAACAAGCTGGTCTCCAACTCCTGGCTTCAAGTGATCTTCCCACTTCTGCCTCCCAAAGTGCTGGGACTACAGGTGTGAGCCACCATGCCCAGCCAAGTTCTGCTTCTTAACCTGAGGTAGATACTTTGATGTTTCATTTTGCTTTATTGTACAGATATACTTTATATTCTCATATGTGACACAAGTCAAAATTTAAAAAAACAATTTAATGTTTATTCCCTTTAGATGAATGATGGGCAAATTTACATAATGAATTCATTACTGAAACAATGTATAGATTTCAGACTAGGAAAGTAACTATTTATAAAAGAAAAGCTTAAAACCTGAAACAGAAACAAAATCCTGAAACTGTAAAATTGAGTCAAACTAAAATTTAAAAAACAAAGCAATGATATAAAGTATCATTTGTCCAAATGTGTTCTACAAAACGCTTTTTTCTTAAATATGTCTGAGGAAAAACAGGTTCTAGGAGTAAAATATGTTTGAAAAATGCTGAGTTAAACAACTGAACCTATGAAGGAAGGAATAGAACTTCTCAAGCTCTTGACTCTGGAATCTTTTTTACATGGCAATTAACACCATGCTTCTTCTTGGATTTGTATTTCAGATAAACACAATCTGGGAAACATTTTATAATACAGAGGGCCACACCAGATTGAATATTGCCCCCAGGAATGAAATGAAAACAGGAATGGATTCTCCAGTAAGAGGTACCCAGATATCCTAATCTTCAGTAGCTGACCTAAACCCTGGACAAGTGGGATCAAATCCCATAACCAAACACAACTTTTTAGGAACTAAGTGGATAATCACTCTGTGTTGTATGAACATGTGGGCAGTGTGTTTCCTACACAGCTTAAAAGTGCAACAAAAAAAGATCTAGGTGTCATATAAAGAATTTCTACCACTGTTAGGGTAATGGTGGACTGACAGGCAGAGGGGCTCAGATGTGACTTAAGTAAAGTTCAATAGAAGCTTCCAGCACAGATATTCATGTTTCAAATTGGACCACTCAGTTAAAAAGTTTTCCCATTAGACTTCCCCTAATCAAATTAGAAATTATCTAATTTTCTAATAAAGTTTTCCCCAGGCACAAGGAATCTGTGAACTGGACCTAAAAAATTCTTCGTAATGTACTTTTATTACCATAAAAGATGCACATTTATTTTAAAAACTTCTCTACACCACTATCATAAACCTTTGCACACACTTATTTCTTTTGGAAGCTAACTTCTGAGTGGTAATGAAATATATTCTTAAGAAAAAAGTCCGACACAATGCCTTTGCGTCTTAAAATATGTTAAAATATTATTTGAAAAGAGTCAAACATCTGTCTTTTCAGGGTATCACAGGGCGTCAAACTGGAAAATGTGGCACTGCCTGGAGTTTCTACCTGGTGAAGGGTGGCAGACTTTTCTCTTCAGAGGACTCTTGACAGGGTAGCATCCATTATCTTGCCAATTTACTACAACCTAGGCCCAATCCTCAGTCTTATAGGTTCAGAAATTTATTTTTATCAGCATCAACAGGGTAGCTACATTGCTTAGAAGCAAACAAAATTAACCATGCTTCAATAGAAATCAGGATATAGATGTATTAATACAGAATGACAAATATAACTGTGACAGAAATAGGAATGCCTGTTTATGGTCATATACGGCCAATACTTTCATTACAGCCAAACTCATATATGCAGCCAAATAAGAGGCCCCTGGATACACAGGGAATCAGAATAAAAAAAGAAGAACTGAACATTTAATAGTCTTCTTTCATTCAATCAATAATTTTTTTTAATTAAGCAACTACTATGTCTGGGTAACCTTCTAGGTCCTGGGGATACAGAGGTCTCTGCTTACAGAAGTCATATGTAAGTAGCAGGTGAAGAGTATGTGTTTCACAGAAGTTTATTACAATATATTAACAAGAGCAAAAAATTTTGGAAGCAATCTAAATGTTCAATAATAGAGCTCCAATTAAATAACAATAAATCCAAATAATGAAAAATAATGCAGCCCTTTAAGAATAAGCACTTGCAAGCCGTAATTCATGACATGGGAAAATTATCATAATGGAAAAAGAAGCAAGCTATATACAGTGCATGATCCTATACACACACATACATACATACATATTTCCTATCCCTTTATATGCATAAGAAAACAAGCGGGAGGAAAGTCGTATCTTTAGTCAAGTCTTGTTTACTAACGTACTATTAATGATTATCTTTTCTTTTTCTTTATACCTTTTTGCATTTTTCAATTTCCTAAAATAGCCTTACATGCCTTTTATCACCAGGAGAAAAATTACTTCTAAAGTAATTTCAGTCAACATGCATACTAAGAACTCTTCAGATTTATCTGTTAGAAGCTGTGCATGAATGCCAGTCCTTGCATCTGTCTTGGAACTCACAGAGAGCTCTTTTCCCATGGCTTTAAGCAATACTCAAAAAGACTAGCATACCTGAATTTCCTAGTCCTATGTTTTTTTCATCCAACAGCCAGTCTTGTATTTCTAGCTGTTTTCTAAACATTTCAACCAAACCATTTTACAGATAACTCATACAGTCATCCTTTGATATGCATGGGGAATTGGTTCCAGGATCCCCCTTGTATACCAAAATCCATGGATGCTCAAGTTACTGGTATAAAATAGTGTAGTATTTGCATATAACCTACACACATCCTCCTATATACTTTAAATAATCTCTAGATTACTTAATAACAATTAATACGATGTAAATGTTACGTAAATAGTTGGTATACCATGTTGTTTTTTATTTGTATCATTTTTTATCGTTGTATTGTTTTTTCTGACAATTTTGTTCCACAGTTGTTTGAATCAGTGGATGCAGAACCCATGAATATGGAGAGTCAATTGCATTTTATTATGCCCAAAGGTAAATGCATAATTTTTCCACACAGCTAATCTTCTAGCAACCCCATTGCTGTCCATGGCAAACAGGCTTAGTTAATCTCGCCCTTTCCCGTTTCAGGTTCATTATACACCATGGAATACTATGCAGCCATAAAAAATGATGAGTTCATGTCCTTACTAGGGACATGGATGAAGCTGGAAACCATCATTCTCAGCAAACTATCGCAAGGACAAAAAACCAAACACCGCATGTTCTCACTCATAGGTGGGAATTGAACAATGAGAACACTTGGACACAGGAAGGGGAACATCACACACCAGGGCCTGTTGTGGGGTGGGGGGAGGGGGGAGAGATAGCATTAGGAGATATGCCTAACATAAATGATGAGTTAATGGGTGCAGCACACCAACATGGCACACGTATACATATGCAACAAACCTGCACATTGTTCATGTGTACCCTAGAATTTAAAGTATAAAAAAAATAAAAAAATAAAGAAAGAAATAGATGTTCTGTAAAAATATACACAATTTTTACAGACAAATACATTTATAAGTTGTTTTTATCTTAAAAATTGGGGATATTTCATATTTATAACTAAATATTGAGCCTTAAGTTTTCTTGGCCATTTCTAGGCTAATAAACTAAGAATCATGTAAACTAAGCCAAAGTAGAATAGACATAAAAGTCCTGAACACTTCAACTTCCTATCCTTCAAGAAGTATACCTCGCAAAGCTCATTTGAGAGAGGAAAAGCTTTCCTCCACCCTCGGTTTTACAGTGCTGAGGCTTCTCATCACATTTCTATGACTTGTAGCTTAAATCCATGTTACATGGTCACTGGCATTGTTAGTGCTTCTCTTTTAACACTGTAGGAATTAATCAATTTGGTGGCATATTTAATTAATTCTATCACTAGAGGATTGTAAAATTACATATATGAATACCTCACTTTAGAGGCCACTTAATTTTTTTCCAAGGGGATATTTGACTATATTTCACTTGTGTCTTATTTAATGATTTTATAATTTAAACCCTAAATTATAAATCTAGAATTTAGAAAGTATATTTCCCCACTGGATTACATTTTTGGAAATATTACTTTATATGTGCACAAATATTACAAAATCACTGTAGACACCTGAAAACTATATTATCTTTTAAAGACAATATTTACATTAAACTGGTATAACAAAATTGTTTGGTGCATTTTTTCCAGTACATTTTGTGTATATTACATGTTTAACCTTTTTTTATTCAGCAAATAATTTTTGAGTATCTACTAAGTGCTAGGTTCTGCATTACTAACTGAATTTAAAGAGTGAAATAACAGACATGGTCTCAGACAATAAAAATTAACATTAGGTCACTTATTTATATATTTTTAAATGGTAATTATGAAAACTTTTTGAGATTTTTAACTAGATAACATTATAATAACGCACTTGATGTTGTTAATAGTTGCCAGTGAGCAAAAAAGAAAATAAAAAGATGGTTTTATTCAATATACACTTTAAAATTGCAGAAAATAGTCAAGTTTCTCTGCTTTGCAGTTGAATGTCTATGTGTTTTTCTCTGCAACTTGGCTTTTGTGGAGTGAAACAATTATTCTTCCAGCCCAATGAAGGCAGACGAGTAACAATAAATCTAATATTTTAAATGCTTATCAAAAGATAGTAAACACATTATTTCAGAATACTGAGTTCAATAAGTTGACCTACAAAAAAAGCCAAACTGACAGTATTACTGAATAAGGAAAGGCCCAAAGAGACAAAATACTTTTTATTTTGTAACCTCGGTATGACACAACTTACCCTAACTATAAAGACCCTAAATTACCAAGATGGGTGCTTATAATATGGAGAGTTACAAAGTCATTTCACTTTTAGCTTTTTTATTTCTCTCAGAATAAAAAGTGTATAAGGAGTTGATAAAGAAGTTGATACTATAAGTTAGTACTACAATGACAGCACTTTTCAAGAAAAGACTTTTTTCTCTCTTACAAATATCATGTTAGCAGTATTTGTTTTCTCCAGAAATAATGAGTAAATAAAAACATAAGTATGTGGGTAATTAGTGTAGTTTCTTAAATAAATGAGTTAGGCAACAGGCTAATAATGTATATTTCACTGGCTTTTCAATGCCAACAATCATATTCTTTATAAGGCACAGAGAAGATTTTTCTAAAGAATAAGTATGTGAACCTGAAAAGTAATCACCACTTGGTAGTGACAATATGGATAGGGTGAAGGGCGTCACCAAGAAGCAATGAAAAGATACATTTGCAGTTAAATTTGAAAACCATGATGTTTAATACATATAGTAATAAAGAATACTTTCTCCTGTCTCAAAATTATTTTAGAATTTAAGATAGAAGCTAAAATACCTAGGGATAATGATATGACTATCAAAAATTAAAAATTAAAGGATATTTTGAGTATTATAAATTAAGAATGAGAACTTATTACCCAATGAACAGGGGATAATTCATTATGCTCCATATCCATTGAATTAAAAGACAGGCCCATTACCTGGATAATTTGAAAGTTTAATTTTATTTAAAAGTCTTGTTTCATTCATCAAGCTAAAGGATTAGCTCCCAGAAATATTCCAGGATTGCATATCCCCAACTCTGTAGGAAGTATAGAAAGAATGTTATAAGGGCCACCATCTAAACATTATTATATAAATAATTTAGTACCATTCCATTTGCCTTTGTAGATTTAAAAATGTAAATGGCTTTCTCATATTAGGAAACATCACTTTTCAAAACCCAGGTAAACATAGTATATTGCAAGAGAATAATTATTTTCTTTATTAAAAAAGAAATACTGGATGCTAAGTCCAAAAGACATAAATTATTTTATACTAATAACTACTAATATTTTATTCATTAAAATATAAAGGTCAAAGATTTCAAAATGATCTTTAAATGATTAATAACATGTTGATCTTTTTCTTCTTTCTGTAAACCTTTTTGAGTCTTAACAATACTAAACTATACAAGCAATATTAAATAGTATATAAACTTGGATTAAAATATTCAAATTTACTAGAATGTGGACATTGGAAAGAATGAAAATAAACAGAAGCATAAAGCAGCAGATATAAAATTAAGAAAGCAACTAAGAGTGTTTAAAGTGCATATTCATCTGTAGTCTAATGTCTACCATAAACAATGACTCTTCTCAGTAAAACACAAATTGTTCATGAAGGGAAAAAGCATGTTGTATTAGAGCATATTCAACATAATTTTTTTAGTACTAACTTGTGCCTGGAGTATTATTGGTTTTTCTATTATGAACTTATGCACTTGGTAATTTTTTTCATCAAAATTGTATGTACAACTCCATTCAAAAGCAGTTTTTGGTCGTTTTTTTTTTTTTTATTTTGAGACAGAGTTTTGCTCTTTTCACCCAGGCTGGAGGGCAATGATGCGAATTTGGCTCACAGCAACCTAGCAAATTTTGCCTCCCAGGTTCAGGTGATTCTCTTGCCTCAGCCTCTCGAGTGGTTAGGACTACAAGCATGCACCACCATGCCTGGCTAATTTTGTGTTTTTAGTAGAGACATGGTTTTGCCATGTTGACCAGGCTGGTCTTGAACTCCTGACCTGAGGTAATCCGCCCACCTTGGCCTCCCAGAGTGCTGGGTATGGGCAAGAGCCACCATACCTGGCCTCAAAAGCAGTTTTTAAAAGCAAACACAATATAACACCGAAGTTGAAAAATCCATGCTCACTCAAGGATGCCAGGTTTAATAAATTATTGATAGAATACTACATCAAAAATAAGACAATAAACCAAAATATACCATTAAAGATGTATCCACTCCTACAACTAGAGATAACTAATCTATCTGGTAGCAAATGATACTTCAATCAGTTTCAGCATGTCTGAAATCTTTAAGGACAAAAGTGATAAAACATGACTTCATTCTTCATTAGCCTCTTAGAACACTTGAAGGAAAATAATTTCTGAAGCACGAAGAGGTAAAGAGGTGTAATCTTTCAAAAAGATATTCAGTGTTCAAAATCCAAGAGTGCAATATCAGGCTGGGTGCGGTGGCTTATGCCTGTAATCCCAGCACTTTGGGAGGCCATGGTGGGTGGATCACCTGAGGTCAGGAGTTCGAGTCCGGCCTGGACAACAGGGTGAAACTCTGACTGTACTAAAAATACAAAAATTAGCCAGGCATGGTGGTGTGCACCTGTAGTCCTAGCTACTTGGGGGGCTGAGACAGGAGAATCGCTTGAACCTGGGAGGTGGAGGTTGCAGTGAACCGAGATCATGCCACCTCACTCCAGCATCAGTAACAGAATGAGATTCCATCTCAAAAAAAGAAAAGAGTGTAATATCGGTATACACAGATAATATACTGAATGAAACAAATAGAATAATTTGAAGAGGTATCTTGATGAACAAGGAGTAATTAGAAAGGTTGTATTTATGTCTTTGAAGGAAATTGCAATGTGAGAAATTAATACTTTGACTACTATACTAAAAGTTTATTGCTAACATCTATTGAGTTATTAACGTGTGTTAGGCAGAGTACCATATAATTTACAAGTGTTATCTCATTTATTGTAGGTAAAATGTAATTTCAAACTCTGGGAGTATAAATGAATTAGATAGAATAAAATTCTATTTAAATGGCCATCAGTAAATCGGTATCTAGGAACAGGGTGATACAGTGCCCAAGTTTTCTATTCTTACTAAATGTTGTGTTTCCTTTTCAATGTTTTCTTGGATATTGCTCTTTTTTGGTGATTTTGATTTTTTTTATTTTAGAAAACTAATAAATTGACTCTTCTTGGTACTGACTCGGGTTTTATAGAAGAAAAAGTAATTAAATTCTGTACATTTACCTTTACCTCATTTTTTCTCTTTTAAATTTACTTTAATTGACATACAATAAATGTACATGTTATGGGGTACAGAGTGATATTTTGATATATTTATGCAATGCGTAAAGATCAAGTCAGAGTCATTATCATATCCATTACCTAAATCATGTATTATTTCTTTGCAGTGAGAATATTCAAAATCTTTTCTTTTCGTTATTTGAAAACACACAATAAATTCCCATTAACTACAGTCACCCAACAGTGCTGTAGAGAACTAGAACTTCTTCCTTCTCTCCAGCTGTAATTTTGTATGTATTAAGCACATTTTTCTTATACTCTTCTTTCTCCTACTCTTTCCAGGATATGGTAACCAAAACTCTACTATCTACTTCTACGAGATTAAAAATTTTAGCTTCCATACATAAGTGAGAACACGTAGTTATGTGGTGTTTATATTTCTATGCCAGGCTTATTTCACCTAACATAATGCCCTCCACTTGCATTCTTGTTGCCACAAACAACAGGATTTTGTTCTTTATTATGACTAAATAATATTCCATTATATATGTATGTCACATTTCTTTATCCATTCATCTGTTGATGGACACTTTTGTTGATTCCATATCTTGGCTATTGTGAATAGTGCTGTAATAAACATGGGGGTGCAGGTAACTCTTTGATATACTGATTTTCTTTCCTTTGGATATATACTGAAAACCATATGATTAAATTAATAAACACAATAAAAGCGTTTGGCAAAATTAAATATTCTTACATGACAAAAAACTTCTCAACAATTTAGTATAGAAAATATATGCCTTAACACAAAGGACATAAAGGACAAATCTACAGCTAAGATCATACTGAGTGTGGAAAAGGTGAAAGATTTTACTGTGAACAAGAAAAAGATTTTACTGGAACAAGAAAAGGATGCCTATTCTCACCAATCATATTTCACATAGTGAAAGTCTTAGCCAGGACAATTAGGTGAGAGAAAGAAATAAAGGACATCTGAATTGGAAAGGAGACAGTCAAATTGTCCTTGTTTAAAGACAATGTGATCTTATACATGGAAAAAAATAAGACTCTACCAAAAGCTTCTCAGGGTGATACATGAAATTAATATAGTTGCAGGATATAAATCAACATACAAAAATCAGTAGCATTTCTATATATTGATAGTAAACTAGCTGAAACAAGAAATTAAGAAAGCAATTCCTTTTACAATAGCTACAAAAATGTACTTAGAAATAAATTTAACCAAGTAAAAGATTTCGACAACAAAAATGACAAATATTAATGAAAGAAATTAAAGAAAACATAAAAAAGCAAAGACATCCACGTTTATAGATTGAAATAATATTCTTAAAATGACCCACTATCCTATGTGATTTACAAATTTAGTACAATCACTAGCTTGTATTTTTAAAAGCACCTTTGCTGCATATTCTTAACATATTCAATGACAATGCCTGGATTTGAGGTATTATTATATCTATTTTATACTGGGCACAATATAATGTTATCAGAGGTAACGGTTTTGATTGGTCCTAGGTCATACAGTAATATATACATTGTCATTTATAGACATGCTATCTTTTAATACTCAGGCATTTAGAAAGTTCATTTAGACAAAGTTATAAAAACTTGCCTTCCTTTCTGCCTATATCACCTAAAAATCCTAATTTAAGAGGTAATAACATTTTTTATTTGATATACAATTTATCAACACAATAAAAATCTAACTATCATGTGCAGAGTGTGAAAATCTCATCAGATTAAGGAACACAAAGACATCTTTTTCATATTTTGAATGTAAAACTGTTTTGGAAACTGTTATTTTTAGAAACAGTTAAAAACATTGTTTCATTAGTTTTTCATGTAAAATTGTGACAACCAGCATGAAATAACTGTCATCACAGAAGCATGGTATATTCGATTCCGAAACATATTCTTTGTAAGTTTTAATATATTTATGTATTATTTATACTTAATTGTAACCCATAATGTACAGATATTATTTTTCCTTCAACTCTTAAGAATATTCTTAAATAATAAAATTAATGAATTATAATTTTTGTTGGTTGGGAAAAAGACACACACGTGACAGTGCATCACTTCACCTCATCATTTCATCTCATTTCATCTTATCCCATCTCATCTCATCATTTCATATCATCTCATCATTTCATCTCATCATTTCATCAAATCTCATCTCATCTCATTTCCATTTCATTTTCATTATTTCATCATTTCATTTCACTATTTCATTTCATGTAATTTCATTTATTTCATTATGTCATTTCATATCATCTCATTTCATTTCATGTCATATTTTTTATATCATTTTTCGTATCATTTTTCATCTCATTTCATCTCATGTCATATTTTTTATATCATTTTTCGTATCATTTTTCATCTCATTTCATCTCAATTCATTTCATCTCATCATTTCATCTCACCTCATCATTTCCTCCTTTCTTTTCAACATTTCATCTCATTTCCTCTCATCTCATTTCAATTTTATTTCGTTATTTCATCTCATTTCATTATTTCACCTAATTTCATTATTTCATCTCATCTCATCTCAATTTATCTCATCTCATCATTTCATCTCATCATTTTTCATCTCATCATTTTTCATCTCATCATTTAATCTCATTTCATCTCATTTCAGCTCATTTCATGTCACATCTCTTCATCATTTCAACATTTCATTTCATCTCATCATTTCATCTCATCTTTCAATTTCATTTCAATATCATCAATTCATCATTTCATTTCACTTCATTATTTCATTATTTCATTTCATTTCAATTCATCTCATCATTTTTCATCTCATCATCTCATTTCATCATTTCATCTCATTTCTTCTCATTTCATCTCATTTTATCTCATTTCATCTCATCTCATTTCAATTTCATTTCATTATTTCATTTCACTTCATTTCATTTCATCTCATCACTTTATCTCATCTCATTTCATCAAATCATTTCTTCTCATCTCATCTCATTTCATCATTTCATCTCGTTTCATCTCATTTCATCTCATTTCATCTCATCTCACCTCATCATTTCATCTCATCCTTTCATTTCATCTCATCGTTTCATCTCACCTCAGCATTTCATCATTTCATCTCATCATTTATTTCATCTCATTTTATCTCATTTCATCTCATATCTCAATTCAATTTCCTTTCATTATTTCATTTCATCTCATTCATTTCATCTCATTTCATTACATCTCATTTCCTCTCATCATTACATCTCATCTCATCTTATCATTTCATCTCATCATTGCATCTCATCATTTCATCTCATCATTCATCTCATTTCATCTCATCATTTCCATTTCATTATTTCATTTCATCATTTAATTTTATCATCTCATTTAATTTCACCTCATTTCATTATTTCATTTCATTTTTTCATTTCATTGTCATTTCATTTCATCTCATTACATTTCATCTAATTTCATTTCACCTCATTTCATCTCATCATTTCATTTCATCTCATCATTTCATCTTTTCATCTCATTTCATCTCATCATCTCATCAACTCTTTTCATCTTATCTCATCATTTCATTTCATCTCATCATTTCATCTCATCTCGTATCTTATCTCATTTCAATTTCGTTTCATTATTTCATGTCATCTCATCTCATCTCATCATTTCATCTCATCATTTCATCTCATCACCTCATCATTTCATCATTTTATTTCATCATCTCATCATTTCATCTCATCTCATTTCGATTTTATTTCAATTTCATTTCACTATTTCATTTCATCTCATCATTTCATCTCACCATTTCATTTCATCATCTCATCTCATCATTTCATTTCATCATTCATCTCATCATCTCATCATTCATCTCATCATTTCATATCATCATTTTATCTCATCTATCATTTCATCTCATTTCATCTCATCTCATTCCATCACATTTCATCTCATTTTATGTCATCATTTCATGTCATCATTTCATCACATCTCATCTCATCATTTCATCTCATCATTTCATCATTTCATCTCATTTCAACTCATTGCATCTCAGCTCATTTCCATTTCATTATTCCGTTTCATCATTTCATTCATTATGTCATTTCATCTCATATTTCATCTCATCTCATCATTTCATCTCATTTTATCTCATCTCATTTCATCATTTCATCTCATCATTTCTTATCTCATCATTTCCATTTCATTTTCATTTCATTATTTCATCATTTCATTATTTTATTTCATCTCATTTCATTCATTTCATTATGTCATTTCATTTCATCTCATTACATTTCATCTAATTTCATTTCACCTCATTTCATCTCATCATTTCATTTCATCTCATTTCATCTTTTCATCTCATTTCATCTCATCATCTCATCAACTCTTTTCATCTTATCTCATCATTTCATCATTTCATCTCATCATTTCATCTCATCTCGTATCTTATCTCATTTCAATTTCATTTCATTATTTCATGTCATCTCATCTCATCTCATCATTTCATCTCATCATTTCATCTCATCACATCTCATCATTTCATCATTTTATTTCATCATCTCATCATTTCATCTCTCATTTCGATTTTATTTCAATTTCATTTCACTATTTCATCTCATCATTTCATCTCACCATTTCATTCCATCATCTCATCTCATTTCATTTCATCATTCATCTCATCATCTCATCATTCATCTCATCATTTCATATCATTTTATCTCATCTATCATTTTATCTCATTTCATCTCATCTCATTCCATCATTACATCTCATTTCATCTCATTTTATGTCATCATTTCATGTCATTTCATCACATCTCATCTCATCATTTCATCTCATCATTTCATCATTTCATCTCATTTCAACTCATTGCATCTCAGCTCATTTCCATTTCATTATTCCATTTCATCATTTCATTCATTATGTCATTTCATCTCATCATATTTCATCTCATCTCATCATTTCATCTCATTTTATCTCATCTCATCATTTCATCATTTCATCTCATCATTTCTTCTCATCTCATCATTTCCATTTCATTTTCATTTCATTATTTCATCATTTCATTATTTTATTTCATCTCATTTCATTATTTCATTTCATTATGTCATTTCATTTCATCTCATTACATTTCATCTAATTTCATTTCACCTCATTTCATCTCATCATTTCATTTCATCTCATCATTTCATCTTTTCATCTCATTTCATCTCATCATCTCAACCCTTTTCATCTTATCTCATCATTTCATCATTTCATCTCATCATTTCATCTCATCTCGTATCTTATCTCATTTCAATTTCATTTCATTATTTCATGTCATCTCATCTCATCTCATCATTTCATCTCATCATTTCATCTCATCACATCTCATCATTTCATCATTTTATTTCATCATCTCATCATTTCATCTCTCATTTCGATTTTATTTCAATTTCATTTCACTATTTCATTTCATCTCATCATTTCATCTCACCATTTCATTTCATCATCTCATCTCATCATTTCATCATTCATCTCATCATCTCATCATTCATCTCATCATTTCATATCATTTTATCTCATCTATCATTTCATCTCATCTCATTCCATCATTACATCTCATTTCATCTCATTTTATGTCATCATTTCATGTCATCATTTCATCACATCTCATCTCATCATTTCATCTCATCATTTCATCATTTCATCTCATTTCAACTCATTGCATCTCAGCTCATCATTTCCATTTCATTATTCCATTTCATCATTTCATTTATTATGGCATTTCATCTCATCATATTTCATCTCATCTCATCATTTCATCTCATTTTATCTCATCTCATCATTTCATCATTTCATCTCATCATTTCTTCTCATCTCATCATTTCCATTTCATTTTCATTTCATTATTTCATCATTTCATTATTTTATTTCATCTCATTTCATTATTTCATTTCATTATGTCATTTCATTTCATCTCATTACATTTCATCTTTCATCTCATAATTTCATCCATCATTTCATTTCATTTCATCATTTCATCTCATGATTTCATCTCATCTCATTATCTCATTTCATCTCATTATTTCATCTCATTTCATCTCATCTCATTTCATCATTTCATTTCACCATTACATCTCATCATTTCAACTCATCTCATTTCAATTTCATCATTACATTTCATAATTTCCTTTCATTATTTCATTTCATCTCATTTCATTATTTCATTTCATTTTTCATCTCATCATTTTTCATCTCATTTCATTTCATCATTTCATCTCATCGTTCATCTCATCTCATCATTTTATCTCATTATTTCATCTCATATCATCTCATTACAATTTCATTATTTCATATCATTTCATTATTTCATTTCATCTCGTTTCATCTCATTTCATCCATCATCTCATTTCATCTCATTTTATCTCATCTCCTCTCCTTTCAATTTCTTTTCAATTTTGTCATTTCGTCTCATCATTTCATCTCATCATTTCTACTCACCATTTCATCTCAAAATTTCATCTCATCATCTCATCTCATCATTTCGTCATTTCATCTCATCATTTCATCTCAAGTCATCATTTCATCTAAGTGAAATGATGTAATGGAATCATGAAATGAAATGGATAGGATGCCCTCAGTGATGTTAAATTTAAAAATTGTTTCTTTTCATGTATGCATTTTTATATTTATATTTACTTATAGTTATTACTTTTTATTTATATTTTTACTTATTTCTTTATTTATAAACAAGGTCCTGTTCTGTGGCCTAGGCTGGAATGCAGTGGTGCATTCACAGTTCACTGAAGCCTCAAGCAAACCTCCCACCTTAGCCTCCCAGGTAGCTGGGACCCCAGGTGCGCACCACCACACCTGGTTAATATTTTATTATTTGCAGAGATGGAGTCTTGCTATTCTGCCCAGGCTGGTCTCAAACTCCTGGGCTCAAGCAATCCTCCTGCATTGGCAACCCAAAATGCTGGGATGCCAGATATGAGCCACAGTGCCCAACCTATTTATTTATTTATTTATTTATTTATTTAATAAAGACAAGGTCTCACTATGTTGCCCAGGCTGGTCAACTCCTGGACTCAAATGATTCTCCAAACTTGGCCTCTCAAAATGTTGGGATTACAGGTATGAGCCACCATGCTTGGCCTAAAAATAGTATTATATTTTTGTATCATATAATTTTCAATTAGGTATTATGAATATTCTGTACAGGAAACACACCCTTAATTACATAAGAATAAACATTTGTTACACTGAGAAAAATCTAATAGAGCTAAAAATAAAAATTAATTTGGAAAGGTCATTAGATACTGATACATTCTTACGTTTATACATTCTTTCATATATTCATATATCCTTTTAACAGTATCAATGGTTTGGAGTTACGTGTACAAAGCCATGACCCATATGTAATACAACTAATAACAGGCACTTACAATTCAAGGCATATTATATACAAAGCTTTAACTTCTTATCAAAATATTTTACTTTTTTCTTTCTGTTTTGGCAGATACTATGAACACAACATTCAACTCACAGACACCATGGAGCCCTTACTAAGCATAAAGTACTGTGAAAGGCCAGGGCTAGGACAGAACTGAGACAGGGCCAGGGATAGGACAGAACTGGGGCAGGGTCATGGCCAGAGAAAAACCAGGGGCAGGGTCACAGCCAGGGACATGAGAGGACCAAGGCCAGGTCCAGAAGCAGGGAAGAACCAGGGCCAGGGCAGGGACATGGCAGGGCCAGGGCCATGGCAGGATCAGGGTCAGCAGAAGGCCAGGGCAGGGCTAGGGTGGCACAGGGCCAAGGCAGGGCAGGGTCAGTGTAGAGCAAGGAACGGGCCAGGGTATGGCAGGGCAGGGACAGGGAGGTCCAGGGCCAGAGTCAGGTCCAGGACCTGGACAGGGCAGGGCCAGAAACATGGCAGGACCAGAAAGGGGACAGGGCAAGGGCAAGGCCAGAGAAGGACCATGGGAAAAACATGGCCAGGGAGGGTCCAGGGCAAGGGCAAGTCCAGGGCAGAACCAGAGCCAGAGCAGGCCAAAGGCAGGGCCAGGGCAGGGCAAGGCCAGGATAGGGCAGGGCCAGTGTAGGGTGAGGGTAGGACCAGGGCGAGTTCAGGGCCAGGGCAGGACTAAGATAGCACAGGGCTAAGGCAGGGCCAAAAGGAGGGGCCAGGGCCAAGCATGGCCAGTGTCAGACCTGGGGATTGTCAGGGTCAGGGTCAAGGCTGGTCCAGGGACAGGGCCAGAGCAAGGGCAGGGCCAGGGAGAAAGCAGAACCAGAGAGGATCCAGAGCAAGGCCAGGGTCAGGGCAGAACCAGGACCAGGATAAGGCAAAGCCAAGGCCAGGGCAGGGCAAGGCCAGGGCAGGGCAACACCAGGGAAGGGCAAGGCCAGGGTAGAAAAGGCCAGGGTAGGGCCAGGCCAGGGTAGGAGAAGGCCATGGTAGGGCCAAGGCCAAGGCAGGGCAGGGCTAGGGTAGCACAGGGCACGGCCAAAAACAGAGCAGGGCCATAGCAGTGGCAGGACTAGCAACAGGGCTAGGGCAAGCGCTGGACCAGAGCATGGTGGGGACAATATAGGGCCAGGACAGAGGATGGCAAGGCAGGTCCAGGGCCATTTCATGGACTCAGTAGGCCTGGGGTCAGGCCAGGGCAGGGCAAAGGCAAGGCCAGGAAGAAGGCAGGGCCAGGGCCAAGGCAGTGCCAGGGCAGGGCAGGACCAGTGCAGGGCCAATGCAGGGTGAGGGCAAGGCCAGGGCATGGAAGGGCAGGGCAGGATCAAGGAAGGGCCAGGAGAGGGCCACGGCAGGGTCATGGCGAGAACAAGGGTATGGCTGGGGTCAGGAATATGGTAGGATGAGGGCTGGGCCCAGGCTGGGGCACGCAGGGCAGAGCATGGTCTGTGCAAGGCATGGCCAGAGCCAGGCCATAGAGATGGGAGGGCAACACCAAGGCAGAGTCAGGGTAGATCCAGGGCTGAGCAGAGTCAGGGCAGGTCCAGAGTCGAGGCAGAGCTAGGGCCCAAGCAGCGCCATGGTAGCACCAGGGCAGAGGAGGGCAGGGCAATGCAGGACTGGGCCATGGCAGTGCCTGGTCAACTCCGGGGCAGGGCCAGAAGCAGGACAGGGCCAGGGCCAATGCTCAGGCCAGGGACAGGGCATGACAGGACGTGCCAGAGCAGGGCTGGGCCAACGTTGGGGCAGGGCAAATCAGACCAGGACACCTCCAAGTCCAGCTCTGGCCCTGCCTTGGCCCTGGCCCCTTCCTGGCCTGACCTTGTCCCTGGCCCTGCCCTATCCATGCCCTGTGTGTTTGACCAGTGTTTTATAACCAGAATCCTACAAGAAACTTAAATTAGTTCTTTTTGTGCATTTTTAGTAGAGATGGGGTTTCACAATGTTGCCCAGGCTGGTTCCAAACTCCTGAGCTCAAGCCATCTGCCTGCCTTGGCCTCCCAAAGTGCTGGGATTACAGGAGTAATCTGGCCAAGTATTTACCTTCTTTTTGCCTGTTTCCTACATTTGGAAAATGGGGATGCTTTAAGTACCTAGCATATAGAATTATTATGAGAATCAATGCCTCACATATTTACATGTTGATAAAATTATACTCATAGAACACTACTGGAAGCAAAGATAGTATTAGTTAAAATTTAGTGATTACTGCAAGTATTATTACTATTACAAACAACATAGTATAGACATTACTACTACTATAGTTATCTTAAAAATCTAAAATAAAAATTTTAGTAATAGCCTAAAGTAATCTCTCCTGCTCTGCCCTGGCTCAGCCCTAGTGCCGGCTCTGCCCCTAGTCCTACTACATCCCTGGCCCTGACCCTTCCCTGGTCCAGCCGCTGCCCTGGCCCTTCCCATCTTCAGGCCTTAACATGGCCCTACCCTGGTCCTGACCCTGCCCTGGTCTGGTCCTGACCCTGGCCCTACCCCAGAGAAGGGGTATGGCAGAGCCAGGGAAGGGCCGGGGCAAATAAGGGACAGGACACATCCAAATCCAGGAACGGGCCAGGGCCATGACAGAGCCAGGGCGAGTCCTTGGCAGGGCCAGGTTCCAGGCCAGGACCAGGAAAATGTCATGGCAGGGTCACTGTATGGCCAAGGTCCAGGCCAAAGCCAAGGCAGTGGCAGGGTCAGGTCTGCATAAGGGCAGGACCAGAGCCAGTGATACGGCAGGGCCAGGGCCAGGGCCAGGGCTGTGCCAGGACAGAACAAGAGCAGAGCAGGGCAGGACCACAGCCAGGCCATAGAGAGAGTAGGGCAAATGCCAAGGCAATGCCAGGGTAGTGCCAGGGCTGAGGCAAGGTCAGGGAAGGTCCAGGGCTGAGTCAAGGCTAGAACCAAGATGGGGCAAAGGCCGGGGCAGATCTAGGGCACAAGCGGGGCAGATCTAGGGCACAAGCAGGGCAAGCTAGGGCAGGGCAATGGCAAGACCAGGCCATGGCAGGGCCAGCCCAGGATAGAACAGGGCACAGGCAGGGCAGGGCCAGGGCCACGGCTGGGGCAGGACAAGGACCAGGACCGGGGTCCAGGCCAGGGCAAGGGTATGGCCAGGGCAGAGGTAGGGCCAGAGCCAGGGTCTGGGCAGGACCAAGGCAGGTCTATTGCAGGGCCAGGGTTCAGACCAGGGCCAGAGCAGGGCTGGGACAGGGCCAGGGCCAGAACCAGGAAAGGGCAATGTCAGGACAAGGGCCATGGCAGGACCAGCAACGGGGCTAGGACCAGGACAGGGACAGGGACAGGGTCAGGGCTAGGGCCAGAATAGCATGCCAGGGTAGAGCCAGGCCAAATTAGGGCCAGGGCTGGGCCAGGGTATGGCCTTAAGTAGTGAAGGGCCAGGGCCAGGGTCCATGCCAGTGCCAGTGCCGGTCCAGGGCAGACGCAGGGCCATGGCCAGGTCTAGGACAAGGCTGTGGCAGGGCCAAGGTCTGGGTCAGGGTCAGCATAAGACCAGGACAGAGCCAGGGGAGGGACAGGGCCATGGTAAGACCAGGTTAAACCATGAACAAGACACCTGCAAATCCACTTCAGGGCCAGGGCAGGGCCAGTTCAGGGCCAGGGTAAGGGCTGCCAGGGTCATTGGCAGGGCCAGGGCCATGGCAGGACCAGGGTCAGGAGCAGGGGTCAATGCCAGGCCAAGGCCACAGATAGGACCAGGTCTGTGCTAGGGCCAGTGTGAGGGCCAAGACGGGGTCAGGGCAGGGCCAAAGGGAGGGCAGGGCCAGGGCAGGGTGGAGCAGGCCCAGGGTAGCACAGGGTTAAGGTAGGGCACGACCAACCAGGGCAGGTCTATGGCTGGGGCCGGGGCAGGGCCAGGGCCGGGGCAGGGCCAGAGCCAGGGCAGGGCCAAGACAGTGGCAGCTCCAGGGCAGGGCCAGGGTTAGGACCACGGACATGTCCAAGGCCAGTGCCAGGGCAAGGGCAAGGGCAGGGGCAGGGGCAGGGTCATCTAAGAATTAGGGACAAAGCCAGGCCCAGAGCTGGGCCAGGACCGGTACCTGCAGGGCTAGGGTCTGGGCCAGGGCCACAACCAGGTCTGTGCTATGGCCAGGTCCAACACAGTGCCCTGGTAAGGCTAGGGTGAAGGCCAAGGTAGGGCCAGGGCAGGGTCAAAGCCAGGCTAGGGCCAAGGCAGGGCCAGGAAAGCATAGGGCCAGGGCAGGGCAGGGCCAGGCCAGTGCCAAGACCTGGGCAGGGCCAGGGCCAGGGCCATAGAAACGGCCTGGGCAGGACCAGGTTTGGGGCAGGAGCAAAACAAGGGAAAGGACAGTGCAGGTTCTTGGCACAGCCAGGGTCCAGGACAGTGTCAGGGCAGGGCCAAGGCAGGGTCTGGGCCATGGTAAGACCAGCAACAGGGCTGGGGCTAGGTCAGTGACAGGACCAGAGTCAGGGCAAGGGCCAGAGCAGGGCAAGGCCAGGGTAGGGCCAGGCATTTCAGGGTCAGGGCCATGGGAGAACCAGGGCAAGGTCTCAAGCAGGGAAGGGCCAGGGCCAGGACAGGTCCAGGGCAGGGTCATGACAGGGCCAGGGGCTGCATTAGGGCAAGGGCAGGGCCAGAGCAAGGTAAGGGTCAGGGCCAAGGCTAGGGTAGGGACAGGGCAAGAAATATGGCAGGACCAGGGGCAATGCCAAGGCCAAGGCTGAGTCAGGGCTGAGTCAGGGCAGGGCAGGGCAGGGCATGGTATGGCCAGTGCAGGACAGGACAAGAGCCGGTCCACAGAGAGAGCAGGGCTGATGCCAAGAATGAGCCAGGCTAGTGCCAAGGCTGAGGCAGTGTCAGAGCATGTGCAGGGCAGGGCCGGGGCCAGGGCCAGAACCGAGCCAGGGCACAGCCAAGGCAGGGTAGGGCGGGGAAATAGCGTGGCCGGGTCAGTACTGGGACAGGGCAGAGCAGGGCAAGGCGATGGTAGGGGCAGGGCAGAGACAGGCCAATGCAGAGCCATGTTACACCGGGGCCAGGACACCTCCAAGTCCACTTCAGGGCCAAAGCTATGGCAGGACAAAGACCAGGGCCAGGGTCAGAGCCAGGTCTGTGCTGGGCCTAGCGAAGACTAGGGTGAGGGCCAAGGCAAGGCCAGGGCAGGGTCAAAGGCAGAGTAGAGCCAGGGCAGGGTGATGACACATCCAGAGCACAGCAGGGCAGGGTGATGGCAAGACCAGGGGCAGACCACTGCCAGCTCAGGGCCAGGGAAAGACCAGTGCAGAGCCAGGAAAGGGTCTGGGTCTGGGTCAGGGCCAGGAACAAGGCAGAGCAGGGCCAGGGCCATGGCAGAGTCAGGGCAGGTCCTTGACAGGACCAGGTTCCAGGCCAGGGCCAGGGCAGCAGCAGGGGCAGGGCCTGGATAAGGGCAGGGTCAGGGATATGGCAGGACCAGGGCTAGGGCCAGGGCCAGGCCATAGTGAGGGCAGGGCAAAAGCCAAGGCAGGGTCAGGGCAGGTCCAGGGCAGGTCCAGGAAGCGGCCAGCACCAAGCGGGGCCAAGGCACAACCAGCGCAGGGTAAGGCAGGGCAATGGCACCACTGGGCCATGACAGGGCCAGGTCAGTGCCAGGAGAGGGCAGAACAGGAAGGCCCATGGTGGGGCCAGGGCAGGGATGGGCCAAAGCAGAGCCAGGACATTTCCAAGGCCAGGTCAGGGCCAGAACAGGAGCAGGACCATGACCACTGGCAGGGCCAGTGCCATGACAGGACCAGGGTCAGGACAAGGGGCAGGGCCAGAGCCAGGGCCAGAGCCAAGGTCAGGCCAGTGCAGGTTCAGGGCAGGGCCAGTGCCAGGGCAAGACCAGGGCAGGGACAGGGTAGCACGGGGCCAAGACAGGGTCAGGATGGGACCAGAGCAGGACAGGGCTGAGAGTCCAGGTAACAGTAGGGCAGGTACAGGGCAAGGCAGGGCAGTACAGGGCCAGATCCACGGCAGGCACAGGGCAAAGCCAGGCCCATTGCCAATGCACCAGCCCTCCCTACAAGGCTCCTACCACCTGGCCACTGCTGCAGCCCGTCCATCGCTGTAAGCCTGACTCCCAACCCTGCCTGCAGCCGCCCGCCCTCCTAGCGTGGCCACTCTCCTACCGCTCTGGCGCACTGCAGTCTCCGTCACTGCCACCCACCTGCAGCGAGGTGAGCCGTGGTGTTGCAGGCTCTAGGTGTCTCCTCCTCCTCCTGGCATGGAGCAGCTGGGCGGGCAAAGCCAGAAAAGCCTAGAGGAAGTTGTGAAGAGTGGAAGCGTTAGAGCCTCAAGTTGTCATGCCGGCCACTGGGTGGCAGGGGCCAGTTTCAGCAAAGGCACTCACACCCACCCTCCAAAGTCCAGCCTCTCCTTTTGGCCCAAGCTGGCCGGGAACTGGGGTCTGGGGTGGGTGCTGGAGACACCACAGCACCCAGCTCCCCACTCCACAGGAACCACTGGGCCCACCGGGGCTGCACTCCTCGGGGAACAGGAGAAGCAGAAAAATTCAGACCCAGCCAGCCCTCCGCACCCAGGTGCTAATTCCTGTTCCGGATGCCTCCACACACAGGGCCCTGTTCCCCGTGGTGTCCCCAGGGGTGCCTGGCAGCCTCTGAGGCACAGACCCAGAGTGCACAGGCCCAGGAACCACGGTGGGTGTGGGGGCTCTGCCATGCTCAGGATTCCCATGCAAACGCTGCGTGCCCTGCCGCACTCCAGTATGACCAAGAGTGGTTCGCCCTCTGGAGTGTGGAGTCAGGGAGAGGAGAACCACTCCTTCCTTGGATGCCAACTCTGTTGACTGCCGCCAGCAGTGCAGCCCCTGATAGCACCGAACTCGCCCCCGCTCCACGGCTAGTCCTGCCCTCAATAGCGCCCCCCACCTCCGTCCCCCAATGCCGCCAGTAGCATATACCCGATATGCCCTAACCTGTCCTCCTCCATGGGCATTGCAGCCCCAGAAAGCACCCATAACCCACCCTCCCTGCTGTGGGCAGTGCAGTCCTGTGCAGTGCTACCAACCAGTACCCCTAATGCAGGCAATGACACCCTGGATAGCGCCCCCAACCCACCCCACACTGCGAAAGGTGCAGCCCTGGATAGCCCCTGTCCTACCACTCTGGTCATGCTGCAGTCTCTGTCACTGCCACCACCAACTACAGTGAGGCAAGCCAGTGGGCCGCAGGCTCTAGCTCCCAGCAGCCAGGCATGGAGCAGCTCTCGCTGATGGCCGGCTCCTACCACACTGACCATGCTGCTGTCTGTCTCCGTGGCAATCTTCTTTCACTACAAAGAAATAAAACTAGGTATCAATAAGAAAAGTAATTTTGGAAACAATACAATCACATGGAAGTTAAACACTACCCTCCTGAATAAATGACCTGAATAAATAAAGGTCAATGAAGATACTAAGACAGAAATTCAAAAATTTCATGAAACAAAGGGTAATGAAAACACAGTATACCAAAACTTGTTACGCAGAAAGCAGTACAAAGGCAGAGATTTACAGCTATAAGTGCCTACCATCCAAACAAAAGAAAAACTTCAAATAAACAATACATCTTAAAGAACTAGTAAAGTAAGAACAAACTAAACCGAAAATAAGAAAATAAATAAGATCGTAGCAGAAACAAAATTGAAATAAAAAACACACAAGATTAAACGAAAAGTTGGTTTTCTGGAAAGCTAAACAAAATTGACAAACTTTTAACCAGCCTAAGAAAAGAGACAAGATTCAAATAAATAAAATCAACAGATTAAAAAAAGGAGACATTACAACTAATACTTCAGAAATTCAAAGGATCATAACTGGCTATTATATGCCAATAAATTGGAAAGCCTAGTAGAAATTGGCAAATTCCTAGATGCATACAACCTACTTAGGTTAAACAATGAAAACATCCAAGACCAGAACAGATTGGTAACAAGTAATGAGATTGAAGCCATCAGAAAAAGTCTCCCAGTAAAGAAAAGCCCAGGAACTGATGATGTCTTCACTGCTGATGGCTTCACACCAAACAATTTAAAGACCTAGTACAAATCCTGCTCAAATTATTTTGAAAAACAGGAGGGAATACTTCCAAACTTATTCTATGAGACCATTATTACTGTGATACGAAAATCAGATAAAAGCATCAAAGAAGAAAACTACAGGACAGGATCTCTAATATTGATGCAAAAATCCTCAACAGAATACCAGTGAATCAAATTCAGTAATACATTAAAAAGATAATTCATCATGATCAACTGGGATGTATCCCTGGAATGCAAGAGTCACTCAACATACAATGTGATACATCATATCAACCAAATAAACGACAAAAACTGTATGATCATGTCAACTGAAACCAAAAAAGCATATGAAATTCAACATCCCTTCATGCTATAAATCCTCAAAGAAACAGGCACAGAAGAAACATACCGCAACATAATAAAAACTACAGGAAAGACACCCACAGCTAGAATCATATGGAATGGGGAAAAATGGAAAGCTTTTCCTCTAAGATCTGGAACATGATAAGGATGCCCCCTGTCACCACTGTTGTTTAACATAGTACCAGAAATCCTAGCTAAAGCAATCAGTGCAGCCCCTGATATGGCCCCCAACCCACCCTGCCCCCTACCACCAGCAGTGTCGCCCCCCCCCAATAGCACACCCAACATACCCTAACCTCCCCGCCTCCCCGCACCATGGGCATTATAGCAGCCCATAGCGCCCTCAACCCAAAACCGCCACCCCCCCCCCACAGCCACACAGTGCAGCCCCAGATAGCACACTTAACCCACCTCACTGTTGCCAGCAATACAGTCTGGGATAGTGCCCCCAACCGGCTCCCCGCCAAAGGCAGTGCAGCCCCGGTTTGAGCCCCCAAACCGCCCCCCCCCCCGCCCCCGGCAGGCAGCACAGCCCCAGATAGCACACCCAACCAGCCACCCAAGACGGGCAGTGACGCCTGAGATAGGGCTCCCAACCCGTCCCAGGCCACCAGCAGTGCAGCCTGGATGGCGCACTTACCCCAATGCCTTTCTACACTGGCTGGCTGCAGTGTCCATCGCTGCCACCAACCACAAACATGGCTGCAAACAGGAAGGATTTTATTCACCGTCGATGCGGCCCCGAGTTGTCCCAAAGCGAGGCAGTGCCCCAAGGTCTATGCAGAGCAGAACGCAGCTCCGCCCTCGCAATGCTCTCCGGGTCTGTGCCGAGGAGAACGCAGCTCCGCCCTTGCAAAGGCACACAGCGCCGGTGCCGGCGTGGCGGAGAAGCGGACAGCGGCGGAGAGGCGGTCGGCGGCGGCGCGGCGGAGAGGCGGTCGGCGGCGGCGCGGCGGAGAGGCGGTCGGCGGCGGCGCGGCGGAGAGGCGGTCGGCGGCGGGGCGGCGGGGCGGCGGAGAGGCGGTCGGCGGCGGCGCGGCGGAGAGGCGGTCGGCGGCGGCGCGGCGGAGGCGAGGCGGGCGGCGGCGGCGCGGCGGAGGCGAGGCGGGCGGCGGCGGCGAGGCGGGCGGCGGCGGCGAGGCGGGCGGCGGCGGCGAGGCGGGCGGCGGCGGCGAGGCGGACGGCGGCGGCGCGGCGGAGAGGCGCACAGCCGCGGAGAGGCGCACAGCGGCGGAGAGGCGCACAGCGGCGGCGCAGGCGCGGAGAGGCGCAGGCCCAGGCTCCACTCCCCAGCTCTGAAAACTCATCCTGGTCAGAGTTCAGAAGGACATGTGGAGTATAAGGTCAGATGCGGAGATAAAGGGAGATGGTGTGGCCCTCCTGCCTGGGGGTGCTGAGCAGGTTGCTGGAGGCGGTGATCTCACTCTGAAGGAGACAGACACAGAAATGTGTGTACAGTTGATGGTGAGCATCTGAGTTGCGTCTTGTTAGTGAGGCCAGGAGTGCCTGTGTAAGCTGGAACAGATTAGGTATATGATTTGTGAAACGGAGTTTCATCCTAGATCTTCATCTAGTCAAAGGACTGTTTCCTGATTAGGCATTAGCTTAGTGGTTGCTAGTCTGTGTTGACCTTTGAAAGGCATGACTAGGCTAACTCTGAAGTTTCTGCTTCACACCATTTACAATTTAAAATTACCTAGAGCCTTGTGGGCCATTGGAAGAGACTGAATGTTTCACTCTGAAATGGGAGTCCTTGGAGGGTTTTGAGCAGAGGAGAGACATTCAGGTAATCAGATCACTCTGCCAAGACATCAGTCCGGTAGAGATCAGTCCGGTGGCACAAACCAGAGGGCTAGCAGTGGAGATGAGACAAAGAGTCAAACCCGGATAGAGTTTATTTGGAAGCTGGGTCAGTAGGATCTCCTGGTGGACTGAATGTGGGGTGTGTGAGGAAATGAGGATGGCGACTGGAAGTTCCTGGAAGGATGGGTTGTTGCAGGTTAGATAGGAAACTGTCTGCAGATGCAGTTTTGGGAAGATGATGTTTGTTTCGGCTGGGTATCATGCAGACAAGCGGAGTGTCAAGTCTGGAGAGACAGGTCTGGCCAGGGACTTAGATGTACAGCCCTCAGCATGTAGATGCCACTTAACTCTGTGAGGTGGCCGGGGAGTGAGTGCAGAGTGACTGGGAGGAGCAAGACTGGCATGGGCGAGATGGGGCGATTGCGGCCGTGAGGCCTGAGCAGTGCCTAGGAGGGAGAGGGAGAAGCAGTGTGAGCCTGCAGGCACGCAGGAGTCCAGTTGTACACGGAGGCGAAACACTGTTCAGATCCCGCTGCAGTGTTAACTATGGTAAAGGCAGAGTTGACCACCGGAGGAGTCTTTCAGCGTGGAGGCCTTCAGCGATCTTGGCAAGCACCAATTTTCATGGATGTAGGAGAATGGGAGCAGAGGAACTGGAGGCTGCAACTGTGGAAAACTTTTGTGGGGTTTTGCTGCAGAGAGAAGCAGAGAAATGAAGCAGTTTTTGGTGGAAGAAGTGGAATCAAAAGGTTTTGAGATGAGAGAGAGAACAGAGGGAAGAGCTGTTGGAATAAAGTCCAGGAAGAGTGGATGGTGTCTAGTGAGCAAGTGATGTGTGGCCCTGAGTAGAGGCATGGACAAATCATCTGTGCCTGAGCTGCCCGTAGAACTTTCTGTGATCATGGAGATGCACATCTGTGCTTCCCAATATTGTAACACTGGCCACAGGTTGATATGGACCACTTCCAGTGTGACTAGTGTGATTGAGGAACTGCATTTTAAATATTATGTAATTGTAATTAATTTTAATTTAAATAGCCACACATAGCTCCTCTATGGGGCAGGTCAGAGCTCTGATAAGGCTGGATATGGGAGGAAACCCTGGTATAGGGTTGACCGTAGAGGTTCTTTTGGTTTTGGAGTGAATCAGGAAACAGCCATCAGCTGAGTGAAGGTGAGGGTGGTGGTGGGTGTTTGAAGACAAGGGAAAAGTGTGAAAGAATTATTTGGAGAGGAAGGAAAGAAAGTGTGGACTGGGGATGTTTCCAATGTTTGAGCACGCAGGGCTCCACAGTTATCTACATTTGCTGTCCCTTGGAGCAGGAGAGAAGAAAATGGTTGGGACATATTCTGAACAGACTGTAGAGGTAAAATGTGTAGGGTTTTTTTTGTTTTTTTTGTTTTTTGAGATGGAATCTCGCTCTATTGCCCAGGCTGGAGTGCAGTGGCACGATCTTGACTCACTGCAACCTCCGTCTCCCAGGTTCAAGCGATTCTCTCACCTCTGCCTCCTGAGTAGTTGGGACTACAGGCACGCACCACCATGCCCAGCTGATTTTGGTATTTTTAGTAGAGACAGGGTTTCACCATGTTGGCGAGGCTGGTTTCAAACTCCTGACCTCATGTGATCTGCCCGCCTCGGCCTCCCAAAGTGCTGGATTACAGGCATGAGCCACTGTACCCGGCCAAATGTGTAGTATTTTTAATAGGATAAAGCCTACATAATTCTGTCCACAGTTCCTTTACTTAGAAATTGCTCATTTGTTCATGTTAATCCTATGTTTATTACAAATAACAGCATACAGGTTCCCCCCCCCCACCCCATCATGTACAGCTGAATCACGTAGAATTTGAAGATCAAGATGATGAAGCCAGAGTTCAGTATGAGGGTTTTCGACCTGGGATGTATGTCCGCGTTGAGATTGAAAATGTTCCCTGTGAATTTGTGCAGAACTTTGACCCCCTTTACCCCATTATCCTGGGTGGCTTGGGCAACAGTGAGGGAAATGTTGGACATGTGCAGGTGGGTCCCTTTGCTGCGTATTTGGTGCCTGAGGCTCTGTGGATTTCCCCTCCATCAATCATCTTACCCTCTCATCCCCCTCAGATGCGTCTGAAGAAACATCTCTGGTATAAGAAAATCCTCAAGTCCCAAGATCCAATCATATTTTCTGTAGGGTGGAGGAGGTTTCAGACCATCCTGCTCTATTATATCGAAGACCACAATGGAAGACAAAGGCTTCTAAAGTATACGCCACAGCATATCCATTGTGGAGCCGCCTTTTGGGGTAAAATATGATTACAATAACTTGCCTATTGCCGAGATTAAACTTTACAGGCTGTGTTATTTTAGCTTTGTGCTTTTCCTTTCATAAAATTCCACTCCTAAGATGTTTCTCTTTTCTGGGAGCGGGGAGGTGGTTTGGAGTATATATGTACATCTATATCCAAATCTAAGTGTCCATATCCAGTATGTTAAACTAGAATCTAAAATTTCTGGTTTGCTATATTTCTTTTTTTCCTTTTCCTTTAAGACCCTATCACTCCACAGGGAACTGGTTTCTTGGCAATACAGTCTGTCAGTGGCATAATGGTAACTATCTTGGATGATTTCTTTTACAGATTGGTTTGAGAAATATATCCTGAATGTGGGTTATTATGTACATGAGACTTTAAGTTGAAAATTACTCATTTTTATTAATATAAAGTAAATTTCCCTTTGCTTTTAATCTTCGTACATCCTTTTCAGTAGGGTGTGGGATTAGAGGAGGGGAGGTGGAAGAATTATAATGGTACATTTCCTATTTTTATGCATCTTTTGCATTTATTTATCCAAGCAAGTATTTAAGCAGTGCTCACCATGTGCTAAGCACTATATGAGGTTATGAGGAGCCGTCAGAGACCACCCAGACACAAGACTCCCTGCAGCTGTGCTGGGGTAGCAGTCTGTTCACTCCATTTTCATTTGACCAGTCAGGCAGGGCAGGGTTTACTGGTCCCATTTAACAGAGAAGAAAGCAGAATAATGAGCAGATGGAATCTTCCCTGGAGGTCCAAATTTTAATTTCCTAAACATTGCAACTGTATTTTTCTTTTCCATTTCGTTCCAAATAAATCATTATAGTAAAATTACATTCCTCTGAAATCACTCTCAGGAAAGTACTCAAGTAGCCTTTTTTTTTCTTTCTTTTTTTTTTTTTTTTTTTTTGAGACCGAGTCACACTCTGTCTTCCAGGCTGGAGTGCAGTGGCACGATCTTGGCTCGCTGCAACCTCTGCCTCCTGGGTTTAAGCGGTTCTCCTGCCTCGGCCTCCCGAGTAGCTGGGATTACAGGTATGCACCATCATGCCGAGCTAATTTTTGTATTTTTAGTAGAGACGGAATTTCGCCATGTTGGCCAGACTGGTTTCAAACTTCTGACCTCAGGTGATCCACCTGCCTTGGCCTCCCAAAGTGCTGGGATTACAGGTATGAGCCACTGTGCCTGGCCTCAAGTCACCCTTGTTAGTTTGGCTTACCAACTTTAAAGTTTTGGATTGCTTTTGTCAAACCAATGGGTTGCAAGTTCAGATGGTCTCTCTTGTTTTTCTTAACTAATTGTAAGTAAAATTCACTTTGGTAATTTATTGTGTCACATAGAATTGAAGTTTTTCTCTTGCTAATATTATTCCTATTTTCAAATTTTGGGGCTCCTGTTAGCCTGATTTTCAGATAGCTGCCACAGGAGTTGTCCTTGATCTGGATAAATCCATAAAAATTGTGAAGAAATTAAAGCTAACTGGTTTTCCATATAAAATTTTCAAGAACACTTCATTTATTAAGGTCTGTATATCTATATATTCTCATATTTATAAATGTCCATATTGTTTGAGAAAAGGAATGAAATACCTCTAAAATGTGGGCCTCTTATTTTTAGAAAAGTGTTTGAAATCTTTTATAAACTTCATATTTTGTTTGCTCCTTTATATTCTGTATTACTTAAATATGCTCAAAAAAGCAGTGGTAAACAGCTATTTAGGAATTGAGGCTGTTACTCCTGACTTCCATGTGAGACTGCCACAGAACTCATATTGAAAATATGTCATTTTATCCACTAGGTTTTGTTTCCTACTTTTTAAATTGGTGTTAAGAAAGGGAAAAAAATCACAAGTTTGTCTAACTCAGTAGAAAAATCGACAAAGCATTTGCAGACAACTTGGCAAGGGTACAGAGAAACGGATGTACTGTTTTTCAGTATTTTGGGAGGGTGGTTTGAGCAGCATTTATTGACAATTTCATTAGTGGGGATGTTTCTATTGAAAACAGAGTTAGGAAGTCATAAAATGTTCTTGCAATATAAGGTAATAATACCACTGGCGTTTATCTTACTGTTTTCATGTTCTAAGTGCATGCATCTGAGTAAAAGGATCTGGGCTGCAGTCCAGTCTGAGAGATGCCAGCAAAGGCTTCCTAGGCCAATTCAGTCCAGTAAATCCCTCTTCGATCTTCTCTTCCACACAGACAGCAGTGATGAGCATGCCCATGAACTCACATGATTATTTTGGGGAAAATGAAAGAGTTGTATTCTTTTTGAGGTAGTAATTCCACTTTCAGGGGCAAATACATTTTGATTATTTTATCACCCTTCAGTGAGTTGTTTTTGTTCTTTAATCACGGATGTATGTTTGAAGTAAGAAGTAAAGCATAAAGTATATGATTTTGTGTGTGTGTGTGTTTTTATCTTGCTATACCTGTAGGGAATGTTTAATTCTGCCTTGGAAGTGGCCAAATTTGAAGATGCTGTGATTCGAACTGTCAGTGGGATAAGGGGGCAGATCAAGAGAGCACTCTGAGCTCCAGAAGGAGCTTTCCAGGATAGCTTTGAGGATAAGCTGCGGATGAGCGGTGAGTGTCTTAAGTAGTGTTCAGGGCAGGGTGTTACCATTCATGCTTGACTTCTAGCCAGTGTGACGAGAGGCTGGAGTCAGGTCTCCAGAGAGTTGAGCAGCTCCAGCCTTAGATCTCCCAGTCTTATGCAGTGTGCCCATTTGCCTTGTGTCTGCAGTCCCCTGGCCACACCCAGTAACAGTTCTTTGATCTATGAGAATAGTTTCCTTAGCGAGCTTTCCCTTCAAATACTTTGCAGTCAGGTAGAGAAGTTTGGAGTGAAGATTTTGTTCTTTGTTTCTTCACAATATGGATATGAATCTTCTTTTGAAAACGTTAAAGTAAATTACCTCTTTTCAGATATTGTCTTCATGCGAACTTGGTATCCTGTTTCCATCCCAGCCTTCTATAACCCAGTAACATCTTTGTTGAAACCAGTGGGTGAGAAAGACACCTGGTCAGGAATGTGGACCACGGGCCAACTCAGGCTCGCCCATGGTGTCAGACTAAAGACAAACAAGGACTCTCTGTATAAGGTACTGGTCGTGTGTGTGTTAGTGGAGATGAAGCCTGTGCTCTACAGACAGGGAGTCACACAGACACTTTTCTATAATTTCTTACATACTTTGAATGTTCAAGTATAAAGTCTAATGTTAAATTTGATTGAACAATTGTATATTTGTGGGATATTTTGGAATGGAACACCAAAAAATGGTAATAGTGGTTCTTTCTGGATTGAAGGAAAACTTTTCTTTTTTAAAATAAATTTTATTTTATATATTTGAGGTTGACAACATGATCTTAAAGGATACATATAGATAGTAAACTGGTTACTATAGTGAAGCAAATTAACATAGCTACCATCTCACATAGTTAGATTTTTGTTTGTGTGACAGGAACAGCTAAAATCTACTTATTTAACAAAAATCCCAAAGACAATATATTTTTATTAACTATTGCCCTCATGATGTACACTAGATCTCTAACTTGTTCATCCTACATGTCTGCTACTTTGTATTATTTTAATGTACATCTCCCCATTTCCTATTGGTCATTTCCTATTTGGCCCATTTTTCAACTGGGTTGTTTTTCTGCTCTTAAGTTGTAAGAGTTCTTTACTGATTTTTGGATATTAACACTTTATCAGATATGTGGTTTGCAAATATTTCTTCCAGTCTGTAGGTTCCCCTTTCATTTTGTTGGTTGTTCCTTTGCTGTGCAGAAGCTTTTTAGTTTGATGCAGTCCTCCTTGTTTATGTTTACATTTGTAGCCTGGCTTGTGGTGCGATATCCAAAAAATTATTGCTAAGGCCAATGTCAAGAGGCTTTCCCCCTATGTTTTCTTCTAGGAGTTTTATGGTTTCAGGTCTTATTTGGGTCTTTGGTCTTGTATCTGTTTTGAGTTGATTTTTGTGTATGGTGTATGATCAGGGTCCAATTTTATTCTTTTGCATGTGAAAATCCTATTATTGAAGAGACTATCTTTTTTACCATTGTGTTGTCTTGTTTGCCCTTGTCAAAAATTAGTTGACAGTATATGTTTGGATTTATTTCAAAGGTCTCTGTTACGTTCCATTGGTCTATTTTTTTGTTTTTATGCCAGCACCATACTGTTTTGATTACTATAGCTTTGTAATGCAATTTTAAATCAAGAGGTGTGATGCCTCCAACTTTTTCTTTCACAGTGATCTGTTGGCTGTTTGGGGTTTTTTGTGGTTCCATATGAGTTTCAGGATTGTTTTTTCTTTTCTTTTCTTTTTTTTTTTTTTTTGAGGTGAAGTCTCACTCTGTCACCCAAGCTGGAGTGCAGTGGCATAATCTCGGCTCACTAAAACCTCTGCCTCCTGGATTCAAGCAATTCTTCTGCCTCAGCCTCCCAGGTAGCTGGGACTACAGGCACATGCCACTATGCCCGGCCAATTTTTGTAGTTTTAGTAGAGACAGGGTTTCACTATGTTGGCCGGGCTGGTCTCCAACTCCTGACCTCATGATCCACCCGCTGCAGTCTCCCAAAGTGCTGGAATTACAGGCGTGAGCCACTGTGCCTGGCCAGGATTGTTTTATTCTGTTCTGTGAAGAATGTCATCAGAACTTTGAGGAGGATTGTGTTAAATCTGTATATTTGCTTTGGGTAGTGTGAACATTTTAACAATATTAATTCTTCTGATCCATAAACATAGGATGTCTTTTCATTTGTTCATGTCTAAATTTCTTTCATCAATGTTTTATGGTTTTTAAGTGTACACATCTCTCACCTTCTTGGTTAAATTTATTCCTAAGTTTTTGTTTTTCTTTGATGCTATCGTAAATGAGATTATTTTCTTGATTGCTTCATCAGCTAGGTTATTTGTATACAGAAATGCAACTGATTTTTATATGTTGAGTTTATACCTTGCAGCTTAACTGAATTGATTTAGTAGTTCTCACAGTTTTTTGTGGACTCTTTGGAGTTTTTTACGTAAAGGATCTTGTCATCTGCAAATAGAGATAATTTTACTTCTTTAATTTAGTTGCCTTTTTTTTCTCATCTGATTGCTCTTGCAAGTACTCTGTTGAATAAAAGTGATGAGGCTGGCCATCCCTATCTTGTACTCAATCTTAGTGGAAAAGCTTTAGTTGTTCCCCACTAACTATGATTAGACTGTGGGTTTTTCATAAATGGTGTTTATTATGTTGAGGAACTTTCCTTCTATACATAAACTATTAAGAGGTTTTATCAAGAAATGTTGCTAAACTTTGTTAAATGCTTTTACTGCATCAATTGAGGTGACCATGTCATTTTATCTTTCATTTTGTTAATGTGATGTATCACATTGATTGATTTACATATTTTAAACCAGCCTTGCATGCCAGGGATAAATCCCACTTAAACACGATGTATAATGTTTTTGATGTGTTGTTGAATTCTATTTGCTAAAATTTTTTTAGGATGTTTGCATCAGTATTTAATTTATTGGAGAAGTTGACCTGTAGTTTTTGTTCGGTGTGTGTGTGTGTGTGTGTGTGTGTGTGTGTGTGTGTGTGTGTGTGTGTGTTTTGGTTTGGCTTAGGTATTAAGGTGATACTGGCCTGGTAAAATGTGTTTGGAATTATTTCCTCTCACTCTGTTTTTGCGAAGAGTTTAAGAAGTAAACTCCCAGGGGATGGGAGTGACTCTGGACATGGGAGTGACATGATAGTGACTCTGGACCCTGCAGTGGTGGGACACAGCAGCATCTCAGTCTCTGAAAGGCCAGGCACAGCATCAGCAAGGACCCCAGAATGGTGGAGCACTACTGTGGCTTGAGCCCTCGGGGGCAGGGACCAGTACAGCAACTACTTCTCTCCCTGGGGAGGCAGGTGCCTGGGCAACTCAGATTCTCCAGGGCTAGTCCAGTTCCAAGGAAGCAGGGTTCTACAGTTGTTTGTCCTGAAGGGCAAGGTACCCCAGTTCAGCCAATGCCGTTTTCCTGGGATATGGGGGTGCCATGTTGGCTCATCCCTGGCAGGTGTGGCTGCTCAGCTCAGCCAAGACACTGATTCCCTGTGAAGCAGGGCAGTGCTTCAGCTCTCATGCAGTGGGGGGTGTGACTGCTTAGACTGGCCAAGACACTGATTCCCTGGAAAGCAGGGCACCAAGTCAGCTCAGGCTCCAAGGGGCAGGGCGCAATGGCAGCTGGGAGGGGAGGGGCACAGCAGCGTGGCCCCGCAGGTGGGGTGTATGCTGTGATGTGGACATCATTTGTTCCCACCAGCCATTTGAAATTTCATCCATTTGAAATTTGATTTCAAATGTGGTGGTGTGGGAGGTGGGGCCTAGTGGGAGTTATTTGAGTCACAGGGCAGATCCTTTATGAATAGATTAATGCCTTTTCATGGGACTGGATTAGTTACCAGGAGTGGATTGTTATCAGAGTGAGTTCAGCTTCCTAGACTCTTGTGTTTCCTCTCTTGCCATGTGAGCCCCTTGCATACACCTGTTTCGCCTTCCACTTTCCCCATGAGATGAAGCAGCACAAGACCCTCACCAGTTGTGCTGCCCGATCTCGGACTTTTTAGACACAAGCAGGGTGAGCCAAATAAACCTTTTTTATAAAATAAGTTACCCCGAGTCTCAAGTATTCTGTTACAGCCACACTAAATGGCCTAAGACAGTGTAACAGCGGCTCGGGGGTGGTGGGCCACTAGGTGGGTGTGATATAGAGCAACAAAGCCTGAGGATGGAAGAAGGGTGCGGTGGCTGCTCACCCTGGGTGGGACATGCTCCCGAAGTGGTCCAGGTCCAGGAGGGCACGTTGCAGCAGCAGCTGGTCCATGGGGGTGGGGCACAATGTCAGTTCCTTCTCTGAGGGGAGTGCTGGGGCTACTGGGCCCCTCTTGCTTCCTTATTCCTGCAGGGAGACATCCCCTCTGCTTCAGGCTGATCCCTCTGGGGGAATGGGTGGTGGGGGCCAGATGTTTCCTTCCCTCCTTTATGTGACCGTCCTGTTTTCCGGGCTCTACTGGATTTCTGCTACTCCTTGATGCACTCTGGGGCTCTCCTTTAGTGACTTTCATCAAAATATAGCTGTTTGCTGCTTTGGCTGTCTTTGTCAGGGGATGAGTGCAAGGGGCTATTGATCAGCCCTTAGCTGGCATCACTCCCTCTTAAACTTTTCACTGGATACTCTTTTGAACTGTTTTTTTCCCCCACCATATACATGTATTTTTTAAACGTTAATGTGCTAATTTCTACTGAAGCAATGTGGATTTTTCTGAAAGCTTTAATGTTTTAATAAGCTTTTTATTGAAATGTTAATGTACATACAGAAGAGTGCCCGAATCATAAGTGTGCATCTAGATGAACTGTAGCACACCAGGCTGCCACGCCCTGGACCAAGCAGTAGCCTTGACCTGTGGCCTCTCCCAGGCACTGCTGCCCCAACCCACAAAATAGCTACTTTCCCAGTTCCTGATGTAGATTTGTTCTGCCTGGTTTTGACTTCTATAAAATACAGCACATTCTATTTAGCCTGGCTTCTTTGGTTCAGTATTACAGAACACATCCATGTTCTTGTCTATGGCAGACATTGATTTATCGTCATTGTTGAGTTCCATTATATGACTGTGTCACCATTTTTCCATTGATGAGTAAAATGATTTCCTATTTTTGGCTGTTATCCCACGGCCCTGAACAGTAGGTCTGCATATGGGACTTGCAGGTATGCAGGGGCACACCCACTTCTGCTGGAGGATCCCTGGGTGGGGTGGAGACTCCAGGGCACCTGTGCTCTGCTTCAGTGTGGAGGCTTCTGTGTTGTGTTCTGGGAGCACAGTGGCTTGGCCTCCGCCACCAGCAGCAGCTTGAAGAGTTCCTGCTGTTCCACATGGTTGCCAACAATTGGCCTCTTCAGTTTTTTTTTTTTTTTTTAGGTTTTCAGTGCCTGCCTGGACTTGTGTTTTCATTTAGATTTTGGTTTCTTAGAACTTTCGTTATTCTCTTCACAGCTTAACAATGCATTTGAAAAGATTTGTTTTCATGTGGAGTATTCAGTTTTGTAATAGGAGGGTTGTTCAAGGCATCAGTCTGCCACTCTGCTAGAAACAGAATTCTCCCAGGCATTTCTTTTTATATAAAGTAGTTAATGAAATTTTGAACCATCTTACATGAATTTTTATTAAAATACACTTCAGGATGTGGTGCCCATTATCCATTCTACTCTTTTGTAACAAGTAGATTTCTCTGAATTCTTGAATTTGAAAACAATTGGGGTTCCTAAACAGAGAATATGGAATATTATTGGGGATGATGTCTTTAATAATACATCTCAAGATAGGAGAAACTTTTTCTATATAGTTGACTTTAATAAAAGCCTAGGGCAAAACTTTCAATATATTAACAGTATTTATGAGGCAGTTAAGAATTTGGGTCATCTCTGTCTCCACTAAAAATACAAAAAGTTAGCCAGGTGTGGTGGCGGGTGCCTGTAGTCCCTGCTACTTGGGAGGCTGAGGCAGGAGAATGGTGTGAACCCGGGAGGTGGAGGTTGCAGTGAGCCGAGATCATGCCACTGCACTTTAGCCTGGGCAACAGAGCGAGACTGCGTATCAAAAAAAAAAAAAAAAAAAGAATTTGGGTCATCTCAATTAAACATAGAATTTAAGATTACATTGAAAATTCAGTACAGAGTATTTTGCCTTCATCTGTTGTTTGAGTCTCCCTTCTTTCAGCCATCCTTCCATCAGAAATAGAATACCAAGTTAAACTTCTTAATTAGAATCAGGAATCAGGACTCTTTGGCTGCTGATTGAAGGAAGAACTGTCCTTAAATCCAGAGTGGGCCGGGCATGGTGGCTCATGCCTGTAATCCTAGCACTTTGGGAGGCCAAGGCAGATGGATCACCTGAGGTCAGGAGTTCAAGAGCAGCATGACCAACATGGTGAAACCCCATCTCTACTGAAAATACAAAAATTAGCCGGGCGTGGTGGTGTGTGCCTATAGTCCCAGATACTTCGGAGGCTGAGATAAGAGAATTGCTTGAACCTGGGAGGTGGAGGTTATGTGAGCCAAGATCACGCCACTGCACTCTAGCCTGGGTGACAGGGCGAGACTCCATCTCAAAAAAAAAAAAAAAAAATCCAGAGTGGTTGGTAGTCAAGACAAAAAGCTAGATTATTTTTGTTAGTCTGGGAACTAAAAAAAATAGTTGTAACTTTGAAGCCTTTTTATGGATCAACATGAAGATTGAGGGATCTCAAACAGAAAGGGCATCCTGGTGGCAAAGGTTAATCATTACCAGACTGCAAGAGTAGTTTCAATGGCAAGAAAGCAGCAACAGAATCAATGAAAACAAAGCAATGATTAGAATGCCCTTTCCCCTTCTCCTCCTGACTTGTAGACACTGATTGTCTTCCTTGGACTTAGGGAACCCCTTAGGTTCTTGAAAAATTCAATGATCAGGCTATAGTAGATGGTCCCCAGTACACAGCACAAGATTTTTTGATAAACTGGACATTTTGAAACCCAAATAACTAATTAGAAAAATCAAACATGTGAAACTACTTTATCCCATGCATAGGGGTTATACTGGAAATAAAATGTACAACATTGGAATCCTGAAGGAGAAAAGTCCTAAAAGTTTCAATATCAAGAATCCTGCACCTGCTGCTACTTATCTAGCCTTTTGCTTGATTTCTGGCTGATGAACTTGCACAACTCTTGAAAACTTAAAAACTTGAAAATTTGTCACTTGAAAACTACTTGAACCAAACTATGAAATCTCACCTGATATATAAGATGCAATTGTTACAATTATTTTAAACTTCAATTTACTGTTTTGCTCTATCAAAAGAAAGTTTCAACTCTGTTAGTTGAGTACACACATCGTAAACAAGTTTCTGAGAATGCTTCTGTCTAGTTTTTATGGGAAGATATTTCCTTTTTCACCTTAGGCCTCAAAGCGCTCCAAATGTCCACTTACAGATTCTACAAAAGGAGTGTTTCAAAACTGCTCAATCGAAATTAAGGTTCCACTCTGCGAGATGAATGCACACATCACAAAAACTTTGTCAGATTGCTTCTGTCTAGTTTTGTGTGAAGATATTTCCTTTTCCACCACAGGCCTCAAAGCTCTCCAAATGTCCACTTGCAGATTCTACAAAAGGAGTGTTTCAAAACTGCTCTATCGAAAGTTAAGTTCAACTCCATGAGATAAATGGCAACTCCATGAGATAAATGACAAATAAGCTTGTCAGAATGCTTCTGCCTAGTTTTAATGTGAAGATATTTCCTTCTCCACCATAGGCCGCAAAGTGCTCCAAATGTCCACTTGCAGATTCTACAAAATGAGAGTTCTCAAAACTGCTAAATTAAAATAAAGTTTCAGCTCTGTGAGAGGAATGCACACATCACAAAGCAGTTTCACAGAATGCTTCCATCTAGTTCTTAAATGAAGATACTTCCTTTTCCACCATAGGCCAAAAAGCGCTCCAAATGTCCACTTGCAGATATTACAAAAAGAGCTTTTCAAAACTGCTCAATGTCTGTTCATGTCCTTCACCCACTTTTTGATGGGGTTGTTTGTTCTTTTCTTGTAAATTTGTTTGAGTTCATTGTAGATTCTGGATATTAGCCCTTTGTCAGATGAGTAGCTTGTGAAACTTTTCTCCCATTTTGTTGGTTGCCTGTTCACTCTGATGATAGTTTCTTTTGCTGTGCAGAAGCCCTTTAGTTTAATTAGATCCTATTTGTCAATGTTGGCTTTTGTTGCCATTGCTTTTGGTGTTTTAGACATGAAGTCCTTGCCCATGCCTATGTTCTGAATGGTAATGACTCGGTTTTCTTCTAGGGTTTTTATGCTTTTAAGTCAAAAGTTTAAGTCTTTAATCCATCTTGAATTGATTTTTGTGTAAGGTGTAAGGAAGGGATCCAGTTTCAGCTTTGTACATATGGCTAGCCAGTTTTCCCAGAACCATTTATTAAATAGGGAATCCTTTCCCCATTTCTTGTTTTTCTCAGGTTTGTCAAAGATCAGATAGTTGTAGATATGTGGCATTATTTCTGAGGGCTCTGTTCTGTTCCATTGATCTATATATCTGTTTTGGTACCAGTACCATGCTGTTTTGGTTACTATAACCTTCTAGTATAGTTTGAAGTCAGGTAGTGTGATGCCTCCAGCGTTGTTCTTTTGGCTTAGGATTGACTTGGCGATGCGGGCTCTTTTTTGGTTCCATATGAACTTTAAAGTATTTTTTTCCAATTGTGTGAAGAAAGTCATTGGTAGCTTGATGGGTATGGCATTGAATGTGTAAATTACCTTGGGCAGTATGGCCATTTTCACGATATTGATTCTTCCTACCCAAGAGCATGGAATGTTCTTCCATTTGTTTGTATCCTCTTTTATTTCCTTGAGCAGTGGTTTGTAGCACCTCCTTGAAGAGGTCCTTCACATCCCTTGTAAGTTGGATTCCTAGGTATTTTATTCTCTTTGAAGCAATTGTGAATGGGAGTTCACTCATGATTTGGCTCTCTGTTTGTCTGTTGTTGGTGTATAAGAATGCTTGTGATGTTTGTACATTGATTTTTAAGGACATGAACAGACATTTCTCAAAAGAAGACATTTATGCAGCCAAAAACCACATGAAAAAATGCTCACCATCACTGGCCATCAGATAAATGCAAATCAAAACCACAATGAGATACCATCTCACACCAGTTAGAATGGCAATCATTAAAAAGTCAGGAAACAACACGTGCTGGAGAGGATGTGGAGAAATAGGAACACTTTTACACTGTTTGTGGGACTGTAAACTAGTTCAACCACTGTGGAAGTCAGTGTGGCAATTCCTCAGGGATCTAGAACTAGAAATACCATTTGACCCAGCCATCCCATTACTGGGTATATACCCAAAGGACTATAAATCATGCCGCTATAAAGACACATGCACACGTATGTTTATTGCGGCATTATTCACAATAGCAAAGACTTGGAACCAACCCAAATGTCCAACAATGATAGACTGGATTCAGAAAATGTGGCACATTTACACCATGGAATACTATGCAGCCATAAAAAATGATGAGTTCATGTCCTTTGTAGGGACATGGATGAAATTGGAAATCATCATTCTCAGCAAACTATCGCAAGAACAAAAAACCAAACACTGCATATTCTCACTCATAGGTGGGAATTGAACAATGAGAACACATGGACACAGGAAGGGGAACATCACACTCTGGGGACTGTTGTGGGGTGGGGGGAGGGGGGAGGGATAGCATTGGGAGATATTCCTAATGCTAGATGACGAGTTAGTGGGTGCAGTGCACCAGCATGGCACATGTATACATATGTAACTAACCTGCACATTGTGCTCATGTACCCTAAAACTTAAAGTATAATAATAATAAATAAATAAATAAAAACTGCTCAATGAAATAAAGGTTCAACTCTGTGACATGAATGCACACATCAGGAAGAAGTTTCTCAGAATATTTCTGAATCATTTTTATGTGAAGATATTTCCTTTTCCACCATTGGCCTCAAAGCGCTCCAAATCTGCACATGCAGATTCTAAAAAAAGAGTGTTTCAAAGCTGCTCAATCAAAAGAAAGGTTCAACACTCTGAGATGAATGCACACGTCACAAAGAAGTTTCTCAGAATGCTTCTGTCTAGTTTTTATGTGAAGATATTTCCTTTTCCACCATTGGCCTCAAAGCACTCCAAATGTCCTCTTGCATATTCTACAAAAAGAGTGTTTCAAAGCTGCTGAATCAAAAGAAATGTTCAACTCTGTGAGATGAATGCACCCATCACAAAGAAGTTTCTCAGAATGCTTCTGTCTAGTTTTTATTTGAAGATATTTCCTTTTACACCATAGGCCTCAAAACGCTCCAAATGTAAACATCCAGATCGTACAAAAAAAGTTTTTCCAAACTGCTCCATCAAAATAACGGTTTAACTCTGTGAGATGAATGCACACATCACAAAGAATTTTCTCTGAATGATTCTGTCTAGTTTTTACGTGAATATATTTCCTTTTCCACCATAGGACTCTAAGCGCTCCAAATGTCCAATTCTAGATGCTACAAAAAGAGTGTTTCAAAGCTGCTGAATCAAAAGAAAGGTTCAAATCTGTGAGATGAATGCATGCACACATCACAAAGAGTTTCTCAAAACACTTCTCTCTAGTTTTTATATGAAGATATTTCCTTTTCCTCCATAGGACTCTAAGTACTCCAAATGTCCAATTCTAGACACTACAAAAAGAGTGTTTAAAAATTGCTCAATCGAAAGTAAGTTTCAACCCTGTGAGATGAATGCACACATCACAAAGAGGTTTTTCAGAATGTTTCTGTCTAGTTTTTATGTGAAGATATTTCCTTTTCCACCATAGGCCTCAAAGCGCTCCAAATGTCCGCTTGCAGATTCTACGAAAAGAGTGTTTCAAAACTGCTCAATCAAAAGAAAGGTTCAACTCTGTGAGATGAATGCACACATCACAAAGAAGTTTCTGAGAATGCTTCTGTCTAGTTCTTAAGTGAAGATATTTCCTTTTCCACCATTGGTCCCAAAGCACTCCAAATGTCCACTTCCGGATTCCACAAAAAGAGAGTTTCCAAACTACTCAATCAAAAAAAGGTTCACCTCAGTGAGATGAATGCACACATCACAAAGAAATTTGCCAGAATGCTTCTGTCTAGTCTTTATATGAAGATATTTCCTTTTCCACCATAGGCCCCAAAGGGCTGCAAATGTCCACTTGCAGATCCTGCAGAAAGAGTGTTTCAAAACTGCTCAATCAAAAGAAAGGTTCAACTCCGTGAGATGAATGCACATTTCACAAAGAAGTTTCTCAGAATTCTTCTGTCAGGTTCTTAAGTGTAGATATTTCCTTTTCCAACACAGGACTCAAAGCTCTCCAAATGTCCCCTTGCAGATTCTACAAAAAGAGTTTCCAAACCACTCTATCAAAAGAAAATTTCAACGCTGTGAGATAAATGCACATATCACAAAGAAGATTCTCAGAATGCTTGGGTCTAGTTATTATGTGAAGATATTACCTTTTCAACAATAGGCCTCAAAATGCTCCAAATTTCCACATGCAGATTCTACAAAAAGAGTGTTTCAAAGCTGTTCAATCAAAAGAAAGCTTCAACTCTGTGAGATGAATGCTCACATCACAAAGAAATTTCTCAGAATGCTTCTGTCCAGTTTTTATGTGAAGATATTTCCTTTTCCAGCATAGGCGTCAAAACGCTCCAAATGTCCACTTACAGATCCCACAAAAATAGTGTTTCAAAACTGCTCAATCAAAAGAAAGGTTCACCTCTGTGAGATGAATGCACACATCACAAATAATATTCTCAGAATAATTCTGTCTAGTGTTTATGTGCAGATATTTCCTTTTCCACCATAGTCCTCAAAGCACTCCAAATGTCCAATTGCAAATCCTACAAAAAGAGTGTTTCAAAACTGCTCAATCGAAGGTAGGGTTCAACTCTGTGAGGTGAATTCTCACATCAAAAAAAGTCTGTCAGAATGCTTCTGTCTAGTTTTCATATGAAGATGTTTCCTTTTCCACCGTAGGCCTCAAAGCACTCCAAATGTCCACATGCGGGTTCTATAAAAAGAGTGTTTCCAAACTGCTCAAGCAAAAGAAATGTTCAACTCTGTGATATGAAAGCACACATCACAAAGAAGTTTGTCAGAATGCTTCTGTCTAGTTTTCATGTATAGATGTTTCCTTTTCCACCATAGGCTGCAAAGCGCTCCAAATGTCTACTTGCAGATTCTACAAAAAGATTGTTTCAAAACTGCTCAATGAAAAGAAAGTTTCAACTCTGTGAGATGAACGCACACATCACAAAGAAGTTTCTCTGAATGCTTCTGTCTAGTTCTTAAATGAAGATATTTCCTATTCCACCACAGGACTCAAAGGGCTCCTAATGTCCACTTGCAGATTCTACAAAAAGAGTGTTTAAACCTGCTCAATCAAAAGAAATGTTCAACCCGGTGAGATGAATGCACACAACACAAAGGATTTTCTATGAATGATTCTGTCTAGTTTTTATGTGAACATATTTCCTTTTAAGCCATAGGCTTCAAAGCGCTTCAAATGTACAATTGCAGATTCCACAAAAAGAGTTTTTCAAAACTGCTCAATGGAAAGAAAGGTTCAAATCTGTGAGAAGAATGCACACATAACAAAGAAGTTTATCAGAATGTTTCTGTATAGTTTTTATGTGAAGGTATTTCGTTTTCCACCATAGGCCTCAAAGAGCTCCAAATGTCCACATGCAGATTCTACAAAAAGAGTGTTTCAAAGCCGCTCAATCAAAAGAAAGGTTCAACTCTGTGAGATGAATGCACAAATCACAAAGAAGTTTGTCAGAATGCTTCTGTCTAGTTTTTATGTGAAGATATTTCCTTTTCTACCATAGGCTGCAAAGCGCACCAAATGTCCAAATTCACATTCTACAAAAAGAGTCTTTCAAAACTGTTCAATCAAAAGAAAGGTTCAACTCTGTGAGATGAATCCACACATCTCAGTGAAGTTTTTCAGAATGTTTCTGTATAGTTTTTATGTGAAGCTATTTCCTTTTCCACCATTGCCTCAAAGCGCCAAAAATGTCCACTTGCAGATACTACAAAAAGAGTGTTTCAAAGTTGCTCAATCAAAAGAAAGTTGAAATTCTGTGAGATGATTGCATATATTACATATAAGTTTCTCAGAATGCTTCTGTCTAGTTTTGTGTGAAGATATTTCCTTTTCCACCACAGGCCTCAAAGCTCTCCAAATGTCCACTTGCAGATTCTACAAAAAGAGTGTTTCAAAACTGCTCAATCGAAAGTAAGGTTCAACTCTTTGAGATGAATGCACCCATCACAAATAAGCTTGTCAGAATGCTTTTGTCTAGTTTGTATGTGAAGATATTTCCTTTTCCACCGTCGGCTGCAAAGCACTCCAAATGTCCACTTGCAATTTCTAGAAAAAGAGTTTTTCAAAACCGCTCAATTAAAATAAAGTTTCAGCTCTGTGAGAGGAATGCACACATCACAAAGCAGTTTCACAGAATGCTTCCGTCTACTTCTTAAATGAAGATATTTCCTTTTCCACCATAGGCCCAAATGCGCTCCAAATGTCCACTTGCAGATTCTACAAAAAGAGAGTTTCTAAGCTACTCAATCAAAAGAAAGGTTCAACTCTGTGAGATGAATGCACACATCACAAAGAAGTTACTCAGAATGCTTCTGTCTACTTCTTAAGTGAAGATATTACCTTTTCCACCTTAGGCCCCAAAGCACTCCTAATGTGCTCTTGCAGATCCTACAAAAAGAGAATTTCCAAACTACTCAACCAAAAGAAAGGTTCAACTCTGTTAGATGAATGCACACATCACAAAGTAATTGGTCAGAATGCTTCTGTCTAGTTTTTATGTGAACATATTTCCTTTTCAACCATAGGCCTCAAATCGCTTCAAATGTACAATTGCACATTCCACAAAAAGAGTTTTTCAAAACTGCTCAATGAACAGAAAGGTTCAACTCTATGAGATGAATGCACACATCACTAAGAAGTTTGTAAGAATGTTTCTGTATAGTTTTTATATGAAGATATTTCCTTTTCCACTATAGGCCTCAAAGCGCTCCAAATGTCCACATGCAGATTCTACAAAAAGAGTGTTTCAAAGCTGCTCAATCAGAAGAAATGCTCAAGGCTATGAGATGAATGCATACATCACAAAGAAGTTTCTCAGAATTCTTCTGTCTAGTTTTTATGTGAAGATATTTCCTTTTCCACTATAGGCCACAAAGTTCTCCATATGTCCACTTGCAGATTCTACAAAAAGAGTGTTTCCAAACTGCTCAATCAAAAGAAAGGTTCTACTCTGTGAGATGAACTCACACACCACAAAGAAATTTCTGAGAATTCTTCCGTCTAGTTTTTATGTGAAGATGTTTCCTTTTCCACCATAGGCCTCAAAGAGCTCAAAATGTCCAGTTGCTGATTCTACAAAAAGAGAGTTTCAAAAGTGCTCCATCACAGGAAATGTTTAACTCTGTGAGATGTATGCACACATCAAAAAGAAGTTTCTCAGATTGCTTCTGTCTAGTTTTTATGTGAAGATATCTCCATTTCCACCATAGGCCTCAAAGCACTCCAAATGTCCACTTGCAGATAGTACAAAAAGGGAGTTTCAAAACGGCTCAATTAAAAGTAAGGTTCAACACTGTGAGGTGAATACACATATCACAAAGAAGTTTATCAGAATGCTTCTGTCTAGTTTTTATGTGAAGATATTTCCTTCTCTGCCATTGGCCTCAATGCGCTCCAAATGTCCACTTGCAGATTCTACAAAAAGAGAGTTTCCAAACTAGAAAATCAAAAGAAAGTTTCAACTCTGTGAGATGAATGCACTCATCACAAAGAAGTTTCTCACAATACTTCTGCATAGTTGTTACATGAAGATATTTTGTTTTCCATTACACTCCTCAAAGCGCTCCAAATGTCCACTTGCAGATTCTACAAAAAAAGCATTTCAAAGCTGCTCAATCAAAAGAAAGGTTCAACTCTGTGAAAAGAATGCACACATCACAAAGAAGTTTCTCAGAATGTTTCTGTCTACTTCTTATGTGAAGATATTTCCTTTTCCACCATAGGCCTCAAAGTGATCCAAATGTCCACTTGCAGATCCTTCAAAAAGATTTCCAAACTAGTCAATCAAAAGAAAGTTTCAACTCTGTGAGATGAATGCACATATAACAAAGACATTTCTAAGAATCCTTCTGTCTAGTTTTTATGTAAAGATATATACTTTTACACCATAGGCATCAACGCACTCCAAATGTCCACTTGTACCTAGTACAAAAAGGATGTTTCAAACCTGCTCAATCAACAGTAAGGTTCAACTCTGTCAGATGAATGCACACATCACAAAGTATTTTCTCAGAATGATTCTTTGCAGTTCTTAAGTGAAGATATTTCCTTTTCCACCAGAGGCCTCAGAGCCCTCCAAATGTCCACTTGCAGATACTGCAAAAAGAGTGTTTCCAAACTGTTCAATCAAAAGAAAGGTTCAAATCTTTGAGATGAATATACACATCATGAAGAAGTTTCTCAGAATGTTTCTGTCCATGTTTTATGAGCAGATATTTCCTTTTCCACCATAGACCTCAAAGCACACCAAGTGTCCACTTGTAGATTCTACAAAAAGAGTGTTTCAAAACTGCTCATTGAAAAGAAATGTTCAACTATGTGAGATGAATGCACACACCACAAAGAAGTTTCTCAGAATGTTCTGTCTAGTTCTTAAGTGAAGATATTTCCTTTTACACCATAAGCCTCAAAGTGCTCCAAATGTCCACTGGCAGATTGTACAAAAACAGTGTTTCAAAACTGCTCAATGGAAAGAAAGGTTCAATTCTGTGAGATGAATGCAAACAACACAAAGAAGTTTGTCAGCATGCTTCTGTCTAGTTTTTATGTGAAGATATTTCCTTTACCACCATATGCCACAAAGTGCTCCAAATGTCCCTTTGCAGATTCTACAAAAAGAGTGTTTCAAACTGCTCAATCAAAAGAAAGTTCAACTCTGTGAGATGCATGCACACATCCCAAAAAAATTTCCCAGAATAATTCTGTGTAGTTTTTCTGTGAAGATATTTCCTTTTCCACCGTAGGCCTCAAAGAATTCCAAATGTCCACTTGCAGATTCTACCAAAAGAGTGTTTCAAAATAGATTAATGAAAAGAAATGTTCAACTCTGTGACATGAAAGCACGCATTCCAAAGAAGTTTGTGACAATGCTTCTGTCTAGTTTTTATGTGAAGATATTTCCTTTTCTGCCATAGGCCTCAAAGTGCTCCTAATGTCCACTTGCAGATTCTACAAAAGAGTGTTTCAAAGCTGCTCAATCAAAAGAAAGTTTCAACTCCATGAGATGAATGCACACATCACAAAGAAGTTTCTGAGAATGCTGCTGTCTTGTTGTTATGTGAAGATATTTCCTTTTCCATAATTGGCTGCAAAGCGCTCCAAATGTCCACTTGCAGATTCTACAAAAAGAGTGTTTCAAAACTGCTCAATCAAAAGAAAGGTTCAACTCTGTGAGATGAATGCACACATCACAAAGAAGTTTCTCAGAATGTTCTGTCTAGTTCTTAAGTGAAGATATTTCCTTTTCCACCATAGGCCTCAAAGCACTCCAAATGTCCACTTGCAGATTGTACAAAAACAGTGTTTCAAAACTGCTCAATGGAAAGAAACGTTCAATTCTGTGAGATGAATGCAAACAACACAAAGAAGTTTGTCAGCATGCTTCTGTATAGTTTTTATGTGAAAATATTTCCTTTTCTACCATAGGCCTCAAGGCGCTCCAAAGGTCCACATGCAGATCCTACAAAAATAATGTTTCAAAGGTGCTCAATCAAAAGAAATGTTCAACTCTGTGAGATGACTGCACCCATCACGAAGAAGTTTCTCAGAATGCTTCTGTCTAGATCTTAAGTGAAGATATTTCCTTTTCCACCATAGGCCTCAAAGCGAACAAAATGTCCGCTTGCAGATTCTACAAAAAGAGTGTTTCCAAACTGCTCAACCAAAAGTAAGATTCAACTCTGTGGGTTGAATGAAAACATCACAAAGAAGTTTCTCAGGATGCTTCTGTCTAGTTCTTATGTGAGGATATTTCCTTTTCCACCGTAGGCCTAAAAGTGCTCCAAATATCAACTTGCAGATTCTACAAAAAGTGGGCTTCAAAACTTCTCAATCAAAAGTAAGGTTCAATTCCCTGAGATGAATGCACACATCACAAAGAAGTTTGTCAGAATTCTTCTGTCTAATATTTAAGTGAAGATACTTCCTTTTCCACCATATGCCGCAAAGCGCTCCAAATATCCACTTGCAGATTCTACAAAAAGAGTGTTTCAAAACTGCTCAATCAAAAGAAAGTTCAACTCTGTGAGATGAATGCCCACATCACAAAGAAATTTCTCAGAATATTTCTGTCTAGCTTCTCTATGAAGATATTTCCTTTTCCACCATAGGCCTCAAAGTGTTCCAAATGTCCACTTGCAGATTCTACAAAAAGAGTGTTTCAAAGCTGCTCAATCAAAAGAAATGTTCAACTCTGTGAGATTAATGCATACATCACAAACAACTTTCTCAGAATGCTTCTGTCTAGTTATTATGTGAAGATATTTCATTTTTCACCTTAGGCCTCAAATCACTCCAAATGTCCACTTGCAGATGTTACAGAAAGAGTGATTGAAAACTACACAATCGAAGGAAAGGTTCAACTCTCTGAGATGAATGCACACATCACAAAGAATTTGTCAGAATGCTTCTGTCTAATATTTATGGGAAGATATTTCCTTTTCCACCATAGGCCTCAAAGCGCTCAAAATGTCCACTTGCAGATGCTACAAAAGGAGAGCTTCCAAACTATTCACTCAAAAGAAATGATCAACTCTGTGAGATGAATGCATACATCACAAAGTAATTTGTCAGAATGCTTCTGTCTAATTTTTATGTGAACATATTTCCTTTTCCACTGTAGGTCTCAAGCCACACAAAATGTCCATTTGCAGATAGTACCAAAAGGGTTTTTCAGAACTGCTTAATCAAAAGTAAGGTTCAACTCTGTGAGATGAATGCACATATCGCAAATAGGTTTGTCAGAATGCTTCCACCTAGTTTTTTTGTGAAGATATATCCTTTTCCACCTCAGGCCTCAAAGAGCTCCGCATGTCCCCTTACAGATTCTACAAAAAGAGTGTTTCCAAACTGCTCAATCAAAAGAAATGTTCAACTCTGTGAGATGAATGCACACATCACAAAGAAGTTTCTCAGAATGCTTCTGTGTAGTTTTTAGGTGAAGATATTTCCCTTTCCACCATAGGCCCCAAAGCGCTCCAAATATCCACTTGCAGATACTACAAAAAGTGTTTTTCAAAACTGCTGAATCCAAAGAAATGTTCAACTTTGTGAGATGAATGCACACATCAGAAAGAAGTTACACAGACTGCTTCTGTGTTGTTTTTAGGTGAAGATATTTCAGTTTCCACCATAGGTCTTGAAGCCCTCCAAATATCCACTTGCTCATTCCACAAAAAGTGTGCTTCAAATCTGCTCAATCAAAAGAAAGTTTCAATTCTGTGAGATGAATGCACACATCACAAAGTAGTTTCTCAGAATGCTTCTGTCCAGTTTTTATGTGAAGATATTTCCTTCTCCACCATAGACCTTAAGGCGTTCCAAATATCCACTTGCAGATTTTACAAAAAGAGTGTTTCAAACTGCTCAATCAAAAGAAAGGTTCAACTCTGTGTGTTGAATGCACAAATCACAAAGAAGTTTCTCAGAATGCTTCTGTGTAGTTTTTATGTGAAGATGTTTCCTTTTACCACCATTGGCCACAAAGCGCTCCAAATATCCACTTGCAGATTCTACAAAAAGTGTTTCAAAACTGCTCAATCAAAAGAAAGGTTCATCTCTGAGACATGAATGCACACATCACAAAGGAGTTTCTCAGAAGGCTTCTGTCTAGTTTTTATGTGAAGATATTTCTGTTTCCACTATAGGCCGCAAAGCACTCCAAATATCCACTTGCAGATTCTACAAAAAGAGATTTTCCAAACTCCTCAATCAAAAGAAAGTTTAAACTCTGTGAGTTGAATGCACACATCACAAAGAAGTTTCTCAGAATGCTTCTGTCTAGTTTTTAATTGAAGATACTTCCTTTTCCACCATTGAGCTCAAAGCACTCCAAGTATCCACTTGCAGATTCTACAAAAAGAGTGTTTCAAAACTGCTCAATCAAAACAAAGTTTCAACTCTGTGAGATGAATGCACACATCACAGAGAAGTTTCTCAGAATGCTTCTGTCTAGTATTTATGTGAAGATATTTCCTCTTCTACAATAGGTCTCAAACCACTCCAAATATCCACTTGCAAATACTACAAAAAGATTGTTTCAAAACTGCTCAATCAAAAGAAATCTTCAACTATGTGAGTTGAATGCACACATCACAAAGAACTTTCTCAGAACGCTTCTGTGTAGTTTTTATTTGAAGATATTTCCTTTTCCACCACAGGCCCCAAACTGATCCAAATATCCACATGCAGATCCTTCAAAAGAAGTGTTTCAAAACTGTTCGATCAAAAGAAAGGTTCAATTCTGTGAGATGAATGCACACATCACAAAGAAGTTTCTCAGAAGGCATTTGTGTAGTTTTTATGTGAAGATGTTTCCTTTTCCTCCATAGGCCTCAAATCGCTCCCAATGTCCACTTGCAGATTCTACAAAAAGAGTGTTTCAAAGCTGCTCAATCAAAAGAAATGTTCAGCTCTGTGAGATGAATGCACACATCACAAAGAAGTTTCTCAGAATGCTTCTGTCTAGTTTTTAAGAGAAGATATTTCCCTTTCCTCTAGAGGTCCCAAAGTCCTCCAACTTTGCAGATACTACAAAAAGAGTGTTTCAAAACTGCTCAATCAAAAGAATATTTCAACTCTGTGAGTTGAATGCACACATCACAAAGAAGTTTCTCAGAATGTTTCTGTCTAGTTTTTATGTGAAGATATTTCCTTTTCCACCATAGGCCCCAAAGCACTCAAAATATCCACTTGCAGATTCTACAAAAACAGTGTTTCAGAACTGCTCAATCAAGAGAAACATTCAACTCTGTGAGATGAATGCATAGATCACAGAGGAGTTTCTCAAAATGCTTCTGTCTGGTTTTGATGTGAAGATATTTACTTTTCCACCATAGAATGTAAAGCGCTCCAAATATCCACTTGCAGACACTACAAAAAGAGTATTTCAAAAGTGCTAAATCAAAAGAAAAGTTCAACTCTGTGAGGTGAATGCACACATCACAAAGAAGTTTCTCAGAATGCTTCTTTCTTGTCTTTATGTGAAGATATTTCCTTTTCCATTCAGAACCTCGTAGCAGTGTTCTGTAATCCTGTGTGAGGGACAAACACTCAGAATCCAGCCACTGTGTACTGGAATCCTATCTGAGGGCACACATTTAAAATCCAGATGTAGTCTCCTTGCTTTAGTGAATACACTTACCTCCTTTTCCTGCTATACATTTAGGCAAATTATTTTTCTGTATCTTAAATAAATGGTAAATACCTGAAATTTCTTACTTTTTCCAGGCAGAGTGTCTTCACTATGTAGCTGTAGAAGTATAACTATTTTTGTCTGTGTCACAATTTTGTACTCAGGAACCCTGGCCATGTCACTAGCCAAATGGACATAACTTATGGAATACATGGACAGCATCCGGTTGATATGCTCTAGAGAAAAATAGCAGCTACCATAGACTTCAGGAAAGACACATCGAGCCAATGACAAAAATGTGGGTTTCCTACCTTCAGGGAGTCTAAGAATGCAGTAGAAAGTGATGTGGAGCAAACATCTTTCAAATGGAAGGAAGGGATAGGGAAAGGAAGACTGTTAGAGGCTCTTTTGAATGTTAGAGGCAACATAAAACATATTTGGATGTGTATTCTAAATAAAATGCAAATGTCAAGAAGGATGTCAGCTGTGAGTGGGACTCAGAGAAAGAGAAACGTTTTGGACTACAGAGGCCTGCAGTACAAGTGGATCTACAATTTTGTTTAGGGAATCCAATGCCTCAGGTATCTATGAGAGGCAGAATTTTCCTATGGAGCCAGCGGCAAGGCTCCAGAGGAGAAATACAGTACAAGCCACTTTATTTTGGAGTAAAAGCCTTTTGTACAAAAATTACCCGCCCCCTCCTTTTTTGAGAAACAATTTCACATTGGGATACTAATAAGAAGGAATGCTCAGTCATGAATAAGGGTGACCCCGTTGTGATCTGAGCATTATAGGATCATAGTAACTACAACCAGTCTTCCATCATTCCATGGAAATTGCATGTATGCCACGTTGCCTTCTCAGTTTCCAAGGGACCAATTAATGAACAGGCTACTCACATTTTCAGCATCCTACTCCTGACACACTCCCACCCTTCTTTCTATTTATCTGTGATTCATAGAGATTTGCCTATGACTGGATTCCTGAGGAGAAAAAAGTCTGGATTACAGATGGCATTCCTTGTTATGGAAGGCCCTTCCTTCTGAAAGTCTATTTCTATCATGTTCTTTCCCTGTGCTGTCAAAGGGTCACCCCTTTGTACAAAGGAGAAGAGAAATCCATCAAGTAAATAAAATTTCATTTACCTTTGTAAAAAATATTTCTACCAATTCACGTGGAGGACCTTATGGTTTGGTCCGATAATCAGAGATTTGAAAGAACCTGATATTGTTGGCCAGCAGATTAGAAAAGAGTTATTAGAGAGAGATGGCTCAAGTGATAATAACTGTGTGCCTTGTGAATGCTCACCTAAACCAAAGATCACTGAAGATAATGTATTTTACCATAATGTTTTAATCTCAGGTAAATGCCAATTAGGAGACAAACACTTGTTTATCTCCTGATTGGTATTGATCTGAATTAAGCTGTCTGCCATTTGGAGAAATTTAAATGCTATTTTAAACACACAGTCTTGTTACTTGAGTTATTTATGATCTTAAGCGGCTCCCCCCCTTTTGTGGGTTAGATTGTGTCTTCAAAAAGAAAATATATATATTAGAGTTCTAGCCCCTGATGTCTGTGAGTATGACTTAATTTGAAATCAAATTATTTGCAGATGCTGTATAATTATGATATGCTAGATGAGCTCATAATGCATTAGAGTGGGCCATAATTCAATATGGTTGATATCCTCATAAGAAGGGAAGAGGAAACAGAGACGCAGGGAGGAGATGGCAATGTGAGGATGGAGGTAGAGAATAAAGTGAGGTATCCTCCAGCCAAGCAATGACAATGAAGCTCAGTGATCACCCGGTGCTAGAAGAAGCAAGAAAGGATTTTTTTCCAGGTCATTCAGAGAAAAATGCAGCACTGCTAACTCCTTCATTTAAGATTTCTAGCTTTCTGAACCGTAAAAGAATAACTTTATCTCATTTTAAGCGACCTAATGTGAACCACTTTGTCACAGCAGATATAGGAAATTACACCTCCTTAAAGAATGCAGAATCCTGGCCCGTGCTTGCCTCATACCTATTGAATGAGAATCTAAGGGCTCTAGAATCTGCATTTTGAAACTAATACATAATACACAAAGAGAACTCACTAAGTACTCTACATGCACTTCATCCTCACAAGCCATGAAGTAGTTTACTATTATAATTCTCATTTTACATATGGGAAACTGGAGCATGAAAAGATTAAGTAATTTGCCTACAGTCACTCACATAACCAGAAAGTGGAAGAGCTGGGATTCAATCCCAGTTCCAGACATCCTGATATCCTGGTTTCAGACACCACACACTTAGCAACTATTACACACTTAGCATTATTATTATTATTATTATTATTATTATTATTATTATTATTTTAATCACCATCTCCACCTTCTTAAGCACTCAAAAGTTGAAATCCAGTGGTGTGTTGCTGTTTCCATTCATAGCAAGTTATAGCCAAAATCATAAATTACACTTCCTCCAAAACAGTATACTGACTTCTCATCTCTTTTTAAAATCCCTTCCGTCGTTCTTTTCTTTCTTCTCTTCTCTTTTCTTTTCTCTTTTCTTTCTCTTGCTCTGTCACCCAGGCTGGAGTGCAGTGGCATCATCTCGGCTCACTGCGACCTCCACCTCCTGGGTTCAAGCGATTCTCCTGTCTCAGCCTCCCAAGTAGCTAGGATTACAGGTGCCCAACACCATGCCCGTTTAATTTTTGTATTTTTAGTAGAGATGGGGTTTCACATCTTGGCCAGGCTGGTCTTGAACTGCTGACGTCGTGATCCATCCACCTCGGCCTCCCAAAGTGCTGGGATTACAGGCATGAGCCACTGTGCCCAGCCTCTTTCACCCATTGAAATCTCATTTCAACAATTACCATCTTTTTTGAGTGGTATTTTTGAAGTTATAAATGAATTCCCTATAATACATAGTGAGAATATTTATGGGAGCTTCCTAATTGACTTTCTAAACATTCTGCATTGCTTCTCATTTCCTTCTTTAAATTTCCTTCTACCTTGACTTCCTTAAGACCACTCAATGTTGGCCCCATGCTTTCATTTTTTTCTTTTTTCTTTTTTTTTTTTTTTTGAGATGAAGTTTCCCTCTTTTCACCCAGGCTGGAGTGCAACAGTGTGATCTCAGCTCACTGCAACCTCCGCCTCCCAGTTTCAAGAGACTCTCCTGCCTCAGCCTCCCGAGTAGCTGCGATTACAAGCATGTGCCACCATGCCCAGCTAATTTTGTATTTTTACTAGAGATGGGGTTTCTTCATGTTGGTCAGGCTGGTCTCAAACTCCCAACCTCAGGTGATCCGCCCGCCTCGGCCTCCCAAAGTGCCGGGATTATAGGCATGAGCCACAATGCCCAGCCCATGCTTTCTTTTTAATAACTCCTTGCTGCCTAGTTTTTTCATGTCCACTGTGTAACTACTAGTCTTAATGGGTATTTCTTTTCTTACTATTCTGCACCAATGTTTCCCTGATTGACAACAGTTTTCCTGAAATGTATTCTTGGAATGGAATTGTATGATACGCTTAGAAAATTCTGCATACCTTATACTTCAGAATGTGTATGTAAAAGACTCCAGTAAATGATCCAGGGAAGCAAAAATATTTGTGTGTTTTGCGAGTTGTATTCATATGTGTATAAAATTCCCACAGCACTTTGGGTAACAATGCTCTGCACACTTTTCCTGTGCTCCTTTTATCCATTCCCACACTTCCAGCATTTCCTTTGACGTTTGATTTTCTTTATTTTTTTTTACTCCAATATTTTCCTGTAGGTTTCAAACCTGTATTTTAAAATATCAACTGATTCTCTCCCTCTGTCTTCACCACCTGCATCTCAAATTTGACATAGCCATAAACACATTTTATATTTTGGCAAATAAATCTATTTCTTTTAAAGCATTGCCCATCTCAGCTAATGATGATAATATCAAGCCAGTCGCCAAGAAAATTTAGAGTATTTATACCTTGACTCTTCCTTCTAAATGAATTATTAAGTTCAGCTGTTTCTACCTTGAATTACCTTTCTATTCTGCCATTTCTCTTCTGTGTTGCTGCTAATGTTTTAATTTAGTTATTCATCACATCATGCCTGTACTGCTGGAATAATCTTGACTATTCTTTCTGACTTTTTCTTCTAACTGCATCTCAAAAACTTCTATCTAGAATGAAAATAAGTATATATATATATACTATATATACATATATACATATACACTATATGTATGTATATAGTATAAGTATAGACATGCTATATACTATATATACTATATATTTATATACACACACACCCACTATGCTTTTAAAAATTGTTTACTTATGTCCCATCATTGAAGGGTAAAATACAAAATCACTGATATTGAGAGACATTCTCCTCAATCATTTAACATTTTCCTTCACAAACCTGTGCTGTAGCCACACCCAGAACAGGTTATGTTCCTTCAAAGACACACACACTTTTCTATCACTCTCCTTTTACTCCTTCTATTCCATCTGCTTAGACCATTTTTTACTTGTTTTCTGTCTATCTCCATTCATTTTTCAGGATCCAATTAAAATATTGATACAAAGGCTGAGATCTTTATATCTTCTCTTATTTAAATTCCTGGAACACCAGATAACTTCCTCTATTATAATTCTTACTGTATACAACCATAACTCTCATTTGAAAACAATGAATACATAATTATAAAATCAGATATATCATAAAATGATTGGTATCAATATGTGAAAAAAAATCTTTAATGTTGAAAGTACAAGATTACAAGCCATCTGAAAGTAACTGAACATCAATCAGAGAAAAATGCTCATCATTTTTTGATGAAACCAAAAGTAAGAGAATTTGGTATTAATCTACTACATCATTGGTAAATTACATATTAATTATTGTGAGAAAGAAATAATTGACGGAATTTAAAGAAAATCGGTTTTCCTTTATTTTTATTATTCTACCTAAAAATATTATATCTAATTAAAATCATGATTTTAAAATTATCCCATCAAGTATGTCATCACACTAAAATCCATTGTATTTAATTTCTCAACTGAGAAATTGTATTCAATTGTATTCATTTTCCCTACTGAAAAATTAATATAAAAGCAATCACATAGCATTCAGAAATTAATAAATATTTAAAGAAATTAAACAGCATTAGATTTTCTTGTTGTAAAATTTTTTTCTTCTCTCAGTATGGCTTATGTCTCTGCTTCTATTGAACATAGCACAATTCAAGTATTAATACAGCACCTTTATAAAAGTTGTGAATCTCAGAAATGAACAAGCTTACCTCCTTAGTTATTTATTAAAAGTTACAAGTCACTTTTTTTTAACTTCCTAATAATCTTAGAGGGGTATATTTTGTGTTTTTGTTTGCTATATCTTTCATAAAGAAGATCCCTAATGATTTGAAAGTTAGAACCAATTTTCTGAAGGATTGAGCCACGCTCCTTGAAGTTGTGTGTTTGTGGGTGGCACACTATGTCTTTTGCAGACCCGGAACCTACCCCTTGATCTAGAACATATTTTCCTCCACCTGCCTTTTAAGTTTTTATTTCAGCAGGAGTGGGTGGTTTGTGGTTGACCGAAAATAGAACGGGCTACAAAAGCCCTTCCTGTTTGATATTGAATCTGCTATTTGAGTCACCCTTACATTATGAACTGACTGTTAATTAACACATTTGGTAAGAGAATATCCTGATCTGCTTTGCATGTGAGGCTCTCCCAGTAATAAACAAAGAAGCATAATCAAACAAGATTTTAATTTCTCTATGCCCTGTTAGAAATTCAGATATAATTCAAGTCATCTTGGAAATTTTAAGTTGCATTCTGATGTCGTCTCTGTTCTGGCCATTGTGCAATGGGCCTTCAAATGTTGTAGTAGAGGCCAACTGATATTCCATTGTTATTCATTTATACACAGGTACATATATGGTGTGTGTACGCAAATATATAAATATTCATATATGTGTACATGTGTACATACATACATATGGAGGTAATACAAGTTTGCATTGTTTTTAAAATTATTTTACCCAAATTAACAATGACTCTATTGCATATCTTTATTGGTTATATCACATTTATATAAATAAATTTATATCAGTGACAATTTCCAAGTAAGTGAAATTTGAATTGGATTCAGGGTTTTATTTTTTTGAAATTTCTGATTAAAATTACTTGATTTTTTAAATTTTATCTTAAAATATTCAAGTCCCATTTGTAAAAAAAAAATAGAGGATTAAAATGAAGTGTGTCTTTATGAGTCACAAATTTTTATTTTACTTTACTAATTGTTAAAATAATATTTTTTCCATGAGGCATTTTATAATGCCCTCTTTATTTTTTTGGTGATGTATTTTTTTATTATTATTATTATACTTTAAGTTTTAGGGTACATGTGCACAATGTGCAGGTTAGTTACATATGTATACATGTGCCATGCTGGTGCACTGCACCCACTAACTCGTCATCTAGCATTAGGAATATCTCCCAATGCTATCCCTCCCCCCTCCCCCCACCCCACAACAGTCCCCAGAGTGTGATGTTCCCCTTCCTGTGTCCATGTGTTCTCATTGTTCAATTCCCACCTATGAGTGAGAATATGCGGTGTTTGGTTTTTTGTTCTTGCGATAGTTTGCTGAGAATGATGATTTCCAATTTCATCCATGTCCCTACAAAGGACATGAACTCATCATTTTTTATGGCTGCATAGTATTCCATGGTGTAAATGTGCCACATTTTCTGAATCCAGTCTATCATTGTTGGACATTTGGGTTGGTTCCAAGTCTTTGCTATTGTGAATAATGCCACAATAAACATACGTATGCATGTGTCTTTATAGCGGCATGATTTATAGTCCTTTGGGCATATAGCCAGTAATGGGATGGCTGGGTCAAAGGGTATTTCTAGTTCTAGATCCCTGAGGAATTGCCACACTGACTTCCACAGTGGTTGAACTAGTTTACAGTCCCACCAACAGTGTAAAAGTGTTCCTATTTCTCCACATCCTCTCCAGTACCTGTTGTTTCCTGACTTTTTAATGATTGCCATTCTAACTGGTGTGAGATGGTATCTCATTGTGGTTTTGATTTGCATTTATCTGATGGCCAGTGATGGTGAGCATTTTTTCATGTGTTTTTTGGCTGCATAAATGTCTTCTTTTGAGAAGTGTCTGTTCATGTCCTTCGCCCACTTTTTGATGGGGTTGTTTGTTTTTTTCTTGTCAATTTGTTTGAGTTCATTGTAGATTCTAGATATTAGTCCTTTGTCAGATGAGTAGGTTGTGAAAATTTTCTCCCATTTTGTAGGTTGCCTGTTCACTCTGATGGTAGTTTCTTTTGCTGTGCAGAAGCTCTTTAGTTTAATTAGATCCCATTTGTCAATTTTGGCTTTTGTTGCCATTGCTTTTGGTGTTTTAGACATGAAGTCCTTGCCCATGCCTATGTCCTGAATGGTAATGCCTAGGTTTTCTTCTAGGGTTTTTATGGTTTTAGGTTGAACTTTTAAGTCTTTAATCCATCTTGAATTGATTTTTGTATAAGGTGTAAGGAAGGGATCCAGTTTCAGCTTTCTACATATGGCTAGCCAGTTTTCCCAGCACCATTTATTAAATAGGGAATCCTTTCCCCATTGCTTGTTTTTCTCAGGTTTGTCAAAGATCAGATAGTTGTAGATATGTGGCGTTATTTCTGAGGGCTCTGTTCTGTTCCATTGATCTATATCTCTGTTTTGGTACCTGTACCATGCTGTTTTGGTTACTGTAGCCTTGTAGTATAGTTTGAAGTCAGGTAGTGTGATGCCTCCAGCGTTGTTGTTTTGGCTTAGGATTGACTTGGTGATGTGGGCTCTTTTTTGGTTCCATATGAACTTTAAAGTAGTTTTTTCCAATTCTGTGAAGAAAGTCATTGGTAGCTTGATGGGTATGGCATTGAATGTGTAAATTACCTTGGGCAGTATGGCCTTTTTCACGAGATTGATTCTTCCTACCCATGAGCATGGAATGTTCTTCCATTTGTTTGTATCCTCTTTTATTTCCTTGAGCAGTGGTTTGCAGTTCTGCTTGAAGAGGTCCTTCACATCCCTTGTAAGTTGGATTCCTAGGTATTTTATTCTCTTTGAAGCAATTGTGAATGGGAATTCACTCATGATTTGGCTCTCTGTTTGTTTGTTGTTGGTGTATAAGAATGCTTGTGATTTTTGTACATTGATTTTGTATCCTGAGACTTTGCTGAAGTTGCTCATCAGCTTAAGGAGATTTTGGGCTGAGACAATGGGATTTTCTAGATATACAATCATGTCTTCTGCAAACAGGGACAATTTGACTTCCTCTTTTCCTAATTGAATACCCTTTATTTCCTTCTCCTGCCTGATTGCCCTGGCCAGAACTTCCATTACTATGTTGAATAAGAGTGGTAAGAGAGGACATCCCTGTCTTGTGCCAGTTTTCAAAGGGAATGCTTCCAGTTTTTGCCCATTCAGTATGATATTGGCTGTGGGTTTGTCATAGATAGCTCTTATTATTTTGAAATATGTCCCATCAATACCTAACTTATTGAGAGTTTTTAGCATGAAGGGTTGTTGAATTTTCTCAAAGGCCTTTTCTGCATCCATTGAGATAATCATGTGGTTTTTGTCTTTGGTTCTGTTTATATGCTGGATTACATTTATTGATTTGCATATATTGAACCAGCCTTGCATCCCAGGGATGAAGCCCACTTGATCATGGTGGATAAGCTTTTTGATGTGCTGCTGGATTCGTTTTGCCAGTATTTTATTGAGGATTTTTGCATCAATGTTCATCAATGAAAATCAATATATATCATAACAGCTCTGTAAATGTTTCTCTGAGTTCTGTGAGCCATCCTAGGAACTTAATTGAACCCAGGGAGGGGGCTCATGCGAACCCTTTTTTTTTTTTTTTTTTTTTTTGAGATGGGGTCTCATTCTGTCTCCCAGGCTGGAGTGCAGTTGCAGGATCTCAACTCACTGCAACCTCTGCCTCCCAGGTTCAAGCGATTCTCCTGCCTTAGCCTCCCTGGTAGCTGGGCTTATAGGAGCCCGCCACCACACCCAGCTAATTTTTGTATTTTATTTCATTTATTTATTTTTTTGAGATGGAGCATCGCTCTCTCACCCAGGCTGGAGTGCAGTGACATGATCTCTGCTCACTGCAAGCTCCACCTCATGGGTTCAGGCCATTCTCCTGCCTCAGCCTTCCAAGTAGCTGGGACTACAGGCGTCCGCCACCATGCCTGGCTAATTTTTATTTGTATTTTTAGTAGAGATGGGGTTTCACCGTGTTAGCCAGGATGGTCTTGATCTGACCTCGTGATCCGCCTGCCCCGGCCTCCCAAAGTGCTGGGATTACTGGTGTGAGCCACCGTGCCCAGTTTAATTTTTGTATTTTTAATAGAGACGGGGTTTCACCATGTTGGCCAGGCTGGTCTCAAACCCCTGATCTCAAGTGATCCACCCGCCTTGGTCTCCCAAAGTGCTGGGATTACAGGCGTGAACCACCATGACCGGCCGTGGATGTAGTTTTTAGCCAGGCAGTCAGAAGTATGCGTCGCCTGGACTTGGAATTAGTGCCTGAAGTGGGGCTGGTCTCATGGGATCGAGCCGTCAATCTGTGGGATTGGACACTATCTGCAGGTAGACAGTGTCAGGATTGAATTGAATAAGAGGACACCCAGTTGGTCTCTGTGAGAAATGTTTGGTGTGTAAGGAAAAGCCCCCACACAGCCAGCCACAGAAGTGTGCTATTGTTGAGTGTGAGAGTACAAGGGAAAAACAGTTTGCTTTTTTGCTTTACAGTGGGATATTTGATCCATAGGTCTATATCTAAGCACATGAATAGAATGTGTTTGGGCCTGGTTTTTTAGTCTTGCTGGTCAGTAACTAGTTTGACAAGAGAGACTAGCACACTGATCCCAAAAGAACTAGGCCAAGAGCAGATAGGATTTGTGGAAACTTGAACCTCTTATTAGCTCCTTAAAAGACGTACTTTTCTAGACTTCTTTGGAGCCTGGGATTCTAGTACTGGTGAGTTTCCACCGGCAGCAGACTCCCTGAAGATTTGCTAGCCCTCTGCAGGGTTGGCAGGCCACTACCACATTTAGTTGGCTCCTAGGGTATGTTCCACACCAGACTTCCCATTGTGGGAAGGCCAAGAGAACTGAAGAGACAGTCTCTACTCTGGAGGTGGGGAAGTGGGGGAGGTGGTAATTTAATTAACAGTAGGTGGTGGGTGAGGCGACTTGGTAAGGTAAGAGGACACACAAAGGAAGTAACTGCAGTAAACCTTAGCTGGCAGCACAAGTGAGGAGGTGTGCTTGAAAGAGAAATGGAGTGTCTGGAAGTGGGTGAGTATATTCTGGTAGGTGTGACAAAGGCACTGTTCCTCCAACACCAGTCCTGGGAAAGGCATATGATATGGTTTGGCGCTGTGTCCCCAGCCAAATCTCATGATGAATTATGAGCTTCAGTGTTGGAGGAGGGGCCTGGTGGGAGGTGACTGGATCATGGGGGTGAATTTCCCCCTTGTTGTTCTCGTGCTAGTGAGTTCTGAGATCTGGTTGTTTAAAAGTGTGTGGCACTGCCCCTTCACTCTCTCTCCTGCCGCCATGTGAATATGTACTTGCTTCCCCTTTGCCTTCCCCATGATTGTAAGTTTCCTGAGGCCTCCCCAGCCATGCCTCTTGTATAGCCTGCAAAACTGAGTCAATTAAACCTTGTTTCTTTATAAACTATCCACTCTCAAGTAGTTCTTTACAGCAGTGTGAGAACAGACTAATACAACATGGGATCCCAAGTAACTATGCATTCAGAGAAGAAACACAGGTATGTTTGGGAACTGGATGATGGAAGGTACAGGGAAGCACTGTAGGTAACTTTCATGGGTCCTACACTCTACAACATATTCTTGGGGTTGGAATGAGTCAAACAGGAGACTGATGTCCAGGATGGAATTGGCTGTTTATGTTCCCAGGTGTAGGTCTCTTCCTTAACAGATCACGGTAGCTTCATTACAAATGGCCTGGGAAGCGTACATAATGCAGAAACCCCAGCAAATTCTTACAGGGGTTAGTCATGCAGTTATACATTTTCATTCTGGGATTTCTAGGGGCTTAATAAAATTCCTTCATTGGATCATTTAATCCAACATAAATTATTTCCCTACACCTACTTTATACTTGCTCCCTGATTTCATACCAGTGAGTATAGCCTGATGTAACTAAACATTCTGAATTTTCAGTGATACCCAGAGAAGAGTGTGATAACCAATTCTCTCAAAAGCGATTTACTGCAAATATTTTCATTTACAGTAAGTCCTTACTTAACATTGTGGATATGTTCTTGGAAACAGTGACTTTAAGCCAAACGAGGTACTGTGTGGCTTCATAACTCAACTCTTTTTCCTATCAATTAGACTATGGGAAAACTGGTTTCGTATGCATTATGTCCTTTTGCTTAAAGTGGTAGTTTCCAAGAACCTATCAATGACATTAAGTGAGGACTTATTGTAATCTGATATCTGCGGGTGGATAATTTAAGGAACACATGCATAGTTAAGCCTGTAAACTGCTGCAAGTTCCAGATATTATCAGTTCTATTTCTCCACAATTACAATTCCAGTTTTGGGGTTTCTTTTTGCTCATTAAATTTGAAAAGCCAATTCCAGTTTTAAAGCTTGACCCTTTTCTTATAACTTTTTTTATAACTGATAATATATCAGTTATATCAGTTATATTTCTTAGGCTTCCCACGAAACCCTCAAACTGACTCTGAGGGTGGCCTTGCTATCTAATTTACAAAACCGGTTATCTTGGTTTGTGTTCATTTTATTTCCCTTGCATACATTGCTTAGCTGCTTCTGATTATATGCCTCTTAGCCGCGGCTGGATAGAAAAGTGTAATAAGAGAAAAGTGTAACTAAGAGACACAGAAGAAAGAGAAATTCCATGAGCACCAGATACTTTTATGGGTGCCTTTTGGAAGCTCTAAATTGAGATGTATCTTTGTTGTCAATTTATGCTATGAATCCAAACGAAAAATGGGGGGAGAAAAACAAATAGGCTGTAGATGAAAGTGGAAGAAGAAAAATGAGTCTATATATATATATATATTAGCAGTTGTATGAAAGTATATGAGTCAATATTCCATCAATACCTAGAAAAATAGTAGATCAATATGCTGATTTTAGGGGTGGACACAAAAGTGTTATAAGTGTCTTTTAACTTTTCTTTTTTCCCTCCTTGACTCTGAAGAGAAACACCATTTTTTCTACGTATGCAAAGAGTAAAAATTCAGAACTAACATGCAGGGATTAATAGCAGTGAATTGCAAACTCAACTCAGTGGTATAGTACCTGGCAACATTATTACTCAGCATATTTCCCTGGCTGAGGCTGACTTCATTTAAAGTAGTTTTATACTTGTGCTAAAAATAAGTGTACATCCCATTAAGGGAGAAAAGATCTTCTACACAATGGATTGGACCTACATAACCTTATGTACCAGAGAAGAAAACATCATTCTCATGAGTCGCAAAGCTTTCTTCTTCTTGTCAATATGATAAACAGTTTCCGTAAATTGAGAATGACGCTGGTTACTTTCCTTCCTCCTGAACATGCCACACTGAAGAGACAGGGATGACTCCTTCCCTATGGGACAGACACACATGTAGCTTTCCCTGGGTTGTGGAGGAAGGCATGGCCACAACACCATTGGCAGTCTGCTGCAGGGACCTCACGATGAGAGGAAGCAATGGATGCCTGGGCCAGGGAAATGCATATTTGGGAGAAAGCAGGAAATTCTGATGTAGAGATAGGGAAGAACCCTGGGGAAAAGGACCCAAGCTGGGCGGGGAGGAGGAAACCACCAGGATCCCAGGATCAGAGACAAAGGACCCAGGGACACAAACAAAGTGAGGCCAGATGGAGAGGGCAGGCTCACGGGGAGAGCAAGCTCACAGGGAGAGCATGAGCCAAACCTGGCTTATTTCACACTCATCAGAGAGACTGCACAGATGGGGCCAAACCAGGGCCCAGGAGCATCGGAGAGAGGAGGGCCATTTCAAAGACTTTTGTAAAATAAGCTCAAAGTTTCTTTGTTTATTTGTGGGTGTGGGAGTGGAAACGTAGGGAAAGTGAAGAAAGTGGGGGAAAAGGGATGGGTGATTTTGTAGGCAAGATGCTCCCTGAGGAGGTCCTGGTGGACCTGCTGTGGGGCGTGGCATTCTGCACACTCTCATATCATGGGGAGCGCATGACTACATTACTGCTTACACATCTCCAAGTGCAGCTTGGGGGGTGAATGTTTAATTGTCTCACTGTAACTGTCTAAATCTCTGGAAAATGTGAAGGGTCATGCATTTGATTTAAACCTATGAGGTCTGAATGAATTCTCCTCCATGCCTAACCGAGTGAAGCAAGTATATAACCAACCATGCATCCCTAAGCAGGGCCGGTATGAAAGGGAGGAAACGCCTCCCCACTGAGCTCGCAAAGAACTTCATCACTGACCTGAATCAGATCCAGCAGGAAATGAAACACTGAGTACATACTTTTACAGTAGAGGGAGGGGGACGGAAAACAAAGTGAGCTGAACTGAAACGTGAGAAAGAACAGAATGGCAGTGAGTCCACGGGGCAGGGCCGCAGCTTTCTTTTTTCATGGCCCTCAGTCCAGTAACCCCACCCGGCATTCGTAGCGGATGACATCATTGATGCCCAAACATGCTCCAGCAATTTCCTGCTTTCCAGAGTCCAGCCGAGCCATGATGTCAGTGGTGCACCTGGGTAAAGATATGGCAGGGCCGGGTCACAGGGAGTGGGGACAAAGGCCAACCCAGTTAAATAAACTGCTGGTCTTCTAGGGCCTGGTCCCTAGGCAGGCTTCCACCATGAGATAGGTATAGCCCAGGCCAATCCCAACAAGAGGAAAAAAAGCATGTACTTGGCCGGGGGCGGTGGCTCACACCTGTAATCCCAGCACGTTGGGAGGTTGAGGCGGGTGAATCACGAGGTCAGGAGTTTGAGACCAGCCTGAACAATGTGGTGAAACCCCGTCTCTACTAAAATTGGAAAAAATTAGCTGGGCGTAGTGGTGGCCACCTGTAATCCCAGCTACTCGGGAAGCTGAGGCAGGAGAATCGCTTGAACCTGGGAGATGGAGGTTGCAGTGAGCCGAGATCACACCACTGCACTCCAGCCCAGGCAACAGAGTAAGACTCTGTCTCAAAAAAAAAAAAAAAAAAAAAAGAATGCACCCATGCAGTGCCTCCTGTCACCCTCTGCCCAGAAAGGGCACAGGGGCCAGGGTGAAAGAGTTACAGGAAGACAGAGGGAAGGAAACCATGCAGACATAACCACATGGGGGCAGGCCCTAAGCTGCTGGGACCTCCACAGTGTATCCCTTTCCTCCAACTGGGAGACGGAAGCACCGATGGTCTTTCTCTACAGTGCCAGGAGCCACCCTGCCCCCAGAGATGCCCTACAATCAATGACTACCATCTAAATGCTTCTGGATAGTTTCATTCCTTGTAGATGATATTCCAAATATTATAATTTGTACTTCTCCACAATTACAATTCCAGTTTTGGGGTTTCTTTTTACTCATTAAATTTGAAAAGCCAATTCCAGTTTTAAAGCTTGACCCTTTTCTTAAAAGTTTAACTTCTCTTTTTATTCAGGCTTCCCACTAAACCCTCAAACTGACTCTGAGGGTGGCCTGACTAATTTACAAAACCGGCCAGGCTGCCTAACCCCTAGATTCCAGCCCAGAGTGTTGCCATAAATTGCTGTCAAGACATGCCTCTATGTCCCATGTTTGCCAGTGAGAAAAGGGTTCATATTCTAAGTTCTTCAAGTCTCTCTCACTGCCTCAATGTGAAGTCAATGGAAAACAGTCAAATACACCAAAAATTAACTTCAAATGGATATCTGCTATGAATTCCAACTTGGTTGGACACCTCTCCAGGCCAACTGTTGTGAAAATGCATTGTTGTTTTAAAAAACACTGTGAGAGATGGCTGGGCGTGGTGGCTTACTTGAGGTCAGGAGTTTGAGAACAGCCCGGCCAATATGGTGAGACCCCAGTCTCTATGAAAAATATAAAAATTGAGCCAGATGTGGTGGCATGCACTTGTAGTCCACGCTACTTGGGAGGCTGAGGTAGGAGTATCACTTGAACCTGGAAGGCGGAGGTTGCAGTGAGCCGAGATCATGCTACTGCACTCCAGCCTGGGTGACAGAGCAATACTCTGTCTCAAAAAAAAAAAAAAAAAAAAAAAAAAAAAAAAGAGAGAGCGAGAGAAAACACTGTGAGAAGAAAGAAGTCAATCACCCCCTCTCCAATGCCCAACACAGTAAGCAAGAAGGGCCCAGGAAAAAATTAACAGGGAAAAACAATCTTGCATTTGCTTAGTGGAATCTGGGGTTTGCACACATTAGTCAGAGCTAGACAAATCATACTGAATACACTTCTTATAGAAACATTCTAGCTCTTATGGCCTTTCCTTGCTGTCCCAACTTTTGAGGTGCGAAAACACAGCAACACAGCCAGGACCGGCCAGGTGATGGCACGGAGCCCGCTCCCACAGGCTGCGTGTGTGTTCTCACTCTCTTGCAACTGGCCTGAGTTAAGCCTTCTCCCCAAGCACTTGCAGTTTATCATCGCCCTATTTACTGTATTTTCATGTTATAAAAGTGATATACACCCAACGTAGTAATTTGATCTATACAAAAAAGAGAAGAAAAAAAGCTACTCATAATATCACTGTCTAATTTAAGGTTTTGGTGTAGTCTTTCTAGTCTTTTTCTATATGGAATGTAATTTACTTCTCAAAAATATCATTTCATATTCTTTGCTTACATATTAGCATTTTTGTCATGAAATTTATGCCAACTGATTAAACAGCCCTTGTAAATTACAGAAACTTAAAGACAATATCAAAACAATGTGACCACAAGACAAAGACCACCTACTACTAAATTATTTTTGGCATGAGATTATTTTTTGAGAAGTTTTATAAACTATTAGGTTTATTGAACACTATAAACTGTAATCCTTGAAAGAATTTTGGAAGCATACGATAACAGGGTAATTTGTAGTAGAATATAGGGTTGGAAAACCTTAAAAAACACTTGCTCATTTCTTCCTATATCAAAGATTTGTATTAGAAAATCTATTTCTTACAAAAAGATGTACTAAGTGGTATTATGTCAGTCAAGCATCTTGTATTATTTTCTAGCTTTCAATAATATGTATAATGTCATAAAAAAGAGGGAAGAATACACAAAATACATATGAAGCTTACTAGGAATGAAGAAAGTTATTTTAGGAAGGAAAAATTGGTTACCATCAAGGAATATGGAAAACACTAGCAATGCATGTAAGAATGACCTCAAAGGTCTTAGACGTCCACGAGCTGGGAATGCTTGTGCTGGGTGCTTCAGTTACAACAGCATGGGGAAGTTAAATAGACTAGTGAAGCTGTTACATCAGTTAATAGTATTTATTATTATTTGTGGTCACCAATGCCAATTAAAACAATAATTAAATAGAACATGATGAAATAATTCAATGGTAGGAAAAAAAAATCTGGCCTACAAGTGAACATGGAAAGTAAAAGTAAATATTTAGAAAGTGAAATCAGGAGTGGAAAAAAGCTCCAGCATCTCACCATGGGGTCTTCCAAAGCCAGCAGTACTGGAGATGTTTATTGTTCAAAGATGGACTTGCTTGGGTTGGGATTCTCCAACTAGAGCCAGAGGGGAGATTCTCTGCTTCCCTTGAGGACACAAAAAGAGAGGCTTTCTTATAAAGCCTGCCACATTCTGTGCCTGTATTGTTTTATTTACTGGAGTCTATCATAAGGCCTGTGAGGAAAGGACTGAATCTCTTTCTCATAGCCGTTGGGCTGATGGCCCTGCGTGCTGTAGGCATTTAATAATTCACTGAGTAAATGAATGAACCCTGCAGGAGATTGGGAGCCTTTCTGATCTTGAGGTCTCAGTTTGGACTATCTTTCTGGAATGGATAGACGAATATGTTTTTCAGCAGCACTCTAATAAGCGCACATTGGGTGACTAAGCAGAAGAGTGATTCGTTTTGCTAGAATTTTCCAACCTGCAGGAGCCAGTCCCCCTGGTGTCCCCATTCCCTGTCCCCTCAGTCATCTCAGCAGGAAATTACTATCCTTTCTCCCACATGGGTGATGAATGTTCAAGGCATTTCAGCACACTGTGGTAAGGCCCAGAATGGGTTCAAGTAAAAGTAAATACCAGTCCTTATTAGGAGATCCTGGCCCCTCTGCTGCATGTGTCCCAGTACACATGCAGCTTCCTGCTCTGTCATAGAAAGCAGCCCTCTAGGGCCACTGCCTCCAGTGAGAGTTTCCTGACCTCCAGGAACTTCTGTAGTCAGGCACCACTCCCTTCCCTCACACCCAACACCCTGTTGTTCCAGATTTTATCACTGTGCACTGATGCTCACTGCGACCCCACATGTGGCCACAGGAGGAACTCGGCTGAGGGCTGAGAAGACCAGATAATGACACAGAGGGCTCACTTCAGGAAACCCAGAGAGCTGCAGCGGCTCCTCCAGGGCCATTCCACGCATTCATTTTCTAACAAGTCATAAGTCAAAGAGTGACATCAGGAGCGGACAGCCTGGTGTCCAGGCATGAGCCATGGCAACAGATTCTGATTTCCCAGAACGGCTTTGGTCTTTACCTGGTGTTGGATATGGTAGTGTTAGCTGGAGTGGGAGGAGATTCACATTGTATATTTGTTTAGTGACTCCAAAGATTTTAAATTATATTGTGTTTTTTATTATTTTATTCCATTTTTTTAGAGACAGAGGTCTCACTCTATCTCCCAGGCTGGAGTGCAATGATATGATCATAGGTCAGTGTAGCCTCAAACTCCTGGGCTCAAGTAATCCTCCCATTTCAGCCTCCTGAGTAGCTGGGACTCCAGGTGTGTACCATGACTCCTGGCTAATTTTGGTTTAAGTAGAGATACAGTCTGGCTATGTTGCCCAGGCTGGTCTTGAACTCCTGGCCTGAAGCAATCCTTCTACCTTGGCTTCCAAAAGTGCTTGGATTGTAAGTGTGAACCACTGTGTGGGCCCTGGTTTTTGTTTAATGGCTATTAAATGCTCAGAAGTGAATTAAGGTTGCAGTTAAATGCACAATTTTTATATCAAACTATTTTCTTTGCTAATTCACTTCTATCTGCGTCTACCAGCTGTAAACTACCTGAAGCAGAGAAAGTTTCTTTAGGTTGGGGCTTCCTGTAGCCCCGAGCTGAGTGTCTTATGCAGCATTGGCCGAGTGAATGAATTTGTTGGGTGAACTGCTGCGGGGTTTAGAGTCCGCAGAGGGTAGGACAGGACAGATCGTGATAGAGGCTAACCTTCTCATCTACTCTACCATTTCATGCTCTGTTTGGGCACCTCCATCACCCCTCACTTCCCCTGATGGTCCAGTCTCTCTGGGCCTGCACTGTCCAGCCACCCTCTTATCCCTAAGCCAAGGCCTTTGCCAACTAAAGCTCAGGAGTAAAGTGGCCATCACTGAGGCCATTCTATGTATGTATGTATGTATGTATTTAGAGATGGAGTCTTGCTCTGTCACCCGGGCTGAAGCACAATGGTGCAGTCTTGGCTTACTGCAACCTCTGCCTCCCAGGTTCAAGCAATTCTCCTGCCTCAGCCTCCCAAGTAGCTGGGATTATAGGTGTCCGCCACCATGCCCAGCAAATTTTTGTATTTTTAGTAGAGATGGGGTTTCACCCTTTTGGCCAGGCAGGTCTCAAACTCCTGACCTTGTGATCCCCCCACCTTGGCCTCCCAAAGTGCTGGGATTACAGGCATGAGCCACTGCACCCGGCTGACTGAGGCCATTCTAAGGAATATACAGCAAGCTCTTCAGTACCCATTTTTGTTAACTGAGGTATAACTAAATGATACACAGGCCCAGCACAGTGGCACAAACCTATAGTCACAGCAACTTGGGAAGCTGAGGTGGGAGGATTGCTTGAGATCAGGAGTTTGAGTCCAGCCTGGGCAACACACGTGTATAGGTCTATGAGTCTGGAAGAATGTATATAGCCATGGAATCACTACCATGTCAAAACATAGGATATTTCCATTATCCCAAAAAGTTCCCTCCTGCCCCTCTGCAGTCAAACACTTCCCTCCCCCAACTCCTGGCAACTGCTGATCTGAACTGTAGACCTGAAAATGTCATTCAGAACCCATTTCATCTGGACCCTTCTCTCTGTGTCAACATTGCTGTGAGCGGTGTCTGTGGGATTTTTCTGGACGTTCTCTGCCATGCCCCTGCTCCTTCCTTCCTGCCTTCTGGAAGGCACCCCTGCCAGGAGTCGGCTGCATTAAAGTGGGTGTTTCAGGGGTGTCTTCCTTTACTCTCTTCTCACTGATTTCCAGCTATCCCTGTGTCTCTTGTTTAATGAGTGCCTTCACCCATATCCTTAAACCCACCAGGGCGACCTTCCTGCCCCTTTCTTTGGAGAGCTGTATCTGTATTTCCAGTGGAGACACAGACTGTTCCTTAGATCCTATTAACCCTCTGAGCTCTCTCTCTTCAAGCCAGGCTCATTTCTGGCTTGGCCAATCTGCCTCCTCCCGTGTCCTTTCCATGACACGGTGATGGCATCACCAGCCAGTCACCAAGCTAGAACAGTCCCTTCACCCGGCCCCTACTGTAGGAGGATACTTTTAGAGTATGTCTGCAATTCACCCCCACTCTCTGTATCTACTTCTGTGGCCAAAGTGCGGACCTTGATTTCCTCTGGCCCCAGCTGAATTAACCCACCTCTCTGGGCCTGGTTCTCTTTTCACTAAACATTCTCCACATTGCTGCCAGAGCTATTTTTCTAAAATACACATCAGACCACATTCTTCTCCTCCTTCTTTAAAAACAAAAAATCAAAAAAATAAAAAACCAAGAAACAAACAAAAAACCCACCCTACCGTGGCTCCTCAGTGTGTAGAGATCAGATTCAAGTTCCGTGAGATGGTCTTCAAGATCCTTGGCCATGTGACCCCGTCCTGCTATCCCAATCCCATTCCCATTCCCATCCCCAGCCTCCCCACCTCATCCAACTCCAGCCACATTGGATCACCCCAGGAGAGGATGTCATGTATTAGTACTCTGGTGCCTTTGAGTCAAAACTCACTGTTTTGCCAGTTCAGAGGTTGAGCCCTTTTTGAAGAATCCCCTCTTCTTCCACAGCCCAGGTAAGTTCTACCCCAGGCATAATGAGCTGTTATCCCCCTGGGATCTGAGGGCATTCAGAATACCAACACAATGCTCTCCAGATACCTCTATGCTATTCAAATCCATGCATCTCACACCTGCTCATCTTAAAATCTCTGTGCCTCACATGCAGGAAGAATTCAAATGATGCTGATTGAAAAAACATTGTGTCCAATATTAGATGAAGCATGTAAATATCAAGGCAAGAATCTGCACTTTTTGTCTGTCTATTGCTTGTTTGCACAATAGAGCCACATGGTTTATTATAAAAAATTATTATAATGTATGCTGTTTAAGCTCAGATCACTTTGCACTAATGATGATGATAATGATGGGTTAGAATTTTTTTTCTTTTCTTGCCATGGGATCTGCCAGGTTTTAAGAATTCTTTTTTATTCTAAACCAAATTCAGGAGCACTCCCAAAGACAAGAAATCAAATTTAGGCCACTGATGGTACCAACGGAAGGCTATCACTGTGTAGCTATACCAAATGAAGCCAATCTTCATGGATTTTAAGCACTTTGATAAGCTTTTATATCTCTGCTCATCTCGTTTACCTCCATAGATAACACAAAATAACAGAATAATCAACCAATAGCAACGTAATCCCATCACAACAACATCAAAAATGAGAATTCATATGATTCAGTAATTTCCTAAGCCAGAACTTCCCACCTGATGTGCTGGGGAAGTGAGAGGGTGAGGACTGCTTTCCCCAGCCCTTAGGGTGACTGGGCAGATCCTGTCTGGTGTGAGCATTCAACCCTACTGATTACATCATTTTGGGTGCTATGTGTGATAAAGGTTGACAACCACTGTCCTAAGCCATTCTACCATTTAAATAGACTGAATTCTCCCAAGTTATGTTCTTACTTGCCTTAGGAAGGAAATTAGTATTATGACTCTAAGGATCCTGAACACATGATCTAAAAAAAGAAAAACCCAAAGCACAATGGCAAAGGTAGGTGAGACAGAGTGTTTAGAAAAATAGCGAATACTGTACTATTAATTACTCCCAATTCTCCCTAATCCATGATTTTTAAAGAGCGGGTGGAGCATAACGATTTGAGGCACTGCGACAATGCAGAATGGGGAGGGATTTTGGAAAATGTGACTCACTCACCGTTCCGACCAAAGGGTAAATGAACCCAGCACCTATGCTGGCCCGGACATCACTGATAGGTAAGATGAAGTCCCTTGGCACACCTTTTTTGTCAGGTTGGTGAGACAGAGAAAGATCGGTCTTTGCCATGCAGATGGGCAAATTTCCAAAACCCTGTAAGAAAGGAAAGAAAATGTGTTCACTGATATAGACGTGAGTCTCCTGTGTTTTTCAATTTGCACTTTATACAGTCTCGGCAGCAATGGTATGCCAGCTCAGATCGAGGCACACGCAGGAGCTGCTTGTTACTACTTGTTCACTGAAGAAGCAAGAAGGTGAGGATAAAAACTCATCTCCATGTGATGACTGTTTAGTAGGTCAGGGGTGACTATTGTTTATTTTGGAGGTTCTCGTTAAGAGAAGGCAGTGTTATGTGCATGTTTGGGAAAAGCATTGCTATTTGCAGGCAAAGCAGCAGCTGTAGAAACCGCTTTCCAAGACTATTAATATCCGGGACCCAGCAAGGTAGTCTGGAGAAAGGCTCTGCGACTAGGCTCTTAGTCATGTTGTTCACTCATTCTGGAGTCAGTCAAGAAGCAAAGGGTTCCTTTGTGTTGGTTTATGAATCATGGTTATTTGATCTGCAACTACATTACAAGAGCTAAGATGAGGTCACTATTTAAGCTTCTTGTTTTTAAGGACAAAAGTCTATGTCTGACCCAGAGTTCCAAAGGTGAAAGAGCAGGAAGTCACATGTGGTGTCTCACAAAAAGCACAGTGTCCTATAAGCCTGTTTCTGATTAAATGGCACACAGTGTTCCTTCAGAGGCTTTGCTAATTCATTGCAACCACATACTTGGCACTAACTTTAAAAAAAATAAAAATAGAGATGGAGGTTTTGCTATGTTGCTCAGAGTGGTCTCAACTCCTGGCTTCAACTGATCCTCTGCCTTGCCCCCACAAAGTGCTGGGATTACAGGTGTGAGCACCGTGCCTGGTTGACACGACTTTTAAGGAGTATTTCCTTGATAGAGATAAAGGGAATGAAATCTTTAGTCAAATTTTCATAAGACTTAGCCTAAAACTATTTGGAAGATCTTAGAGTCTTATCAACTTAGGGAGGACTTGGGCTTGGGGCCATTTTCTTTTTGAAATCTCCACTCTTCTATACTGATAAGAATTTTGCTGAGTGAGAATCACAACTGCCTTTCAGAATGGTGCCAGAATTTTGAATTTCAGACATGGTTAAATATTAAAGTAATTTCTATAGGTTTGCTAATGTAAAAATTTTGTTAGTAGGCATATTAAAAAGAAACAGAAACCAACCAGTATGCTATATACTGTCACCAGATTACTTCATAAAAGAAATAACATTTTAACACTGAAAGGAGAAAAGACTTAATATTACAATAAATGATAGTCTTAAATATCATTATTAAAAACTCGGGGAATAAAAAACAAAGCAACCTCATGAGAATGACCTTATTTTACTTGGTTCATTGCACATGAATGAAAACTTCACCACAATGCCTAGGCACAGAGCAGTGCTTGGGAATCCTTTTTGTAAAGGGTAAGCCAAGAACATCAGGGAAAATTCTAAGAATTTAGAACTTTCTGAGTTCCTATTTTACCAAACCTAGGAGAACAAATACCCTGGCTGGCAATGGTAGCATTTAACAAAATTTCAAATGGGTTTACAAAAAAGAATAAGGAGTTGGAGATTGTTTTTAAAGATAAGGTCAACACTACCAATCATGAAGCTCTTTAGCCAACAGGCTCTTAAAATGTTCTGACTTCTATCTATCTGATTACACCAAAGTAGGAGGGACACTGGAGGCACATGATCCTTTTGGTAAAAGGTGGCTGAGCCTCCTATAATGGAGTTGATTCATCATGACTGTCACTGGACTAGGTGATGACACATGCTGTCAGATCGTAGCCACTTTCCCAGCTGTTTGCCTACTTGCCTTTCTCAGTGGCTAGAGGTAGAAGATGATGGAGCCTTCAACCTCAGTGGACCAGCTCAGTAAAAAGCCAATGAACCGCTTGCATAAGAACAGCAAACATTCCCATCTTTATAGGCTGCACTCCTATCTGCCTACCCTGGCACCTTGCTAGCATTTTTAAGGTAGTAAGAGGCCTGTAAGGAAGAGGAAGCATTGCAATTCATGCAAATCTGACTCCGCAGCTCTACTCCAAAGGATAGTTTCAACGTTCTGGGCTGAGTGGGAGGGATGAAAGATCACACATCACCTACAAACAGGGATACCACCCATATCAGACACATTTATAGTCACAGAAGTAAATGATGCATGGATCAGAGGATACATGCCTCACCATAAAGTTCTAAATATAGTTTACACTCTACCCGAGGATATTGCTTTCATCTTTGTTAACCAGAAAATAGATTAAGCAAAGGTTAGCTGGTGAGACATGTACAAATCCTCAAGTCAAGCTGAGTATTCTGAGAGCCTAAGGTGAATTTTTTCTTTTCCCCTAAAAGTACAACTTTTACCTGCTGAGTGTAACGATCTATTTTGACTTGTGCCTCAGGACAGAGTTCGATATCTTTGGCTCCATAGACAGCCTGGGCAATGGTCCTTATCTTGTCCACAATTGGAAGCTGCAGAAACACAAATTATAAAAAAATTGTGTAAGTTTAATCTGGTTAAAGATTTTTTTAAAAGTTTAGTGACACTTACTGTAATTGCTTAAAATTCCCTTATCAGGGTACCCCCTCAGCAACTGCAGGATTCCTTGCAAACCCTCTTTTTTCCTTTTAGCACCCTAAAGCACTGAAATTTTCAGTGTCAGAATAGATCGGATGTCAACTAGCAAATAAGCCTTAGGTGTTCAGGCAATTTAGAGGCTGCCTAGAGCCCATGTAGAATCTGCAGAGGGAGGCCGGGCACAGTGGCTCACACCTATAATCCCAGTACTTTGGGAGGCCGAGGCGGGTGGATTACCTGAGGTCAGGAGTTCGAAACCAGCCTGATCAATATGGTGACACCCCGTCTTTACTAAAAATCCAAAAAAACTAGCTGGGCTTGGTGGTGCATGCCTGTAATCCGAGCTACTTGGGAGGCTGAGGCAGGAGAATCACTTGAACTGGGAGGCAGAGACTGTGGTGAGACAAGATTGTGCCACTGCACTCCAGCCTGGGTGGAGTAGGACTCCGTCTCAAAAAAAAAAAAAAAAAAAATCTGCAGAGGGAAGAGGGAAGTTAGTGCCTTACAGAGGGCTTCTGACTAGGAAGCCCCAGAACTGCGGCCGACCCCTTCCTCTCCCTGCCTCACCCCTGCAGAAAGATCTGCAGAAAAAGCTGGAAGGGGTGGGATGGTGTGTGTGGGGGTGGGGACTGGGGCTATGCAGTTTCCAGACCTGGTCTTTGGCACCCTCTACAGGACAGTTCCATTCCCACACCTGAGCTTTGGACAACTGAATCCTATGCCCCTTCCCACCCAGGGAACCTGGTGCCAGAAATTCCCAGGACTTACCCACCATCCACCACGCCACATAGCAAGTGTCCTCAGTGTCTGCAGACCAGAAACAACTCCCTTGTGTCTCAGCACTGGGCCACCTGCTGAAACCCCAAACTGCCTGCCCCATTGTTTGAGACCCAGTCAGGCCTTGGCTCCAAAAGTCCTCTTGGACTGCCACTGGCCCCCAGGGTCTCTCCTGACTGCACCTCGGTCCCGGAGCTCCCACACCGCTGGGCCCCGAGCCCCATGCCCCGATCCAGCTGTGGCTCCTTTACGGGGGCCTTGCTGGCCTTTCCTAAGGGAGGTGTTTTCCCGAGGGCAGGTGGACTGCTCCTCAGACTAGGGGCCCTCGGAGGGCCAGGCCTGGGCTTCTACCTCCTCTCGCAGGCTGGTGTTTCTCTGCAAATATGGCTCGTGTGTCCTCCTTCCTCTCAGACTGGGGGCCCCTGAGGACTGGGCCTGAGTTTCCCTCTCCCCCTTCAGAATGGGGGTTCCCTGAGGACTGACCCAGGGCCTCCCCCCGTCCCCTCCATCTGGCTGTTAATCTCCAACACTTCCACCTCCAGTCCTATTCTGCACAGCGCTCCCCAGCGCTGGGAGCTCAGAGGCCTCTTCAGCCTTCCCCAGGGCTGGGGCTCAGGGAGGGCTTCCTCAGGCGCTGGCCCCAGAGTCAGGCTGCACATTGGCTTGGAGGACAGGCCTTTCCTCTGGGACTGTGAGGCCCAGAGTGCCCACCCAGAACTCCACCTCTGACCTCACAAAGGCCTGCTTCAGAACTCAGTCTCCACTGCACTGCTGGCCAGACGAGGGAAGTTATTTTGGGCAGTGCATCTGGACTTGGTTCAAGTGGCACCAGCCAAATCCCTGCCTTACTGACCTCTCCCCTGGAGGAGCAGGAGCAGCGCTCAAGGCCGCCTTGGGAGGGCTGAGAGGCAGGCTCTGGACTGGGGACACAGGGATAGCTGAGCCCCAGCTGGGGGTGGAAGCTGAGCCAGAGACAGTCACAGAGGAACAAGATCAAGATGCGCTTTAACTGAGAAGCCCCCAAGGCAGAGGCTGAGAATCAGAAGACATTTCAGCAGAGTGAGTGGGGCTCCAGGCAGGGTGGGGATGGGGCAGCCTCCTCAGTGCCCAGATCTGGAAGGGTCATTCCCTGGGTACCATACAGCGAGGAGGTGACTGAGGGATTGTTTGGGGAAGGAGCCCCGGCTGGGAGTGGAAGTCCCGGCTTTCTTGTTATGGTGCAGTCCTGTGTTGCTGTGTGACACAGGCACATACACCTTCTCTCTGGGCCTCAGTTTCCTTACCTGTAAGTTGGTTGTTGGGAGGACCAGCGGTAGAGCAGAGATGGCAGGGATGCACTGGGCTGGGCTGTCAGCAGACCATGGGGGTGGGACGAGGAGAGAGCTGAAGACCACCGGCAGTGGACCACAGGGGGAGGCATGCAGGCCAGAGACGGGTCAGCTGCCGGCTTGCTGGAGTCATTCCTCCCACGCAGTCCCCTCCTGAGGGGCTGGAGCTGGGGCTGGAGGGTTTCAGCAGTCAGGGCTGGAGATAAGAGTCTGTGCTGGAGCTAGAGGGAACTGGGCTAGAGAATCAGGAGGACAGACAGGGTGAGGGGACTTCGGGCTACCTTCATGCTGTCTGTTAGAGATAAAGATAGGAGTACAAAGGGGAATTTTTGGGTGAGGTACACGGGTGAAATGAGTTTTCAGGGCCTCATCCTGTGTGTTCACCTTCTGTGTGTGTGTGTGTGTGTGTGTGTGTGTGCATGCGTGCATGTATGTGTGTGTGCCGGTCCTGGACAGTCACAGCTTAAGTTAGCAGCAAGAGAACTTGAGGTTAAAGGTATAGCACGCAAATATGAGGCTGGAGCCACTGAGTAGAGGCTGAGGGCATCTCCACAGTCCAAAGCTGGGCTGCAGACAGGGAAGGTCAGCAGGAGCACTGGAGGGTCTGGCCTGGGGTTGGGGTCCTGGGGCCAGCATGGGTGGGGTGGGGCTCCAGGGCGTCGCCTCATTGGCTGAGCACCGCTCCTCCCTCCCTGTTCCTTGGCTGGGTTAAGGGAGTGGCACTAGCAGGAGCTGCCCCAGGGCTTCTCCCCTGGGGACAAAGATCTGATGGAAGTGTGGGGCCAAGTTCTGTGTCCTCCAGCCCTAGTGACCTCTCTTTGGCTCCTCAGCATCTACAAATCTGAAGGACAAAACATGGTTCAAGCATCTGGGCACAGGCGGTAAGTACCCCACCCTCTTCTCACCCTCCAGCCCCCTGTCCTCCACCCAGCCCACTTCAGTGCCCTCCCTGCTCCATCCTCAGCCTCTCCCTTGGGGCAGCTGTCCCCCCTCGACCTCCTCCTCCCCACCCACCCACTCGCCTCTGAGGTCCCAGAAGAAAAGCATCTTCCACCTGTTGCCTGGGCTGGGTCCTGGGGTGAGGGGAGGCTCAGAAATACTTGGATGAGGGTCAAGGCATGCAGGTGGCCTTCAACTCAACTGCACTCAGCACCTCTCACCCTCTCAGGCTCAGCTGTCTTTGGGGTGAAAAAGAGCCAGTCCTTGCAATGGCCAAGGCCCTGCCTATGTAGTCCTTGTTAGCTTTCTGGCCTCCCCACTCCAGCCCCCTGCTCTCCCTCCTCCAGCCACACTGAGTTTCTTTTCTGGTTTTTTTTTTTCTTTTCTTTTTTTTTTTTTTTGAGATGGAATCCAGTTCTGTTGCCCAGGCTGGAGTGCAATGGCAAGATCTTGGTTCACTGCAACCTCCTTCTCCCGGGTTCAAGCGATTCTCTTGCCTCAGCCTCCTGAGTAGCTGGGATTACAGGATTACAGGCACACACTACCATGCCCAGCTAATTAGTTGTTTGTTTTTTTTTTTTTTTTTTTTGTATTTTTAGTAGAAATGGGGTTTCGCCATGTTCGCCAGGCTGTTCTTGAACTCCTGACCTCAGGTGATCCACCCACCTCGGCCTCCCAAAAGATTGGGATTACAGGTGTGAGCCACTGCACCTGGCCTCACACTGACTTTCTTTGCTTTCTTCAAACATGCTGAGAGTCCTCTGGTGACTATTCCCTCCATCTGAGAGGCTTTCTGCAGTTAACATACAGCCCACTCTCATCTCCTTCATGGCTTTGCTCCAAGGCCACCTTCTCAACAAGGATTACTCTGACTGCCCTATTTGAAATCACACCCCATCTCCAGCCCCTGCACTCCCAATTCCCCTCTCCTTGCTCTGTTTTTTCCCATAGGAGCTGGTACCTTCGCTTATACAAATGTACTTACTTATTACATTTCATTGCTGTCAGCTCCACGCAAGCAGGGATATTTGCCTGTTGTACACTTGGACGGAGAGAATGAATAGTGCCCCTCTGTTGACATCATTGCCTCTAGCCTACGTCTCTTTCCAGGGCTTTAGATCCTGTTTCTAGAGACCCACTGGTGTCTCACAGGCAACTCAGCTCCTAGATGGAAACAGCCTCCTCCGCCCCCCACAAGTCCACTCCTCCTGTGCTCTTGGCTCAGTCAGGGGTCCCCTTCTCTTCAGTTGCTCAAGCCAGAAGTCAAGGTCATGTCCTTGATACTTCCCTCTTCCCCATGCCTCACATCCAGTCACCAATCTCCTAAAATATCTAGAATGTGCACAGCTTCCACCATTCTTTCTACCACCACCCTACTCCCCCATGGCCATGTCAGGCCACCACCCGCCCATTCTTCAAAACTCCCTTCAGGCCTCACCTCCCATGCCTCCCCTGAGTTCCCCCAGTCCCAGGCTGCTTCTCTCTGGTGGTGTTGCCATTACCCATCTCTTCTATTAAACAGAGTGACCCAAGAGTGGAGAGTGGGTTTTGACTTTGTATCCCTGGTGCTTGACTCATAAGTAGGTGCTCAACAAAAATTTTTTCTTTTTTTGAGATGGAGTCTTGTTCTGTTGCCCATGCTGGAGTGCAGTGGCATGATCTCAGCTCACTGCAACTTCTGCTTCTTGGGCTCAAGCGATTCTCACATCTCAGCCCCCACCCCAGCTGGGATTACAGGTGCCTGCCACCACGCCCAGCTAATTTTTTTTTTATTTTTAGTGGAAATGGGGTTCTGCCATGTTGTCCAGGCTGGTCTTGAACTTCTGACCTCAAGTGATCCACCTGCCTCGGCCTCCTGAAGTGTTGGGATTACAGGCATGAGTCACCATGCCTGGCCAACAAATGTTTGTTGAATGAAGAAATGTTGGTTAGCAGGTTGAATTGTTGGCTCGTGGTTAGTTGGATAGTTTATGGTTGACTGGTTGATTAGATAATTCAATGAGTTAATAGCTGGTTAACAGGAGAATCAGTTAGTTGGTTTTTGATAGGTTAGTCAAAGGGTTAATAAGCCACCGGGCATGTTGGCTCATGCCTGAAATCCCTGCACCTTGGGAGGCTGAGGCTGGAGGATTGCTTGAGTCCAGGAGTTTGGGACCAGCTTGGGTAACATGGCAAAACCCCATCTCTACAAAAAATAGGAAAAAATAGCCGGTCATGGTGGCATGCTCCTGTAGTCCCAACTACTTGGGAGGCTGAGGTGGGAGGATCACTTGAACCCTGGGAAGTCTAGGCTTCAGTGAGCTGTGACTGTGCCACTGCACTTCAGCCTGGGCGACAGAGTGAGACCCTGTCTCAAAAAAAAAAAGAAAAAGAAAAAGAAAAGAAACAGGCGTTAGTGAGTTGTTAGCTATTTAGTTCCTTGGTTAACAGATTACTTAGGGGATCTGGTTGGCTGTCAGTTTCTTGCTTTGTAGGCTGGCTTTCTTGGGCCCCTCTTCTTAGTCTGTACCCTCTCCTTGAGCTCTCTCATCTATGCCCATGGCTCAGATGACCATCTGTGATTTGCTGTCCTCCAAATGTGTCTGTAAGTGAGACCACATGACCAGCTGCCTCCTCACTGGCCATCCCACCCAAGTGTCTAGCAGGCTCCTCACACTCAACATGTCCAGAAAGGGCCTCCTTGTCCATTCTTCCACAGCTTCTCTGCTGTGCCCCACGCTAGTCATTCCGCTGCCCTAGCCAGGACCTGAGGGCATCGCTGAGCTGCCCCGCTCCCTTCCCTCTCTAACCGAACACCAAGCCTGTCAGCTTGACTGTGTTCTTGTGGCCATTGGCACTGCCATCCTTGTGGCTCAGACTGCCACCACTTCTCCACCCATCTGTGGAGAAGCTGATGCTCACCCTGCCTCCACTCCACTTCCTCCATCCTGGCCTCCACAGGGGAGGCAGCTCTCCTGCTGAAACCCTCCACTTGGCCCATGGCCCTCTGGTAGAGTTCAGACTCCCTAATGTGGGCCATGAGGCCTTCTGCCACCTGGCCCTGGCCCCTCTCTGCCCATCTCATGCCACCTCCACTCCTCCGTGGCCAGCCCATTCCTGCACATTGGATACTGCCTTAGCTGCAGGCCTTTGCACATGCCAGTCCTACGCCCAGAGTGATCCCTGCCTCCCTGGAGGCTCCTTTACCCTCCAGCCTTCTTTTCTTGACCTGAATTTCCCTTTCTCTGGGAGCCTCCTACCCCCTCCTCTAGGCCATTCACTTCCTCCACATGCCCCACAGTGCCCACTCTTTCAGCTGGGGCAATGCTCATCACACTGCATAGTAATTGCTCAATTGATTGCTTTTCTTCCCACAGGCTGGATTGTACCAGTGTCTTTTACTGCAGTGACTGAACATTCTAGGCACAGTAGATTCAAGAAATCTTGAGTTCATTGGCTGGTTGGTGGTTATCTGTTGCTTACTGTGTCTTGCCTGCTGTGTGGTGATGAGGAAGGAGCCAGGCTTCCAGGATTCTCTTGGTGTTCTTGTCTTTCCGCTCTGTCCACTTCTCTCTCCTCTTCTGTGGTTACCTCCAGCATGGGAGGTGGGGTTGGATGGGAGCCAGTGGAGGGTCACCTCGCCCTGCTAGGGAGAGCAGCAGCATTCCTCAGGGCTCCTAAATTCCCCTGACCTCACAGCAGCAAAAAGTAAGCAGAGGGAATGAGAGACGTCCAGGCATGGAATAAAACATCTTCCACTTTTCAGCTGAGACCCTCTGTTCATGGCTCACCCATCCCAGTCCTTGCTCTATTCCTTACTCCAGAGAAACAAAACCAGGGATGAGTAGATGGAGGGGGATGCAGAGTTGCGCGGATATTCCACTGGCCCCCATCCAACTCCAGCTCCCATGCAGCATCGTATAGGGGTCTCATTATCCCATGACCAGCCTCCTCAGCCCTGAAGAAGAGACCCTATCAATGCAAGCAGCAGCCCAAAGACAGTCCTGGGAAGGTACCATAGAGGCAGGGGAGAGGTAGACAGAGCAGGGAGCCAAGAACACCAAGGGAATCCTGGAAGCCTGGCTCCTTTCTCATCAGCACAGAGCAGGCAACAACCAGCCAAGGAACCAAAGATTTATTGAATCTACTATGCCTACTATGTTCAGGCACTGCAGTGAAGCAAACTGGTATGATCCCAGCCCTTAGGAAGAAAAACCGTTAATTAATTAAGCTTTTTTTTTTTTTCTTTTTTGAGACAGGGTGTCGCTCTGTCACCCACGCTGGAGTGCAGTGGTGTGATCTCAGCTCACTGCAACCTCTGCCTTCTGGGCTCAGGCAATCCTCTCACATCAGCCTCCCCATTAGCTGGGACCACAGGCGTACACCACAACACCTGACTAATTTTTGTATTTTTTTTTTTTTTGTAGAGATGAGGTTTTGTCATACTGCCCAGGCTGGTCTTGAACTCCTGGGCTCAAGCGATCAGCTCGCCTCAGCAAGTGCTGGGATTACAGGCGTGAGACACTGTGCCTGGCCTAACTGAGCAATTACTATGCAGTGTGATGAGCATTGCCCCAGCTGAAAGAGTGGGCACCGTGGGGCATGTGGAAGAAGTGAATGGCCTAGAGGAGAGGGTAGGAGGCTCTCCCAGAGAAAGGGAAATTTAGGTCAAGAAAAGAAGGCTGGCGGGTAAAGGAGCCTCTGGGGAGGCAGGGAACCATTCTCGGTGTAGGACTGGCATGTGCAAAGGCCTGCAGCTAAGGCAGTACGTGATATGCAAGGATGGGCTGGCCAGAGGAGTTGAGGGGCTGGTGTCAGCTTCCGGGCATGCAGACAGTGAGATAGCAGAGTGACTAAGGCCACACTTAGAGGTATCTGTATCCCTCTTCTTCCTCTTTTTTTTTTTTTTTTTTTTTGAGATGGAGTCTCGCACTTGTTGCCCAGGCTGGAGTGCAGTGGCAAGATCTCGGCTCACCACAACCTCCATCTCCCATGTTCAAGTGATTCTCCTGCCTCAGCCTCCGAAGTAGCTGGGATTACAGGCATGCGCCACCATGCCTGGCTAATTTTGTATTTTTTAGTAGAGATAGGGTTTCTCTATGTTGGTCAGGCTGGTCTCGAACTCCTGACCTCAGGTGATCTGCCCACTTTGGCCTCCCAAAGTGCTGGGATTATAGGCGTGAGCTACCGGGCCCAGCCCCTCTTCTTCCTCTTTATCCTCCAGTCCCACCCCGCCACCTTCCCCAAACTCCAGTCCTATACCTCTCCCTATACGCAGATTTGGAACCTGTTACTCACCTGTTTCATCTACCTTTCCATCTAACCGTGCACTTAACTAAATATAAATCAAGTGCCAGGCCCTTTGGCAAGCTCTGAGGATCTAGTTGGGAGTAAGACAGATTCCCCAGTTTTCACCCATTCAACAAATACTTATTGCACATCTACTATGTGCCTGGCATGGTGCTGGGCACTAAAGATACACCAGGAAGTAGATCCAGTCCTTCCTTTTCTCCCTCCCGCTCTCTTGGTCATTCATTCATTCATTCACTCACTCTCTCACAAACCTCTGTTTGCACTGACCTGGTTGCACAGCCTGGTGCATTTTGCTGACCCCTTCATTTTTGACAGAACCTGGCGCATGTTTCAGTGCTCAGTGCTGTTTACAGAGCTCGGCAGCAGACTTTGTCACACTTCATGCTGTTTGTAGAGTGCCTCACTGTTGCCAGGCCCTGGCCTGTGACCCCAAAGTTCTGGCTCTAGCAGATAGGCAGACAGACAGATGGACAGACATAGACTACTGAGCTCTACTTTCCAGCCTGCTCTCTCCCACCCTACTTTTTCCCAGAGGCTTGTTGGCACCGTGGATTGCACTTTCAGCTCCCCACCTGTCCGTCTGCAAAGTGGCCTCATTGGTGTGCCATTTTTACTGGTCCAGTCCCAACTACAAGGGGCATGGCTTGGCCATCTACCCCAGTTCCTCTCCATGTCCCCATGGCTCTCAAGTGTCTCCAATTCCAGCTGTCCCAGCTGCCCCGGGCAAGAGGAGGTGTGTGTGGCAAGTCTGCTGGGTTACCTATTAACTCAGCTGTGAGTTGAAGAGCCGATGGGCAGCAGGCAGACTTGAGTCTCCTTTCTGTCCATGAGCTCGGGCCACTGTATCAGGTCCACCCGTGGCTCCAAAATGGTCTCCTGGTCCGTGATAGCAAAGATCCAGGAAATATGATGCGAGGAAGATGAGAGGAAGATGGCGCGAGAGTTCCTGGCCGAGTTCATGAGCACATATGTCATGATGGTGAGTGGGCGGGCAGCACGAAGTGGGTGGGCTCTGCCAGGGCCTTCCATGACCCCCTCCCCATTCTGACCCCATGGGTCACATTGTCCATTCCTTGCCTCTGAGCTGGGAGCCTGGGGAAGCAGCGAGGAAAGTAAGGGGGGGGGGGGCTTTCTCATCAAGTCTTTTTGGACAGAAAGGGCTCATAATATGTGGGGGTCAAATGAAACCATGCACTGGGGTATCCGGGGCAAGGCTGGAAATGGGGAGAAGGGAAACCCAGAGTAAAGAGATTGAAGAGGCCCAGGTGCAGTGGCTCATGCCTGTAATTCCAGCACTTTGGGAGGCTTAGGCAAGTGGATCACCTGAGGTCAGGAGTTCGAAACCAGCCTGGCCAACATGGTGAAACCCCGTCTCTACTAAAAACACAAAAATTAGCTGGGCATGGTGGCGGACACCTGTAACCTCAGTTATTCAGGAGGCTGAGGCAGGAGAATCGCTTGAGCCCAGGAGGTGGAGGTTGCAGTGAGCTGAGATCACACCATTGCACTCCAGCCTGGGTGACAGGAGCAAAACTCTGTCTCAAAAAAAAAAAAAAAGAAAAGAAAAAAGAGAGAGAGATTGAAGAGAAACTTGATGATCAGGCTCTGATAATGAATCCAGAGGGCAATGGGCGATGTTGAAGGCTGGCAAGCAGGGGAGTGACATGATCAGATTTGGATTTTAAAGGTAATTTTGGGTGCAGTGTGGAGCATAAGCAGGACAGGCAAGGCTGGCAAGAAGGAACCAGTTAAGAGGCTGTTTTTGATCTGGGACAGAGAGAGGGTGATGACTGATCTGGGGTTGGAGAAGAAAGCACATGTTTGAGAGGGCTGTGGAAGATGGAATCGGGGAGACTCTGCCAGCAGAACATGTGGGCAAAGCGCCGATGAGCTGTTCTGGAGCACGGGGCCCAGCACAGGGTGAGAGGCAAGATGCCTGTAGGGAAATCCAGGAGATAGTTAAACACAGGCAAGGGTCTGGAGCTCAGGAGAGGCTTGGTCTGGAAGGAAAAAGTTGAAGTTCATCACAACACAGGTGGTGGTTGTCAACACTGTCTAGAAGGAGTGTACAGAAAGAGAAAAGGATGGTTTGAGGACAGAGCCCTGAGGAATGAAGAGGGGCACGCAAAGGAGCCTGAGAAGGAATGGTCAGAGAGGTGGGAGGAGAACCAGAGCCGACTGCATGACAGAGGGGGGCAGTGGTTCCACCAGGAAGAAGCCATCAGCGGCATGGGCAGCGGCAGATGGGCCACGCAAGGTGAGCACTGGCAAGGGGCCTTAGGGTTTGCCAATGTGGAGGTTGCTGGTAACCTTGACAAGGGCTCTTCTTTAGTGTGTGATTGGGACAGAATCCAGACTGCAGGTGGGATGTGAGGTTGCTCCCTCTCCACCTGCTTCAGCCCTGCCACTTACCCCAGTGAGCCTCTGCCCTTAACATGACTGTAGCCATGTTTATTGCATCTTATGCAGGGTCCAGGGTCTAGAGAAAGAAGGGGCAGCCTCTGGGAAGGGAGGCAAAGGCAGCCAGGTGCATGCTAGAGGAAGGTGGGGTGAGAGAGGCTGTTCGTGTGTGTGGTGGGGCCCATGGAGCTCAAGGGAGAGAGGAAATTGGAACACCAGGTTTCTTAGCCTGACCCTGCCACTGAGTGACCAGTTGCCTTGGGCAGGTCTCTCCCTGGCTTAAAGCCTGACTTCTCACTTATATCGTGTAGAATTAGGCCTTCGTGGGCTTTGGAGCTGTGTTTGAATCCTAGCTCTGTTATCTTCTAGCTGTGCGACTATCCACAAGTATCTTAACTGTTCACAAATTTAGCTTTCTTGTTTTTGAGACAGGGTCTCACTCTGTCTCCTAGGATGGAGTGCAGTGGTACGATCTCAGCTCACTGCAGCCCCCACCTCCCATACTCAAGTGACTCTCTTGCCTCAGCCTCTTGAGTAGCTGGGACTACAGGCATGTGCCACTGTGCTCAGCTAATTTTTCTATTTTTAGTAGAGATGGGGTTTCACCATGTTGGCCAGACTGGTCTCGAACTCCCGAATTCAGGTGACCTTCCTGCCTCGGCCTCCCAAAGTGCTGGGATTGCTGGCGTGAGTCACCTCTCCCAGCCCACAACTTTAGCTTCCTTATTGGTTAACAGGAGGACTTGTGTGAAGAAGGCCAAGTCTCAGCACCCAGTGTGGTACCCATGTATTGGTCCCTTGTTATTAGGACGGGTGCTCTAGCTGCTGTCTCCTCTCTGTCTCTGGCCCTCCCCTACTCCTCTCTTACCTCCCCACCTGCTTTGGCTCCTGAGCTGTGAGGACAGCAGTTGGATCCTGTCCCTCCTTAATCCAGGGCAAAGTAATTCACTTACCACAAGACATTCCAGCCCCATGAGGGCTGTTAACCCTTGGAGCCTCGGAGGCAGGAGGGTGCATCCTCTGAGAGCTGTTAGGGAAATAGGCACCGCCCACATGCTTGATACCTGCCCACATCTGTGTTCCTCTTCCTTTTGTTGAGATTTTCATTGAGCACCTAATGCATCCCGGGCTCTGTGATGCTAAGCCCCTTACGTGCAGCATCTTCCCAAATCCTCGCAATAGCCCTGTGAAGTAGGTACTATTATTATCCCAGTTTCACAGATGGGAAAACTGAGGCTCCTTGAGACTAAGCCTTTTGCCCAAGGTCACACTTTAAGTCAAGATTAAATCCAGTGCAGTCTAATATCACAGTCTTTTTTGTTTTTGTTTTTGTTTTTTTGAGATACAGTCTTGCTTTGTCACAGTGGTGCAATCTCGGCTCACTGCAACCTCTACCTCCTGGGTTCAAGCGATTCTTGCATCTCAGCCTCTGGAGTAGCTGGAATTACAGGTGCATGCCACCATGCCCAGCCAATTTTTGTATTTTTAGGAAAGACAAGGTTTCACCATGTTGTCAAGGCTGGTCTTGAACTCCTGACTTCAAGTGATCCTCCCACCTCGGCCTCCCAAAGTGCTGGGATTACAGGCATGAGTCACCGTGCCCAGCCCAATATCACAGTCTTGACCCTTAACCTCTATGCTCTGTACCTTAGCTTAAATATTGCCAGCTTTTAAAGACTCGCTTGTTAATGCTCCCCCAGCCAGGGTAAAGTCCTCACTTTCAGGTAGTTCAAGATGCCTCTCTCGGCCTCAGTTTCCCCATTTATAGAGTGGGAGAAAAATTCTTGCTGTGCAGATTTGTTGTGAGGATTGAAGACAGTAGCACTTGTAAAAGAACTTTGTGAGGCGTAAGCCTAAATCGGATATTGTGGTGTTGTTATTTTTAGTTGCCAGGCTGTGCCAAGAAGTGAGGGCTTTTTTTTTTTTTTGTAAATATATATATAGGAATCTCAGTGAGTCACCAGGGTGAAGTTTTGCCAAAAAAGCTAGTGTGACCTTGGCCCCATTTATTGCAGCCAGGACAAGGGAAGTGGACTGATCCGTGTTGCAGCTTCCAGGTGTGTTGCCCTTGGAGCTGGCCTCCTGGCTGTGGGGGAGAGTTGGATGGGCTGGGCCACATTCACTGATCAGGGAGAGGAGGGGCTGGAGCCATCCGGGCCCTGGAAAACCAGCCATACACATGAGACACGGGGCAAGGGTTGTAGATCACATGCTACGGGGGCCAAGAGAGCGGCAACTCAGGGCGGTGGGGACTTTGGCTGGCTGCAGAGTGCCAATCTGTGCAAGGCTGTAGAGCTGCTGCCACTCCAGCTGACTGTTGCCATGGAGGGTGGAATGCAGGCCAGTGTTGCTTGAGCTGCTCATTTTTCAAGAGAGACGGAAACTTCTGTTCTTCAAAACCAAGTTATCTAAACAAAATCTGTGCGCTGGATGAATTAGGTGCATGAGTTGCCAGTTGGCAACCCTGACACAAGGAATCATGTGGGGTTCATTCATTCACCCAGTATTTTATTTTATTTATTTTATTTTTTTGAGACAGAGTCTCACCCTGTTGCCCAGGCTGGAGTGCAGTGGTGTGATCTCAGCTCACTGCTCTGCCTCCCGGGTTCAAGTGATTCTCCTGCCTCAGCCTGCCGAGTAGCTGGGATTACAGGCATGTGCCACCACACCTGGCTAATTTTTTGTATCTTTAGTAGAGACGGGGTTTCACCATGTTGGCTAAGCAGGTCTCAAACTCCTGACCTCATGATCGGCCTGCCTCGGTCTCCCAAAGTGCTGGGATTACAGGCGTGAGCCACCACACCTGGCCTATGCTCATCCAGTATTTTTAGCACATGGTATTGGAATGCGGGAAAGGCCATGGGGGCCCCTCTGTTTTCAGACCCTCCATGCCTCCTCCAGTCCCTCTACCTCTTGACCCTGCCAGCCTGTCAACCTGTCCTGACCTCACTCCCCCCTGCACCCCCATCTGTTCCTGTCCTCTCCTGCTGTATCTTATCCTGGATCTGAAGCCAGCCTAGCTCTGGGCTCCCCTGCTCCTGTCCTGGGGCTTCTGAGGGACCCAGTGGGCCCTGCTCAGCTGCCTCTCCCCCACCATATCTGGGCTATTTCACATTTTCTCAGACTTCCCCAAAGCTGCTCTGTACTCTTTTTTTTTTTAAATCAGCAAATGGCTTGATCTGCTGCTTGATAGGTAAAATAATCAACACTTCCTATGTTCAGCTCACCCTCTTGTCCCTCTTACCACCAGACCCATTAACCACCCGTGTATCCACATATCACCCCTTGGCTGGGGTGGGGTCCTCTCCTTCCTGGAGGACACCTCCACTTCTGCACCAATCCAGCTGTCCAGCCTATTCAGGTACTTTACTCTGTCCTTTTTCTCTGTCCTTTATCTTCAGCCCATCCCTCTCTCAGCCTATAAACATACTGAAGTTTCTCCACTGAAAACAACACAAAATGAAACATCCCTCCCTTCACCCTGTCAGCCCCTTCACGGGATCATGTTCTCTCTTCCCCGCTCCTCAGGCGAATTCTCGAAGAGGAGTCTACACTGGTGCCTTTCAACTCTTTTTTTTTTCTTTTTTTGAGATGGAGTCTTGCTCTGTCGCCCAGGCTGGAGTGCAGTGGTGTGATCTCAGATCACTGCAAGCTCCACCTCCTGGGTTCAAGCAATTCTCCTGTCTCAGCCTCCTGAGTAGCCGGGATTACAGGCAAGCACCACCACGCCTGGCTAATTTTTGTATTATTAGTAGAGACGGGGTTTTGTCATGCTGGTCTTGAACTCCTGACCTAAAGTGATCCATCCACCTCGGCCTTCCAAAGTGCTGGGATTACAGGCATGAGCCACCGCACCCGGCCTGGTCTGCCTTCTTACCTTGTACCCTCTCCTGGGGCCTTCTCCTCTGTCGGCTTTGACTTTGGCCCTTATGTCTACAATTCTTCAGGTTTTCTCCTTTATCAACTCTAGAACAGAGTTCTCCAGGGGAAATACAATACAAGCCATCTGTATAATTTAATTTTTTCTAGTATCCACATTAAAAAGGTAAAAAGCAACAGGTGAAATTAATTTTAATAATTAACCCATATAGCCAAAATCCTATTTCAAGATGCAATCAATGTAAAATTATTAGGATATTCTGGCCAGGCATGGTGGCTCACACCTGTAATCCCAGCACTCTGGGAGGCTGAGGTGAGAGGATTGCTTAAGGCCAGGAGCTCGAGACCAGCCCGGGCAACATAGTGAAACCTCATCTCTACACAAAATAAATTGAAAAACTTAGCTGGGATAGGGCTCAATGGCTCATGCCTGTAATCCCAGCACTTTGGGAGGCCAAGGCAGGCTGATCATCTGAGGTCAGGTGTTTGAGACCAGTCTGGCCAACATCGTGAAACCCTGTCTCTACTAAAAATACAAAAAAATAGTTGGGCATGGTGGCATGCACCTATAATCTCAACTACTCGGGAGGCTAAGGCAGGAGAATCACTTGAACCCGGGAGTTGGAGGTTGCAGTGAGCCGAGATTGCGCCATTGCACTCCGGCTTGGGCGACAGAGCAAGACTGTCTCAAAAAAAAAAAAAAAAAATTGGCTGCGTGCCGAGGCACATGCCCATAGTCCCAACTACTTGAGAGGCTGAGGTGGGAGTATCACTTGAGCCCAGGAGATGGAGGCTGCAATGAGCCCTGATCATGGCACTGCACTCCAGCCTGGGTGATAGAGCAAAACCCTATCTCAAGCATCAAACAAACAAACAAATAAAACAGAGGCACAAGAAAGCAAGGCATGCATGGAGCAGCGCAGTTGTTTGGTTTGAGGCCATCTGGCACAGGTAACTGCCTGGATTTAATCCTGGCTCACCATGTACAGGCTGTGTGACCTTGGACAAGCCATTCAAGTTCTCTAAGCTTCAGATTACCCATCTGTCAAGTGGGGGAGAATAATAGTGCTTAACTATCATTTGCAACATCTGAGTTTCTGGCTCGGCCAACGGGGATGGGGAACATAGAGTGAGGAGCAGGTGTGCTGTGAGATGGCGAACCTTCAACAGAGCCTGAGACGTCCGCGGAACACCAGGAGAGTTGCAGTGGGGATTTGCAAATAGGCATCTGGCTCCCCCACGGAGATGACGGGAATTTCAGCGCATCAGGCATAGCTGAGACTGTCTACGTGGTAAAACCATGCCTGAAAAGACCTTTGGAAAATCAGGAGGTTGCTGGAGCCCTTGGAGAGAGCTTTGGTGTCTGTGACATGTGGAAATGGAAGCCAGATTGAGGAGGGGGTGCGAGGGAAGGGGTGAAGCAGCTGGCCAGTGTGTTCTCTCCTGCAGCCTGACTGAAACAGGGAGGGGGCAACCAGGAACCCACAGCTGGAGAAGGACACTGGGCAGGGGTGGGACAGTTTGCTGGGAAGGATGAGACTCCAGTGTGTGGGAACCGATCAATGGGAGGATGGAAGGTATGGGGGAGACGGAGGCCTCTGCAGAGGGAGAGGATAGCACAGGAGCCAGGGCTGAAGGGAACAGTGGCTCTAGACTGAGGGTAATGGGCCTGAAGGTAGGCCCCTTCCCCTGTGAAGGCAGCATTATCTGAGGAGCCGTGAGGGATGGGCAAGAAGCAGCAGCTTGGGAATGCCGCCTGAGGTCAGTGGAAATGAAGCTGAGGGCAAGACAGTTAGGGGCCCACTGTTCCAGCATTGTGGGAATTGCGGTGGAGTGTGTGTGTGTAGGGAGGGGTTCCTGGCAGAGTCAGGCATGGATGGATTTGGAGGTCCCTTGAAGAAACTTCCTTCAGGTCAGCCTGAAGTGTGAGGGACTCTGAGGGGGTGCAATGCATGCCAGCCATCCCCTCCTCGCAGCCCTGCCTCACCCCAAAACTTCAGGTGGGCCTGGGGCTGAGGTGCTTGGATGTTTGTAGTAAGAGCTTCTAACTCTGCCGCTCCACCCGGCTCTCAGTGGCTCAGGTCTGAGAGGCCTCAGCAGGGGCAAGGAGAGGAGGCAGTGAGGAGGGAAGGCTCTGGAGGAAGAGGGCATGGCAGAGGGTCTTCGAGGCAACGCCAGGGAGGCCCAGGGCATGAGGGTGAGGAGCTAGAACTGAGCTCTGAGCCCTCCTCTGAGGTTGGGGCTTCTGGGCAGGCAGCCCCCTTAGAGGCCCTCCCTTGTAGGTATTCGGCCTTGGTTCCGTGGCCCATATGCTTCTAAATAAAACATTTGGGAGCTACCTTGGTGTCAACTTGGGTTTTGGCTTCGGAGTCACCATGGGAGTGCACATGGCAGGCCGCACCTCTGGTGAGTGAGCCCAGGCCCTGCCGGACCGGGCAAGACCAGGTGTCCCCAACAGGCTCTTTCCTGCCCGCCTCAGCCAGCTCCTTTGCCAGCACAGCCAGTGCCTCAGCCTGGCCACCGGGCGGGAGGAAGTCTCCTCTGAACCCCGTGCCTATGACGTGTCTGCCCCAGATTCTTCCTGGCCCCCCCGACCTACCATTTTCACTGGCTGGGTCATCTTAGGCAAGCCATCGCCTCTGTGTTCCTCAGTTTCCTTAAGAGTGAAAGGAAGACGGTGGCCCCTGCCTCACGGGGTGGTTGTGAGGGCTCAAGGAGAGAACTCTGTCACGGAGCATGCTGTCATACACACTAGCCATCGTTGTTCTCATACTGTTTGTCACTGTTGTTTGTTCTGCTCTCACTCCCTGACACACTTGCCTGCTGCCCGCAGGAGCCCACATGAACGCAGCTGTGAGCCTCACTAACTGTGCACTGGGCCGTGTGCCCTGGAGGAAGTTTCCAGTCTATGTGCTGGGGCAGTTCCTGGGCTCCTTCCTGGCAGCTGCCACCATCTACAGTCTCTTCTACAGTGAGCGTCCTGCCCGGGTGTCCGCCTCTGGCCTCAGCTGCCTCCTATGAAATATGGGCAGATTGGACCTCAGTGTCCTGATTTGTAAAAAATAGCTGGGAGAAAAAAGCCTTGGAGGTCTCCCACCCTCTAACCTATAACCTAATTTCCGGGACCCTGGTGGGGCTTAGCTGGGGACAGGTTCGCATGATAGTCTGTGTCTCCACAGCGGCCATTCTCCACTTTTCGGGTGGAGAGCTGATGGTGACCGGTCCCGTTGCTACAGTTGGCATTTTTGCCACCTACCTTCCTGATCACATGACATTGTGGCGGGGCTTCCTGAATGAGGTCAGTGGTCCAGGATGAGTACCCCTCCCCCTGCCCTCCACCCCTCAGGACGGAGCCAGCAGGGAGTCCCTCCGGATAGACAGGACAAGAACTCTGGATGGAGACTGTACCAAGATGTGTCTCTGCTGGTGGGCTTGGGTCTGGGGCACTGCCGAGGTCCTGTGGCTTGGGGAGGGGCCCAGGTGAGCTTCCACAGCATCTGCTCCTCAGGAGTGGCTGACCGGGATGCTCCAGCTGTGTCTCTTCGCCATCGTGGACCAGGAGAACAACCCAGCACTGCCAGGAACACACGCACTGGTGATAGGCATCCTCGTGGTCATCATCAGGGTGTACCATGGCATGAACACAGGATATGCCATCAATCCGTCCCGGGACCTGCCCCCCCGCATCTTCACCTTCATTGCTGGTTGGGGCAAACTGGTCTTCAGGTACTGCCCCTGCCCAGGCCCATTCCTTTGAGATTTTCTGTGGGGCCCCTGTGTGTTGAGGTGTGGGGGGTGATGTGAGGGGCAGCACAGGAGGGTCCTGCAGAGCCCCCAGGTGGCCTGGGGAGCAGGAGTGAGTCCCAACATTTCCCCAGGCCAGTACAGATACAGATCCTGCACCTGCACTGAGTGTCAACCCTGTCCCTGAATCGGGCTGAGGCTGACCAGGGCCCCGGGTTGGGGGTGTTTCCTGGGTTAGCCTGAGGATGACTCCTCTGCTCAACCAGTCTTGGCCCGAGGTGGATGAGGGTGCTGTCCTGGGCATCAGCCCCCTCAGCCGGCCTCTGCCTCTTGCCTGCAGCGATGGGGAGAACTTGTGGTGGGTGCCAGTGGTGGCACCACTTCTGGGTGCCTCTCTAGGTGGCATCATCTACCTGGTCTTCATTGGCTCCACCATCCCACGGGAGCCCCTGAAATTGGAGGACTCTGTGGCATATGAAGACCACGGGATAACCGTATTGCCCAAGATGGGATCTCATGAACCCATGATCTCTCCCCTTACCCTCATCTCCGTGAGCCCTGCCAACAGATCTTCAGTCCACCCTGCCCCACCCTTACATGAATCCATGGCCCTAGAGCACTTCTAAGCAGAGATTATTTGTGATCCCATCCCTTCCCCAATAAAGAGAAGCTTGTCCCACAGCAGTACCCCCACTTCCTGGGGGCCTCCTGTGGCTGGGCTTCCCTCCTGGGTTCTTCCAGGAGCTCTAGGGCTATGTCTTAGCCCAAGGTGTAGAGGTGAGGCACCTCAAGTCTTTCATGCCCTGGGAACTGGGGTGCCCCAGGGGGAGAATGGGGAAGAGCTGACCTGCGCCCTCAGTAGGAACAAGGTAAGATGAAAGAATGACAGAAACAGAATGAGGGATTTTCAGGCAAGGGGGAAGGAAGGGCAGTTTTGGTGAAAGGACTGTAGCTGACTGGTGGGGGGCTGGCTTTGGAAATACTTTGAGGGGATCCTGAGACTGGACTCTAGACTCTCCCCTGGTTGTTCCCTTCCCCGAGTTCTGGCCGGTTCTTGGACCAGACAAGGCATGGCCCAAGAAGGTAGATCAGAATTTTTTAGCCTTTTTTTCATTAGTGCCTTCCCTAGTATTCTTCCAGATTTTTTTTCTTAATCACATGAAATTTTAATACCACAGATATACTATACATCTGTTTATGTTCTGTATATGTTCTGTGCTTTATACGTAAAAAAGAGTAAGATTTTTTTTCACCTCCCCTTTTAAGAATCAGTTTTAATTCCCTTGAGAATGCTTGTTATAGATTGAAGGCTGGTAAGGGGTTGGGCTCCTCTTTCTTCTTCCTGGTGCCAGAGTGCTCCCACATGAAGGAATAGGAAAGGAAGATGCAAAGAGGGAAATCCTTCGAACACATGAAGACACAGGAAGAGGCCTCTTAGGGCTCCAAGGGCTCCAGGGAAGCAGCTGCAGAGGTTGGGTGGGGTGAGGGGCCAGGATCCACTGACCCTGGGGCCAGGCAGGAATCACTCTGTTGCCTGGGGCTCAGAAGGCAGTATCACCCATGGTTCCTGTCATTGCTCATGTATTTTGCCTTTCAACAATTATTGTGCACCTACTGTGTGCAGGCCCTGCCTGGACACTGGGGATGCGCAGTGGATGCACTGGGCTCTGCCTTTGAGGGTTGCAGTTTAATGGGTGACAGGTAATTATAAGGAAGAAGGTGAGTGCAGAGTGGGAGGCTTGGAGGCTGTGGGGCTTGGGGTGGGGGAGCTCACATCCAGCCTCTGGGCCAAGGCCAGGAGGCTTCCCAGAGGAGGAGACAGAGCAGGGTATTGTGGTGGGGGGTGTCCTTTTTGGGGCTGGGATTGCACTTTACAGTTTGAGGGGATGGGCAGAGGAGGCTGGGCTTCATTCTGGAGGTGGGGACATGGTGAGGTGAGGTTTAGAAAGCACACCTGAGCCGCAGTGTGTAGGATGCTGGAAATGGTGGAGATGGGCCTGCGAAGAGAGTGCTGGGAAGTGATGACCCAGGAGCAGCAGCCGGGCACCTAACAATGGGTCAGCACCGTGGGCGTGGAGACAAGGGCCGGGATTGATCAATACCCGAGAAGTACAATGTACAGGACTTGGGCTCCATTTGGATGGAGTGGGTGAGGGAGGAGTCAGAAATGGCTTCCGGTTTCCAGCTTGGGCCTGGGGATTGGAGATGTCCCCACTGAGAGTAGGGCACAAGTGAGGAAATTGTTTGGAGAGGAAGATGATAAGTTACATCATGGATGTGCTGAGTCTGAGTTGCCTATGGGACTTGGAATGGGGGGTGGCAAAAGGTGTGTGATCTTGAGCAAGATATTCAACTCTTCTGGGCCTTGGTCTTCTCATTTGTAAAACGGTGATAAGAATATTACTTCCCATTTGTGTTGCTGTGAATATTAAATGCGCTACCACATGTAAAATGTTGAGAATCGTTTCTAGCTCAGAGTAAGTGCTCAATAAACACCATTATGCCTTTTATATGGTCTGGAGCTCAGAAGTGGAAGACAGGGTTTTGTGAAGTCATGGCTTTGTGGATGTAGCTAGATTGTGGAGTAATGGCAGGAGGGTCGGGGGCATGGCACAAGGTAGGTGGTCAAGAGACACTGGACACAACCCAAATGTCCATCCACAGGGGAACAGATACATACACTGCTGCGCAATTGCACATAATAGAATCCTCTACAATAGCAAAAATTAAGGCACAACAGACACCTGCAACAACACAGAAAAATTCTGGAGGCATAAAAAGTAATACAGTAGCTGGGTGTGGTGGTTCACACCTGTAATCCCAGCACTTTGGGAGGCCAAGGTGGGTGGATCACGAGGTCAAGAGATCAAGACCATCCTGGCCAACATGGTGAAACCCTGTCTCTACTAAAAATACAAAAATTAGCCGGGTGTTATGGCACACACCTGTAGTCCCAGCTACTCGGGAGGTTGAGGTGCGAGAACTGCTTAAACCTGGGAGGCGGAGGTTGCAGTGAGCCAAGATCACATCACTGCATTCCAGCCTGGCGACAGAGCGAGACTCGGTCTCAAAAAAAAAAAAAAAAAAAAAGCCTGGTGTAGTTGGGCACCTGTAATCCCAGCTGCTCAAAAGGCTGAGGCAGGAGAGAATCCCTTGAACCCGGGAGGCGGAGGTTGCAGTGAATGGAGATTGTGCCACTGCACTCCAGCCTGGGTGACAGAGTGAGACTGCGTCTCAAAAAAAAAAAAAAAAAGTAATACGGTAGACTATATACAGTGTGACACAAACTTGTAGCTGAAAAATAAGCAAAAACACATTCTTTGATATATATATATGTATGTAAGAAAACTACTTTAGAAAAAGAAATAATTCCTACAGGCAGATGGGGAAGAACACAGGAGTAGTACAAGCTATTAATAATTTTCTAGTTTTGGAGTTGGACATTTGTGAGTTTATTATATGATTGTGCTTGATAACATATAAATGTGATACATATTGTTTGTATGAGATATATATATATATATATATACCCACACACAGATAGATGATTGCTGACAAGGAGTTTCTAAAGATCATATATATATTTTTAGGTAAAATAGAATAACATTCTGCTTCTGGTCTTCATAATAAAAGAGAAATCAGGACTAAGAAATCAAGTGTTTATTATATAGAGTTTTAATTTTTATTCTTTTATTTATTGATTTATCTTCTTTAGGCATGTGCAGAGATGAACTCACTAATTGTTCAAAATAAACAATTTGAATTCAAAGCAAAGTATATTTTTGGAATATCAATTATCACTTATTGCAGATAAATGATAATATAAAACACCAACTTTGGAATTTATTTGTTTTACTTCTGTGACTCTCAGCCTTCTTTTTAAAATATAGTGTATGTTTTAGGTAAGTTCAGACAGCAGCCAGCACTACATTTGGTTTAAAATCCAGCTTTATAATGACTTCATCTTTCAACCAGCCAAAGGGTAGTTACCTTGTGTCTGCCATCGTGCATATGCTCTCAGCTCCTGACTGAGAAAACATGCCTGCAAGCACTTCCCTGCCTGAGATTATATTAAAAATCCATACCTGTGCTAGCAGCATGAGTTCAAGTTGATTATTGTTCTAGATCTGTGACTTCCCATTCATCCTCCTAAAGATATAAATGATTGCTTTTCAATAGACCACATACTTAGGAATGATTATGAAGGCAAGGTTTAGTAACAATAATATACATAGTACTCTAATGGGATTGAATTGGAACACCCACATTAAACTCTCTTAAAATATATGGAGCAGAACACATGAGAGAAAGCAAAAGAACAAGTGCACACAGCAGAGCTGCGAGTTGCATACTCTGTGCATGCTAATACCATCGCAACAACATCACTAAGGCTTCTGGGTAACGTTTGCCACATCATATTGTGACGTGCATTTGTTTTTATATTTTACCCTAAAAGGCAAAATAACTCTCCATGTGATGAAAGAAGGAGCACACACAAAAAAAACCCTCTCAGAAATATTAAAATGGTTGCAGGTAATTCAAATGGTATACTGTTTTAAAAGGTACTTGTCTAACACTTTAAGTTGGAAAAGCATCTTGGAAGTCATTAGATTCATATTTACATTACTTGAATTGTGACCCTAGCTTGACATTTCCATGGTGGGAGACATATTTTATTTAGGAGGCAGCAGTCTATTTAGTTTTTGAGAGCTTAATCGATAGATGGTTCAGATTTTCTACTGAACCAAAATCTAAATGCCTACCCATTGGTTTTCGTAGCCAACGTCAATATCCAACTGCTCTTTCATACAACATGGCTTCAAAGGCTATGTAACTAACATCATGCCACTGCACCTATGTCTTTTTAAAGCCAAGTACCTCTAGTGCCCCTCATTATAGCTCATATTTCAAGGTATCTTTCAGCAACAATGAATTGCATTAATCAAACTCACTTTTTTTGCGTGTGCTTCACTTTATAGCTCTTCACAAATAACACATTTTTCACAAATTGAAGGTTTGTGGCAATCTTGCATCAAGCAAGTCTATTCATTCTATTTTTCCAACAACGTGCTCACCTTGTGTCTCTATTTGACATTTTAGTAATTATCACAACATTTCACATTTTAAAATTATTATTATTATTTTAAATATTTTAACTTTTAGGTTCATGGGAACGTGTGGAGGTTTGTTCTTTAGGTAAATTCGTGACTCAGGGGTTTGATGTACAGATTATTTTGTCACCTGAGTAGTAAGCATAGTACCCAACAATTTTTTTTTCCCTGAACCTCACCCATCTCTCATCCTCCTCCCTCAAGCACACCCTAGTGTCTATTGTGCTGCTCTTTCAGTCAATGTGTTCTCATTATTTAGCTCCCAGTGATAAGTGAAAATAGGGAGTATTGGGTTTTCTGATCCTGTGTTACTTTGCTAAGGATAATGGCCTCCAAGCTCCATCCATGTTGCCGCAAAGGACAGATCTCATTCTTTTTTATGGCTGCATAGTAATTCATGGTGTATATGTACCGTACTTTCTTTTTCCAGTCTACCACTGATGGGAATTTAAGTTGATTCCTGGGTATCTATTACCTAAATTACATATAAAAGCAGAAAAGAAAAATGACAAGTAGAACATGAAAGTTAAACAGTATCTTTTCAGGTTCAATGACATAAATATTCTTATTATCTAAAGGTATAAAGTCTAATGTTTTATTTCCTATAGTGCTTTTATAGCAAAACACTTTTCAGAATTAGATAAACCAGATTGAGGCCCCAGTCTTACTACCTATTAGCTAGGTAAACTTGAGCTTTGGGATTTTCAGATTCAGATCTTGCAGGCAAATAAGATTTATTTGATATTACTTGAGGATGACAATGTCTATCTTGCAGATTATTATGGTAATGAGTTTATTTATGTGGATTGTTTTAGGATATTTTAAAACTATGTACAGACCTAAAAAAATCCTCATAATCTTTGCAGAACTGGGAAGGCATACAGGCATAATACAACTGTAAGAGTTACTGTTTCTCATGCTTTTGTTTTCTAACTGCTCTGGCCACTGTTTTAGAAGGAAGGGTGAATATATGTAAATATTCCTGAAAAAATAAAGTTTTAGAATATTAAATTATTACATATTTCATTCAGAATTTTTTGAAAGGTAAAACCAATGATTGAACGTAGTTCATGGGATGATCTGGTCCATATTCATCTACCATGATTTAACAAATTTTTTTTCTCATCTATTGATGAGGAAAAAATTAAGGGGAAATGTAGAAATGTAAGGTAAATGATCTGCAAAGAAATACACACAGGAGGTATGTGGGAATGTAACAGTGTAGGTCCGCAGGCAAACTAGGTGAAGGAGGAAGGTGAGGAAGAAAGGAATTTAAGACTTACTCTTTCTGTTTTCTTCTCAATTTTAAAGCCTGATGGAATATAATTTTCTCTACAGTAAATGTTGAATGAAAATCAGTTTTGTATGTGTTAATAATGACTTCACCAAGAGCATTTGAAGCTCTGTCTATCATATTTTGATGCTCAAAATAAAACATTGTTTTTATAGCTTAATAGTCTCATACAGTCAATTATTGCCTCCCCTCCAGACTGACACTTTGAACATTATTATTAACACTGCTGTCCTTAAACCATCATCGGCCTGCAGTGCAGACAATTTATTGATAGCTAATAAAACAGTGTTCAGATGCTGCCTGAGTGCAGGATTCAGAATTGTCATACCAATGCATAACCACATTTGATCTTTTGGAACAAGTTCCATTACTTAAAAATTATGGTTTCATTTTCTTATTTTTATATCTAGATTTTAACATTATATGCATGCCTATATAAGCATTAAATATGTTATTCAGTTATGTGTGAGTGTAACTGAAATTTCTTGTAAAGTGTATGTACAGTTTAATATAAGACAGATTATTGATTAGGAAATAGTTAACAATTAATAATAGACATTGGCCAACCTCAATTACTAAACCAGAAAATAAGTTTATTTATTTATTGTATTATTTTTTTATTATACTTTAAGTTTTAGAGTACATGTGCACAATGTGCAGTTTATTTAAATGTATTGACTGTTTTTTAGTCACTACACAAATCATCTAAAAGAAAATACCTCAGATGAAACCTGCAGATCCACTAACTAGTTATCAGTTTATCAAGACTGATCGTGTCCACTCCCTTCAGAAATCACATGGATTTGTGCATTATGCAGATCTTTTTTGGTCTTCCCCATCTTTTCCCATCCTGAACTAGAAGTAGAAGCCTATTGCATTTTTATCTGGTACTTTCTTTTGCATTTAGTAGAAATACATACACATACTACCCGAGGCTACTCCGCAGTACATTAAAATTTCCTTTTGCTTTCCAGTAATTTCAAATATCTCAACTAAATATCTCAGTTGAAAAATCAAAGTTTTAATTCTTATCCATCTTTCAACATAAAAACTTTTAATATTGATTATAATGTGTTGCCTGCACTTTTGTTTTTTTTTTGTTTTGTTTTGAGACGGAGTTTCACTGTGTTGCCCAGGCTGGAATGCAGTGGCTAGATCTCAGCTCATTGAAATGTCCCGAGTTTAAGCAATTCTCCTGCCTTAGCCTCCTCAGTAGCTGGGATTACAGGCAAGCACCACCATGCCCTGCTAATTTTTGTATTTTTAGTAGAGATGGGGTTTCACCATGTTGGCCAGGCTGGTCTCAAACTCCTGACCTCAGGTGATCCTCCCGTCTCGGGCTTCCAAAGTGCTGGGGTTACAGGCGTGAGCCACCCTGTCTGGCCCAGCACTCTTAATAGATATATAAATCTTACTCTATTAATTGAACTAAGAACATCTTTATAATTTTCCAAATATCATTTATAATTATTAAATATTAAAACACATTTATTCTGCTTAGCAAACTTTGCATCTCCTCAGAATGCCTAAATATTTTGCCATATGAAGGTTCCAGTGGAAGTTTCAGACAATACATTTTGATGGCAAATGGTGAATTTTCCTATTGAGAAATATGTTGATTACAAGAAATAAGAGAGACAGTAGATTTTCAAAACCTTTTCAAACTATTTCAGATGAATATTCAGAATTATTTTACTTATAGATTGCACTCTTCTAAGGCACTTACATATTCTGACAACTATGTGTTTTTGAAGCAAATTTTGACTGAATTAATAAATGACAGCACAGATCAAAATTTAAAAACTTACAAAATTCTCAATAGATTTCACAATTGTGCAAAGTCCCATGCTTTCTTTTAATATTGTATACTTACTATACTTTTAAGGGGTACTTTTTAACAGTTGATTTATTATCAAATAAACTTTCTATAATTTGACAGAACAACATAAATTCTTGTTTTTCTCCTTTCTACCTAGAACATACATATGATAGTTGAGAAAGACACATATTCTGATCATGAAGAAATAAACACAAGTTAAATATGACTAAGCAGAAAGATGGAAGGACCAGGAACGGTGATGCTAACTTGGAACCACGATGCAGGCTCTAAACTCCTCTACAATCATCCTCCCTTGTGAGAAAAATACGTAAGTCACTTTTAAAATAAATAGAAACCTGAACACACTTCTTAGCTGGTTTAAGTATTTTAAAAACATTGATGAATTAAACACAGAAATATGGGGAAATCTCATTACTTACCTTAAATTTTGAAATTTTCTTTACAGATCATGAGTTACTTAATGCTCTTTCACTCCTGAGTTTACATTGTAAATTAAAGTTATGTCAGCTTTAAAAAATAACCAATTAAAAATGATCTAAATTTATACTTTAATTTTAACGAATAGTATTATCTCTTATTATTTACCTCTGATAAAGTCCAAATGTTTGTAGGCCTATAGCTCTGGTTATATACAATGAAATATCTTTCTCATGAGTGTAGAATATCTAGATTATATTTAATGCATTTACTTTTTGAGGAAAAGGAAACCCTTAATAAAATAGCTTCAAATATTTGGTTTTAAAAAATGAGAAAACAAATACATTACAGGACTTTTGGATTTATCACCAACATGTGAAGGGCTCAGAAGTTGTCATTCCTGGCCTTACAATAATAATAATAATAAAAGCTATACAAATTGAAAATCAATGACATTTCCACAGTGGGAGACATATTTTATTTAGGAGACAGCAGTCTATTTAGTTTTTGAGAGCTTAATCGATAGATAGTTCAGGTTTTCTAGTGAACCAAAATCTAAATGCCTACCCATTGGTTTTGGTAGCCAACATCAATATCCAACTGCTCTTTCACACAACATGACTTCAAAGGCTATGTAACTAACATCATGTCACTGCACCTATGTCTTTTTAAAGCCAAGTACCTCTAGTGCCCCTCATTATAGCTCATATTTCAAGGTTTTCTGTTCCTGCATTAGTTTGCTGAGGATAATGGCTTTCAGCTCCATCCATGTCCCTGCAAAGGACTTGATCTCATTTCCTTTTATGGCTGCATAGTATTCCATGTTGTATATGTACCACATTTTATTTACCCAGTCTATCATTGATGGGCATTTGGGTTGATTTCATGTATTAGCTATTGTGAATAGTGCTGCAATGAACACACACATGCATGTATCTTTATAATAAAATGATTTATATTCCTTTGGGTACATACCTAGTAATGGGATTGCTGGGTCAAATGGTATTTCTGGTTCTAGGACTTCGAGGAATTGCCACAGTCTTCCACAATAGTTGAACTAATTTACATTCCTACCAACAGTGTAAAAGCATTCCTATTTCTCTGCAGCCTCAACAGTATCAGTTGTTTCTTGACTTTTTAATAATCACCATTCTGACTAGTGTGAGATGGTATCTCATTGTGGTTTTGATTTGCATTTCTCTAATGATTAGTGATGTTGAACTTTTTTTTTGCATGTTTGTTGGCCACATAAATGTCTTCTTTTGAGAAGTGCCTGTTCATGTCCTTTGCCCACTGTTTAATAGGATTGTCTGTTTTTTTCTTGTAAATTTGTTTAAGTTCCCTGTAAATTCTGGATATTAGACCTTTGTCGGATGGATAAATAGCAAATTTTTCTCCCATTCTGTAGGTTGTCTGTTCACTGTGATGATAGTTTCTTTTGCTGAGCAGAAGCTCTTTAGTTTAATTAGACCCCATTTGTTAATTTCTGCTTTTGTTGCTATTGTTTTTGGCATTTTTGTCATGAAATCTTTGCCTATGCCTATGTCCTGAATGGTATTGCCTAGATTTTCTTCTAGGGTTTTTATAGTTTTGGATTTTACACTTAAGTCTTTAACCTATCTTGAGCTAATTTTTGTATAACGTGTAAGGAAGGGGGTCCAGTTTCAATTTTCTGCATATGGCTAAAGTTCTTCCATAGTTCTTCCAGCACCATTAATTAAATAGAAAATCCTTTCCCCATTACTTGTGTTTGTCAGGTTTGTTGAAGATCAGATGGTTGTAGCTGTGTGGTCTTATTTCTGAGTTCTCAATTCTGTTCTATTGGTCTATGAGTCTGTTTTTGCACCACCACTATGCTGTTTTGTTTACATGCTGGTTTGGTAGCCTTGTAGTGTAGTTTGAAGTAAGGTAGCATGATCCCCCCAGCTTTGCTATTTTTGCTTAATATTATCTTGGCTCTACAGACTCTTTTTTGTCCATATGAATTTTAAAACAGATTATTCTAATTCTGTGAAAAATGTCAATGTTAGTATAAGGGGAATAGCATTGAATCTATAAATTACTTTGGGTAGTATGGCCATTTTAATCATATTGGTTCTTTCTATCACTTCCCTTCTTAGCTGTATTCCTAGGTATTTTATTCTCTGTAACAATTGTGGAATTGGAGTTCTTTCATGATTTGGCTCTCTGCTTGTCTGTTGTTAGTGTGCAGGAATCCTTGTGATTTTCACACATTGATTTTTTATCCTGAGATTTTGCTGACAATGGGGTTGAGACAATGGGGTTTTCTAGATAAAGGATCATGTCATCTGCAGAGACAATTTGGCTTCCTCTCTTCCTATTTGAATACCATTTGTTTCTTTCTCTTGCTTAATTGTTCTGGCCAGAACTTCCAATAATATGTTGAATAGGAGTGGTAAGAAAGAGCATCCTTGTCATGTGCCTCTTTTCAATGAAAATGCTCACAGCTTTTTCCCATTCAGTATGATATGGGTTGTTAGTTTGTCATAAATGGCTCTTAATATTTTGAGGTATGGTCCTTCAATACCTAGTTTATTGAGAGTTTTTAAAATGAAGGGATGTTGAATTTTAACATGAAGTGTTGTTGAAAGGCCTTTTCTGCATCTATTGAGATAATTATGAGGTTTTTATCTTTAGTTCTGTTTATGTAATGGATTACATTTATTGATTTGCATATGTTGAAACAGCCTTGTATCCCGGGGATGAAGCCAACTTGATTGTGGTGGATAAGCTTTTGGATGTGCTGCTGGATTTGGCTTGCCAGTATTTTATTGAGGATTTTTGCATCGATGTTCATCAGGGATATTGGCCTGAAGTTGTCTTGTTTTGTTGTATCTCTCCCAGGCTTTGGTATCAGGATGATGCTGGCCTCATAACATGAATTAGGGAGGAGTCTCTCCTCTTCAATCATTTGGAATAGTTTCAGAAGAAATAGCACTGGCTCCTCTTTGTACATCTGGTAGAATTCCACCATAATTCCATCTGGTCCTGGTCTTTCATTGGTTGGTAGGCTATATATTACTGCCTTAATTTCAGAACTTGTTATTGGTCTATTCAGGGATTCAACTTCTTCCTGGTTCAATCTTGGGAGTTTATGTGTCCAGGAATTTATCCATTTCTTCTAGATTTTCTAATTTATTTGCATAGAGGTGTTTATAGTATTCTCTGATGGTTGTTTGTATTTCTGTAAACTCAGTGTTCATATCCCCTTTATCATTTTTTATTGTGTCTATTTGATCTTCTCTCTTTTCTTATTAGTGTAGCTAAAAGTCTATTTTGTTAATTTTTTTCAAAAAAACAGTTCCTGGATTTGTTGATTTTTTGAAGGGTTTTTCCTGTCTCAATCTCCTTTAGTTTTGCTCTGATCTTACTTATTTCTTGCCTTCTGCTAGCTTTGGGGTTTGTTTGTTCTTGGTTCTCTAGTTCTTTAAACTGTGATGTTAGGATGTTGACTTGAGATATTTCTGATGTGGATATTTAGTGCTATACATTTCCTCAATGCTGTTTTAGCTGTATCCCAGAGATTCTGGGACATTGTCTCTTTGTTCTCATTAGTTTCAAATAACTTCTTGACTTCTGCCTTAATTTCATTTTTTACCCAGTAGTCATTCAGAAGCAGGATGTTACATTTCTATGTAGTTGTGTGGTTTTGAGTGAGTTTCTTAATTTTGAGTTCTAATTTGATTGTACTGTGGTCTGAGAGACTATCAAGATTTTAGTTATTTTGCATTTGCAGAGGAGTGTTTTACTTCCAATTATGTGATCGATTTTAGAGTAAGTGCCATGTAGCTCCAAGATGAATGTATATTCTGTTGTTTTTGAATGGAGAGTTCTGTAGATACTTATCAGGTCCACTTGATCTACAGCTGTTTGAGTCCTGAATATCCTTGTTAACTTTCTGTCTTGATAATTTGTCTAATATTGACAGTGGGGTGTTAAAGTCTCCCACTATTATTATGTGAGAGTCTAAATGTCTTTGTAGTTCTCTAGGAACTTGTTTTATGAATCTGGGTCCTCTAGAATTGGGTGCATGTGTATTTAGGATAGTTACCTCTTCTTGATGAACTGAATACTTAACCATTATGTAATTCCCTTCTTTGTCTTTTTTTATCTTTGTTGATTTAAAGCCTGTTTTCTCAAACACTAGAATTGCAACCCCTCCTTTTCCTGCTTTCCGTTTGCTTGGTAAATTTTCCTCCATCTCTTTATTTTGAGCCTATGTGTGTCTTTGCATATGAGATGGTTCACCTGAATACAGCACACTGGTGGGTCTTGACTATCCAGTTTGCCAGTCTTTGTCTTTTAATTGGGACATTCAGTCCATTTACATTTAAGGTTAATATTCTTATGTGTGAATTTGGTCCTGTGATTATGATGCTATCTGGTTATTTTGCAGACTTGTTAATGTTGTTGCTTCATAATATTATTGGTCTGTGTACTTTACTGTGTTTTTGTAGTGGCCGGTAATGGTTTTTCCCTTCCATATTCAGTGCTTCCTTTAGGAGCTCTTGCAAGGCAGTCTTGGTTGTGATGAATTCCCTGAGTATTTGCTTGTCTGAGAAGGATTTTATTTCTTCTTTGCTCATGAAGCTTAGTTTGGCCAGATATGAAATTCTGAGCTGGAAATTCTTTTCTTTAAGACTGTTGACATGAAGTCCTTGCCCATGCCTATGTCCTGAATGGTAATGCCTAGGTTTTCTTCTAGGGTTTTTATGGTTTTAGGTCTAACGTTTAACTCTTTAATCCATCTTGAATTGATTTTTGTATAAGGTGTAAGGAAGGGATCCAGTTTCAGCTTTCTACATATGGCTAGCCAGTTTTCCCAGCACCATTTATTAAATAGGGAATCCTTTCCCCATTGCTTGTTTTTGTCAGGTTTGTCAAAGATCAGATAGTTGTAGATATGTGGCGTTATTTCTGAGGGCTCTGTTCTGTTCCATTGATCTATATATCTGTTTTGGTACCAGTACCATGCTGTTTTGGTTACTGTAGCCTTCTAGTATAGTTTGAAGTCAGGTAGCGTGATGCCTCCAGCTTTGTTCTTTTGGCTTAGGATTGACTTGGCGATGCGGGCTCTTTTTTGGTTCCATATGAACTTTAAAGTAGTTTTTTCCAATTCTGTGAAGAAAGTCATTGGTAGCTTGATGGGGATGGCATTGAATCTGTAAATTACCTTGGGCAGTATGGCCATTTTCACGAGATTGATTCTTCCTACCCATGAGCATGGAATGTTCTTCCATTTGTTTGTATCCTCTTTTATTTCTTTGAGCAGTAGTTTGTAGTTCTCCTTGAAGAGGTCCTTCACATCCCTTGTAAGTTGGATTCCTAGGTATTTTATTCTCTTTGAAGCAGTTGTGAATGGGAGTTCACTCATGATTTGTCTCTCTGTTTGTCTCTTTTTGGTGTATAAGAATGCTTGTGATTTTTGTACATTGATTTTGTATCCTGAGACTTTGCTGAAGTTGCTCATCAGCTTAAGGAGATTTTGGGCTGAGACAATGGGGTTTTCTAGATATACAATCATGTCGTCTGCAAACAGAGACAATTTGACTTCCTCTTTTCCTAATTGAATACCCTTTATTTCCTTCTCCTGCCTAATTGCCCTGGCCAGAACTTCCAAAACTATGTTGAATAGGAGTGGTGAGAGAGGGCATCCCTGTCTTGTGCCAGTTTTCAAAGGGAATGCTTCCAGTTTTTGCCCATTCAGTATGATATTGGCTGTGGGTTTGTCATAGATAGCTCTTATTATTTTGAAATACATCCCATCAATACCTAATTTATTGAAAGTTTTTAGCATGAAGGGTTGTTGAATTTTGTCAAAGGCTTTTTCTGCATCTATTGAGATAATCATGTGGTTTTTGTCTTTGGCTCTGTTTATATGCTGGATTACATTTATTGATTTGCATATATTGAACCAGCCTTGCATCCCAGGGATGAAGCCCACTTGATCATGGTGGATAAGCTTTTTGATGTGCTGCTGGATTCGTTTTGCCAGTATTTTATTGAGGATTTTTGCATCAATGTTCATCAAGGATATTGGTCTAAAATTATCTTTTTTTGTTGTGTCTCTGCCTGGCTTTGGTATCAGAATGATGCTGGCCTCATAAAATGAGTTAAAGCAATGGAAACAAAAGACAAAATTGACAAATGGGATCTAATTAAACTAAAGAGCTTCTGCACAGCAAAAGAAACTACCATCAGAGTGAACAGGCAACCTACAAAATGGGAGAAAATTTTCGCAACCTACTCATCTGACAAAGGGCTAATATCCAGAATCTACAATGAACTCAAACAAATTTACAAGAAAAAAACAAACAACCCCATCAAAAAGTGGGCGGAGGACATGAACAGACACTTCTCAAAAGAAGACATTTATGCAGCCAAAAAACACATGAAAAAATGCTCATCATCACTGGCCATCAGAGAAATGCAAATCAAAACCACAATGAGATACCATCTCACACCAGTTAGAATGGCAATCATTAAAAAGTCAGGAAACAACAGGTGCTGGAGAGGATGTGGAGAAATAGGAACACTTTTACACTGTTGGTGGGACTGTAAACTAGTTCAACCATTGTGGAAGTCAGTGTGGCGATTCCTCAGGGATCTAGAAGTGGAAATACCATTTGACCCAGCCATTCCATTACTGGGTATATACCCAAAGGACTATAAATCATGCTGCTATAAAGACACATGCACACGTATGTTTATTGCGGCATTATTCACAATAGCAAAGACTTGGAACCAACTCAAATGTCCAACAATGATAGACTGGATTCAGAAAATGTGGCACATATACATCATGGAATACTATGCAGCCATAAAAAATGATGAGTTCATGTCCTTTGTAGGGACATGGATGAAATTGGAAATCATCATTCTCAGTAAACTATCGCAAGAACAAACAACCAAACACTGCATATTCTCACTCATAGGTGGGAATTGAACAATGAGATCACATGGACACAGGAAGGGCAATATCACACTCTGGGGACTGTTGTGGGGTGGGGGGAGGGGGGAGGGATAGCATTGGGAGATATACCTAATGCTAGATGATGAGTTAGTGGGTGCAGCGCACCAGCATGGCACATGTATACATATGTAACTAACCTGAACAATGTGCACATGTACCCTAAAACTTAAAGTATAAAAAAAAAAGACTGTTGAATATTAGCCCCCAATTTCTTCTGGCTTATGGGGTTTCTGCTGAGGAGTCCACTGTTATTCTGATGGACTTCCTTTTCTAGGTGACGTGGCTCTTAACAATTTTCCTTCATTTTGACCTTGGAGATACTGACAATTATGTGTTTTGGGTTGATCTTCTCATGGATCTTACTGAAGTCCTCTGAATTTCCTGAATTTGAATGTTGGCCTGTCTTGCTGGGTTGGGGAAATTCTCCTGAATGATTTCCTGAAGTATGTTTTCCAACTTGGTTTCATTCTCCTCATTTCTTTCAGGTACCCCAATCAGTTGTAGGTTTGGTCTTTTTACATAATTCCATAGTTCTCTGATTATTTTTCATTCCTTTTCAGTTTTTTCTCTAATCTTATCTGCCTGTCTTATTCCAGCAAGATAGTCTTTGAGCTCTGAGATTCTTTCCTCTGCTTGGTCTATTCAGTTATTTATGCTTGTGGTTGCATTGTGAAGTTCTGGTGTTGTGTTTTTCAGGTCCATCAGGTCATTTATGTTCCTCTATAAACTGGTTATTCTGGTTTACAGTTCCTATAATGTTTTCATGGTTATTAGCGTCTTTGAATTGTTTTAGAATATACTTTAGCTCAGCAAAATTTGTTATTACCCACCTTCTGAAGAATACTTCTATCAGTTCATCCACCTCAAGCCTCCACCCAGTTCTGTGCCCTTGCTGGAGAGGTGTTGCAATCATTTGGAGGAGAAGAGGCATTCTGGCTTTTTGAGTTTTCAGCATTTTTGCATTGATTCTTTCTCATCTTCATGAGCTTATCTATCTTCGATCTTTGAGGCTGCTGATCTTTGGAAGGGGTTTTTGTGGGGCCATTTTTGTGGATGTTTTTGTTGTTGTTGTTTTCTGTTTGTTTGTTTTTCTTTCAACAGTCAGACCCCTCTTCCTTAGGGCTGCCGCAGTTTGCTGGGGGTCCACTCCAGACCCTATTCACTTGGTCCCTCCCCTACCTGGAGGTGTCACCAGTGGAAGCTGCAGAACAGCAAGGATGGCTGCCTGCTCCTTCTTTTTTGAGCTCCATCCCAGAGGGGCACTGATGTGATGCCAGCAGGAACACTCCTGTATAAGGTGCCTGGAGACCCCTGTTGGTGGTCTCAATCAGTTAGGGAGTATGTACAGGATCGGGGACCACTTAACAAAGCACTCTGGCTGCCCCTTGGCAGAGAGGGTGCACTGCACTGGAGGGAATCTCCCTTGTCCAGAATGTCCAGACCCTTCAGAGCCAGCAGGCAGGAAAGACTAAGTCTGCTGAACCGCAGAGACTGTGGCTGTCCCTCCCCACAGGAGTTCTGCCCAGGAAGATCAGAGTTCTGTCCATAAACCTCTGGCTGGAGTTGGTGAAATTCCCACAAGGGGGCCCCACCCAATGAGTAGGGATGGATCCAGGTTCCACCTAAAAAAGCAGTCTGGCCATGATCTGCCACAGCTGCTGTGCTCCCGGTCTAAACCTCCCTGTCTCCCCAGCACCACCAGGGGAAAACAGCCAACTGATGCCACAGTGATAGCAACCACCCCTTCCCCTGGGAACTCAGTCATCTTAGACAGTCTCCAGTCTGCTGTCACTGGCCACAGCCTGAGCGGTGATGAGAGTCTGCACAGCTCTGTGCTTGGCACCCAAGGCCCTGGTGGTGTGGACTCACAAGGGGATCTCTTGATCTGTGAGTTGCACAGATCCATGGAAAAAGCATGGTTCCTCAGGAAAGGGAGCACAATCACTCACTGCCTCCCTTGACTGGGGGTGGGAGTGCCCCTTGCCCCATGCAGCTCCCAAGTGAGGCATTGCTCCACCCTGCTTTTCCTTGCTCCCTGTGGGTCAGGCCAATCACCTTGTCACTCCCAGTGAGAGAATCTGGATACCTCAGATGAAGGTGCAGAATTCACTCGCCATTTTTGTTCTTCTAGATGGGAGTCACAGACCACAGCTGCTTCTAATTGGCCATCTTGGCACCTCCTCATTTAACCTTCTTTTCTCATCTAAAGGGGATAAAGGATGAAACTGTCCCAAAGAAAAGTTTATAAACCAATTAAGGGAGAAAATAAAATTCAACTAGGCTTGCAGAATAATCAGTGGCAATCATGAAATCCACTTCCCAATTTGGCCTACTTCCTTGTAGCTAGTTACTTCTTACTCCCCCAAGATAGTGTAGCCCTTGTCACAAGAATGTGTTCCTTTTCTTTTCTATAGATAAGATCTAAGGCACATGAGATGATATGCTTTCTGTTTGAGTTTCTCCTTTATGTTACGCATACTGATAAAATTGTTGATGCCAGTTGATCTGAAGGTCCCAGCAAGGAGCCGACTCACAGAAGAATGCAGTTTTCACATCATGATGATTTAATCTTCCTTGACCTGAGCAATTGACAACCCCAATTCTCCAGAACCTCACCCGCCACAATCCCCTTAAAAACCCTGGCCCAGAACCCCTCAAGCAGACAGATGTGAAGCTTGAGGATTCCTTCATCTCTTTGCCCAATGGCATTGTGATTATTAAACTCTTTTTCTGCTGCAAATTATGATGTCTCAGTGTATTGGTCTATTGCTGCTCAGTGGGCATATGAATCTGGCAGTCCTGTAATAGGGACAAAAGATAAACTACTGGCAAAACACTCGTAAAAGTCATAACCTAAGACATAGGCCCACTGAAAGGCGGATATTCAATCAGAGCACTGTAGAACATATTTCTCTGCTCATACCATAAAATTTAAACCAACATGACTCCAATATAAGGAGACAGACAAAAGAGCTATAAGAAACAGACACTGTTTGAAGATGAGTACTTAAGGAAACCTAAAGTTAAGGGAGGAGACAAAAACAAGGACACTAGAGGAATTTGAAACCTTCAGAAACTTGAGCTATAACAAATATTAAATGCAGTTCAACTCCAAGACAGATTAACATATATCCTCAATTAACTTTATCTCAGTATCAATTTATCTCAGCATCAATTTATCTCAATATCTATTATGGATACCACATGTCTGGCTCTCAACAATGGCAACAAAATTACAAAACATGGTAAAAGGCAAGAAAAAAATTAACAATCTGAAGAGACAGGATGATCATCAGAACAAGACTCAGTGATGATGATGCATATTTTGGAAATAGCAATCAAGAAATTTACATAACTATGATTAAGATGTTAAGGACACTAGTGGAAAATGTAGAAAATATTCAATAAAAGATGATTAGTATAAGCAGAGAGATGAAAATTCTAACAAAGAACCAAAATAAAAGGCTAGAAATTAAAATAACGCCAATAGATTTTTTTAAAATGCTTTCAATGGTTTCATTAGTAGACCAGACATGTTTGGGGAAAGAATTGGTGAAACTAAAGATAGGTCAAAAATACATTTTAAAACAAAGTGCCAAGAAAAAATAAACGGAAAAAAAAAGTGAAGGACATCAAAGACCCGCTGGGCAGTTTCTAAAGTTGTACAAAATGGGAAACTGGAATAGCAGAAAGACAAGAAAGAGAGAAATGAGGAGAATCTATCTAAATGAGTAATGGTCAAGAAATTTTAAAACATAATGACATGAAACAAACAACCGGTCCAGGAAGCTCAGAGAATACAATTCATGACAAACAACAAAAATACAGCACCAGACATAGCATTTCCTATATGTAGAATAAAATAAAATAAAATAAATCAATAAATAGACAAAGAGAAAATCTTGACAGAATCTGGAATGAAAACTACATTCCTTGTAGAGAAAAAAGAGCAAGGATTTCAGCCCACTTCCAGTAAGAAACCAGGCAAGAAAGAAGAGAGTTGCGGGAAATGTTTAGGAATAAATGCACCAACTTAGAATTCTACATCTAGCAAAATTATACTTCAAAAGCAGAGGGGAAATCAGAATTTACCAGACAATAAAACACTAACGGAATATATTGCCAGAAAACTTTCCTGCAAATGTGTTAAAAGAGGTTATTCATGGAGGAGAAGAGTGATATAGATCAGAAACCTGTATTTACAATAAGAAAGCAAGTATGTTGAAAAAGGAAAAAAAATTTTTTATTTTTCTTATTGTAAATCTTTTTAAACTACATGTTTGTTTAAAGTAATATTAGTAAATGTTTTGGGCAATTACAGGATGTGGGTAAGTGAAATGCCTGATGGTTATGTTACAAAAGATATGAAGGATGAACTGGGACTATTCTATTAACGTGTCCAGAATTGGTGGGTTCTTGGTCTCACTGACTTCAAGAATGAAGCTGCAGACCCTAGTGGTGAGTGTTACAGTTCTTAAAGATGGTGTGTCCGGAATTTGTTCTGACGTTCAGACGTGTTCGGAGTTTCTTCCTTCTGGTGGGTTTGTGGTCTTGCTGGCTTCAGGAGTGAAGCTGCAGACCTTCGCGGTGAGTGTTACAGCTCTTAAGGCAGCACGTCTGGAGTTATTCATTCCTCTCAGTGGGTTCCTGGTCTCACCGGCCTCAGGAGTGAAGCTGCAGACCTTCCCGGTGGTTGTCACAGCTCATAAAGGCAGTGTGGACCCAAAGAGTGTGCAGCAAGATTTACTGCAAACAGCAAAAACACAAACCCTCCACACCACGGAAACGGACCCAAGCCGGTTATCACTGTCCCTTGTGGCAGCCTGCTTTTATTCCCTCACCTGACCCCACCCACATCCTGCTGATTGGTCCATTTTGCAGAGAGCTGATTGGCCTGTTTTGACAGGGTGCTGATTGGTGCGTTTACAAACCTTGAGCTAGACACAGAGTGCTGATTGGCGCATATACAATCCTCCAGCTAGACACAAAAGTTCTCCAAGACCCCACCTCACTGGGGAGCCCAGCTGGCTTGCCTAGCAGATCCGGCGCTGGGGCCGCTGGGGGAGCTGCCCGCCAGTCCCACGCCAGGTGCCTGCACTAGTCAGCCCTTGGGTGGTTGATGGGACCAGGCGCCACGAAGCAGGGGGCAGTGCCGTTGGGGAGACTCCCGCTGGCCGCTGGGAGCCCACGGGGGAAGGCGCGGGCGGGGAAAGGCTCGGGCATGGCGGGCTGCAGGTCCCGGGCCCTGCCCCACAGCGAGGCGGCTGAGGCCTGGCAAGAATTCGAGCCTAGAGCGGGCGGGCTGGCAGTGATGCGGAACTCAGCGCATACTCCGCAGCGGCTGGCCCTGGGTGCTAAGCCCCTCACTGCCCAGGGCCTGTGGCACCAGCCTGACCGCTCTGAGTGCAGGGCCGCCCCCGCGTGTGCCGCGCGCAGCCTCAGTTCCCGCCTGTGCCTCTCCCTCCACACCTCCCCGCAAGCAGAGGGAGCATGCTCCGGCCTTGGCCAGCCCACAGACGGGCTCCCACAGTGCAGCGGTGGGGCGAAGGGCTCCTCAAGCGCGGCCAGAGTGGACGTCCAGGCCGAGGAGACACGGAGAGCGAGCAAGGGCTGCCAGCACGCTGTAACTTCTTATTAAGGTACCTGCACTATATGTGAACTGGTGGAGTGCTATTTGAAGGTGATCTTAGATTAGTAACAAATGTGTATTGGATACTCTGGGGAACCACTAGAATAGTTGAAAAAGAAAGCATGCTTTACATGTAATGAGTGACATTAGGTTTGATAATGGATTTTTAGATATAATATTAATACGAAAAGTTCTAGCTACAAAAGAAAAAATGATGTTAGAGTTTGTTAAATTTAAAATGGAATTTTCTGCTCTGTGAAAGACTCCAGAGAGTTAAAAGACAAGCCACAAACTAGAAGAAAATATCTGTAAACCATATATCTAATAAAGTATTGGTATCTAAACATACAAATAACTCTGAAAACTGAATAATAAGAAAGCAAACAAACCAATTACAAATGTGCATAGAATCTGAAAAGACACCTCACCCCTGCCCCCGAAATACCCATGGCAACTGGCATATAAAAATATGCTCAGTATTTTTTTTTCTTTAGAGAAACACAAATTAAAACAATTGTGATACTACCACACATTAGTTAAAATGGCTTAAATCCATGAACCGAAGTATTACAAATTCTGGTGAAAATGTAGAGCAATAGTAGCTGTTTGCTGAAGGGAATTTTAAAAATGGTACTGCACGCTGGAAGACAGATTGGCAGTTTCTTACAAATCTAAATATCGTCTCACCACGTACTTCAGCTATCATTCTTCTAGGTATTTATCCCAATGATGTGACAATTTATATCACATAAAAATGTGAGTGTTTATCAGAGTTCTTTTTTATAATTATCAAAAATGGACAGCAACCTACATGGCCTTAAACCTTAAGTAAGTGAATTGATATACTGGTACATCCAGAAAAAAGAAATAAATATAAATCTACAGGAATAAATACATGAATATTCAATATTTATTGCTCTGTGAAAGAAATTGGTCAGCAAATGCCTCGTATTATATATTGCTAAATATATGACATGGTAAAAAAGGCAAAACAATATAGTATAAAAGATTAGTGCTTCCAGAGGTGAGGGGAGAGGAAGTAGGGTTAAATATGTGAAACATGAAAACAAATTTTTTACTGTACTGAAACTATTTTATATGATATTGTAATGGTGGACATAACATTATGCATTTCTCAAAATCCATAAGAGTTTTTGAGCTTGAGGAGGAAACATTAATTTATATAACTTTAAAAAAAACTATCCTTTAGGAAGTAGAGGGATTGCAAGATGGAATGCAGAGTGTGACAAAATATTATAACTGTATTGAAAATATATGAAACAACCTCACTGAGATGGGTGGGAAAAAATGCGTTGAAATAAGTAATTTCAGAAATGAGAGGAGACTGTAAAATTAAAGGTGAAAGGAAGTGTATACAAGCACAGTGCTCCAGTTAATAAAGTTGTTTCTCATGGAAGTATGGTGTAACGTTTCTGACATCACCGTATATGTACACTGTGAATGAACAATTAAGAAAGTGAGTGATGAATGGTGGCCGGGAACAAGTAGAGGGTTATTCTTGATATTCTCCTCAAATTTCTTTAATTAATTAGTAAATGAATTAGCAAGTCCCTAATGGCCTTTAGAGTCTGCTGAAGGAGATGAATAAACAGCTGACTATTAATATAGCATAATATAATATAGTGTTTAATATAAACAAAGGGCTATGTGAGTGTGGACCAAGAGACTATTATTTTCACCTTTTATCTAAAACCTTGAAAAAGTTGGCACTTCTACCTTACCTTAGATAGTAAGCAAGAGTTAGATAAGTTGAAATGACACATTTTTCATGCAGAAAATATTACACACGAAGACATGGAGGTTCAAAATTTCCAGGTTATAGGGAAATTGCAGGATGCTGAAAAATGCAGGTTGCTGAAAGGAATGCAGTATGATGCAAGATATTTGATGTTGGGCAAAAATAATTTTAACTTCTATTATACAGTCTGTAGAGAATGGGCAACATTGAGGGGTAACAGAAGCCTTTGTTACTCCATCTTTGAAAAATAAATAATAATAATTATCCCATTTAGATATTAAAGATTAAATAGGTTAGTGAATTCAAAGTATGCCATATAAATTCTGGCAAATAATATGTTCAAAATAAATTGTAACTTTGATTATTAAAACATATGTATACACACACGTACATATATATGTATGTGTATATGTATGTGTATGTGTGTGTGTATAACAGAATTAATTGTATATCATAGTTGAAGTAAAAGAATGGGAAGAAAAAATACTTTAATGGGCCTCCAAATAGGACAAGACTATATACATATAGTCTTGCATATATATATATATATATATACACACACACATCTAAATAAAATGTATCAATACACACACACACACATATTCTCAGTACATGGGGATAATCAGAAAGATGGCTACAAAAATACAACCCTCTTAGTTTTATATAACCCTTTATAAATATATAAAACTAAGAGAAGAAAGAATGCCTTCTGAAGCACTGTAAACTAACCTAAGGGGGGTAAAGTCAGAGGATTTTACTATGTTGGAACTGAATTTATTAACATAGTTATAGAAAGAGTCTGTCAATGAAAGGAGAATTAGTTGCCTATGGAAACTGAGCTACAGATGAATCTTTAAGGCATAAATCTCTTTTCCACCTAAGTGGAAGTCCAATTCCTGAGGCAGGAAGTCTGGGCAAGTGAAATTGCCAGTTAAGTTGGTAAGCCTTCCTACAATAAAAATAAATGCATGTGCACATTTATATTAGCTTGATGGTGTTAAATATTCTAATCATTGAACTTTATTTTTCTGATCTAATACATACCCAGCTATCATGTGACTACATTTTGTTTTCCCATACAGATGTGCGTTTGGGTGGAAAGTATGTACTGTTTATGCTGAAGTAAGAATTTTATTTTATATAACATAGTTCTTGTTATAAATTAATAAACTAACATTCTGATTGTTTATAGTCATTGTGTGTTGAATCGAGTCTCCAAAATGAAATACTAATCCCAATACTTGTGAATGTGACCTTATTTGGAAATAGGTTATTGCAGATGTTATTTTGAAACAGGGTCATATTGAAATGGGATGGGCCCTAATTCAATGACTGGTTTCTTTATAAAGAAAGAAAATATGGACACAGAGAGACATAAAGAAATATAAGGAAGAAGGCCATGTAATGACAGAGGCAGACAGTGGGGTGATGCATGCACAAGTCAAGGAACACCAAAAATTGCTGGCAACCACCAGAAACTAGAAGACACATGTGGAACGGACTTTAAGTCAGAACTTTTCAGAAGGAAACAATCTTGCCAACACCTTGATTTCAGGCTTCTAGCTTACAGAGCTGTGAGACAACAAATGTTTTTTTTTTTTTTTTAAGCCACCTATATTGTGATACTTTATTATGGCAGCCCTAGAAAGCTAATACAATAGTCAAAGGGAAATAAATTATCTCCCTGTAGCCTAAAACTTTAAAATAATTTTTTTTTCCCAGAGGCCTTTTCTTTCATTTGTTGGTTTTGGTTTCTATACAATAGATCAAACATCTTCACTAATAGTTTTCTTAGACATTATTTTTGGAAACATTTTTAAAGGACTCATGGAAATCTATAATCTATGCTGATTGACTACTTCCATGTAAAGAATTTGATATTTTTCATAGTTACTACTGGCTGTTACTGTGCTATTCCTAATTGTCTTGAATGTTGCGTATGTAGCATGAAATCCCAATTTTTATTGAAGTAGGATATATATATATATAACTCTTCTATGGTTGTCTTCAAGCCGGAGCCTATTTGTTAGCACTGCAGGGCATCGTGTGTGTGTGTGTGTGTGTGTGTGTGTGTGGTAGAAGCTACTATATGAGAAATGTGGAGATACGCCTTTAGTTCAATTCTTTAGCTGCTAACTAATTTAGAGTTCTTACTGTTGTTTTAGTCAGGAAATAATGAAATATATCATCAATAAAAAGTTAAAGGAACAAGGTGAATCAGTCCAATGGGAGAATCTAAATCTTCCCAGGGATCTGTCCAAATCCATAAAAAGAGTACCATTTGATAGGTAACAGCAGGGGATTAAAGACTGAAGCAGTTTGCTGCAGGCTATGAATGACCTGATCCCTTAATCCATCTGTCTTTTTATATGAGAATGTTATGCTAATTAGCTGAGTAAATTGTTTCCTGATGATATTAATTTTGTGCCTTTCTGTTATTCTAGGCTTTGACTTTCACTGTGATAAAAATATACGAAGGGGCATTTTCAATTTAGATGGTTCCTATCCTGATAAATTCCAACACAGCAATGTTGTGGGGGAAACATGTATAAATAGCAAACTTAATCAATCCCGAGGATAGACATAGATGACTTTAGCTTCCTATATAATCATTCCCTTTAGCTTCTAAAGCATTACATTAACACACTTGAAATGTTAAAACATAATTCAAGGAGAATTTTAGGAAATGCAATTTTCATTGCCCCATTTTCTTTGGAGAAAATCAAGACTTGAATTCATTAACATGGAGGAAGTAATGGAACAGATAGTCGTGATGTGAAATCCTGCAGGTGTTGTGTTCTGATAATGCATATCCTTTACAAGTTTGGGTAAATTATTTGCTTTGCATATAAATTAACTCCAAAGCTGAATCAACATTAGAATAATAAAAATGTAGAGAATATTTTTATTCCAAGGAAGCAAAGATTTATAGCAAAATATATCCAAATCCTAGATGCAATTTCAGGAGGATAGATTTAAAAATATTTATCATACTCCAAAAAGAAAAAGGAGAAAGAAAAAAGGAAAAATACATACAATTGAGAGAAAGGAGGAATGGTTTTGGAAAATACAATATTATGTTATTATTGTTACATTAGGGAGAAAATAATTGAGAATCGATACATTTGTTTTTCAGTATAAAAACAAAAAGATGGCACTTATTTAACAATTCTTAAGTGATGTCTTCTGAGTTCCACTTTATTGGGTATGTATTGTTCCTAAGCTAAAATCTAATTTCAAAATATTACGTATTACAGGTGTAGTGTTGTCTTGGTCTGTGTTGTGTTGCTGTAACAACACTTGAGACTGGGTAATTTATAAAGAAAAAAAGGTTTATTTAGCTTATGGTTCTGGTGGCTGGAAAGTCCAAGACTATGGCATTGGCATCTGTTGAGCTTCTGATGAGAGCCACATGCTATGTCACAGCAAGGCAGAGAAACAAAATGGAAATCAGGCAAATCATTGCTTTATAAAAGAGGCAACTTTCTTTAGAATGACCGGCTCTTATGAGAACTAATCCATTATCATGAAAAATAACCCAGTTTCACCAGAAAGTTATTAATTTGTCTTAATGACCTAATCACCTCTTCAAAGCACGATCTCCTAACACCTTACATGGGAAATTAAATTTCGACATGAATTTTGGAGAGAATAACCCATGTCCAAACTATAGCAAGGGTAAAGACCCCAAATTTACTTAGACATGGGGATTAATAATCATGTGTCATTGCCAATAAACGTTTTCTTTCTTTTGCACTTCCAAAGAATTTTTTCACCACCTATTTTCCTCTATGTTTTTCTTTCTCTAGTATTTCTTTCTCTAAAAATTTGTGCTTGTGTAAATAATTTGCAAATGCAACTTTTTTCTTCTTTGAAATGATAGCTAAATTCAAATTACTTTTATCTTATTCAAAATTCAGAGAAAAATTCAGAAGTGACCTATTAGATGTTTGAGAATGTGCTATACTACATCAGGTGCACAAGTTCCTGTGAATAAGAAGCAAAAAAGCTAGCACTTTCCCCACTTCTGTTTTTAAAGAATAAGCTTATCAATGGATATTGAGGAAAAAAACTACTGGTAATATTTAAATGGTAAAATGGGTATGGTAAAATAATATTACGAGCATTTTTTCAAGTAATACATTTTGAACTTTAAGTTTTCTTCTGTTAATTTTATCTGTTTATAGGAGTAATCCTGTTTTGTTCACTTCAGTATATTCACTATTCCTTTCCCTTACAGTCAAGCATTGGACATGGCCTTGATATTGCTGGTGATTACCCATAGGGCTCAATGTTCATCTTTTGTTTCTAAATTCCAAAAGCAAAGTTGATTCTAAAGGATGATAATAATCATTAATAATTCATAGAATACCTATCTCCAAAACAGAATCAGGAATGCTATAGACAATAATAAGCACACATTAAACCAACTGGGCACTGTGCCCAGAAGATCAGCCAAGTACACACAATAGGCAAGAAAAGAGCTTGTATGTGTGTAAGGAGAAATAAGAAAGGGAAAGCAACGCGTAAAAGGCTTCCAAACAGAACAACCAGGGAGTCAACAGATTTTCAAACTTTCACAGAAACCAGAAATATTTTGAAGTCATTTCTGCTGGGTCTACTAACTGTCTTACAATGTAAGATAGCCATGAACCCCAATGGAAGAAGTAGAAGCAAATTGAGTATATTCTAAAAAATTCAAAATTTGTAGGCATATTAAGTTTTAGGTTTTACAAGCTTACAAGTGGTGAATTACAAGACCACAATATAGGTGTAGGTTTATGGGCTTTTTTATTTGTGATGATGACTTAAACCAACCTTCTTTTTTCTATATGATTTGTTGAAATTAAAGCACTGTACATGTGATTATGACAAGGAACAAGGAGTCTCATGTATATGTTTTCTTATATTATAAAACAGCACCTGAACTTTTTCATGTCAGATCTCTGCTGGCAAATTAAAGGAGGAAAATACCCCCATGAACTGAAGAAACCTATGGAAGTTAGCTTATTGAAATGCTGCCAGAGTCTTCATTTAGAGGGGTTTTTATAGGTAGTAGGTCTAAAGGATACTAGCAAACAAAAAATGCTAACAACATTTTTTTTCCCAAGGGAGAAGTACCCCACCAAATTTATTCCATGTAGGCCTGAGGGTTGGATACTAATTTACTTACCATGTATTTATTATAAAACACTACTTAGGCAGGTGTGACCAAGCTATAATTGGCAAGAAACCAGGGATGTACATTTGCTTTTGTTATTATAGCTAAACTAGAAGAAGACTAAATCCTTTAATAGGAATAAAAAGTTAACACAATGATTTAATTTAGTTCTACTTAGTATAGATAACATTTGGTAGAGCTTCAGGAACTTACTATATATTTTAGCCCTTAATTTGTAATGAAGGCATTGACAGTATAAATCTTGGGATAAACTAGGTAAATAAATTACTTTTTTTGAATATGAATGTTCTTTTTTATTTATCCTGGAGTCATATTCAGTGAAGTGAGAAATGCATTTTGTTAAACTGACACCTAGATTTCAGGGAGAATATACTCAAATGATAAAATATTTATATCAAGAAAATAACTTTTACTCCATGACATTATATTATTTATCAGATATGAGTGTCATTAAAATTCATTTTCAAACTGTGTAAAAGAGAATGATTCCTATGCCAATGTTTTCTTACAGTGTGAAATCTTATATTGATAAAAGTACAATATTTATATATGAAATTTTGGAAAGCTTTGAGCATAAAGTTCTCAGTCACATCATAACATTTTCTCTGACAGTGTGTGTGTCTTAGGGTAGGGAAAGAGAGTGGTTGAATGTCCATATCTTACTAACTAAGATGGTATGCCCACTGTCTTAACAATTTACTTCCTGTATTGACTCGACTAATTAGGCTGCCATAACTTTATTTCTTAATTGTTAATATGTTGGGGAAATTATCAATAAGTATAGAAAATGACAAAGTTATTGTTTCTGAAAAACTATGAAAAAGAGGATAGCCTTACTTATGCAGAGCCTATTAAAAAGAGAGTACTTTTTCTTCTTAAAATGCATAGCTTGACCAGCTCCATTTAACACTGTTTTTTAAAAGATGTGTTAATATCCTAATGGTATAAATGAATTCAGTCATGACTAGTTGAGTCAAAGAGATTTAAAAATTATTTGAACTGTTTTATCAAATTTCTAGCTCATTGTTTAGTGCTAGATATTCACAAAACAAATAGTTAAGTTCCTAAGATTATTGTTGCAAACTGTGGGAACTAAAAGTCTTTAATTACATTACTTTGAAAGCAAAAAGTGATTTCCATGCAAAATATTTTAAAGGATTTCTACCCAATGTCAAATTTTCTCATCTATTCATTTAATAAGAATTGATTAAATATCTGTTGTGTCTTAAAAATCAATGACGAATAACATCCTAAACTTCAGCAAGCATATGGTTGAACACTAAATAAAGAACAAAAACCAAGGTAATTACAGTAGAGTGTTTCAGTGATATATTACCACCAAGAACAGAGAGCTATAAAAATCACTGGAAGAACAACTAACTGAATCTTTGGGGAGTGAAGAAAAGCTTTCTTTGGAAAATAACCTCTAATCTCATATCTAAAGGACCAGTAGGAGTTATCCATAAAAAGGAGAAAGAAAATTCCAGGTAGTTGAAATGGCTTGCTGAATTGCAAGGGCACAGATTACTAAAATGTTTAGTAATACTCATGGTAATTTTGTTTATATTTTTGAAACAGATATCATGTAGTCAACACAATAGGTCAAATCAGGACCTTTGGTACACATAACCCTTTTTCTGTAAGGTGTTGATAGGTATCATTTGAATAAAATTGGTGATATTTAGTGTTTATTGGTGTTTGGGAAAAACATGTGCTTCCTAAAATTTTAGCATATTTTCCTATATGATTTCTCATTAATAAATTAATGCACAAAGCAAATATCCAGGAGGTGTTAATAGTAAGCAGTAATTTCCAAAATTGCATGACCAAGAAACTTTTTACTCATAGAATAACTGAAATACTTTTCTCAGGAATATACTTTGAGAAATATTGCTTAAATACATGTGGAAAAAAAGTGTTCTAAATCCAAGTTCTTTATGATGGAGATTACTGAATCCAAGTGTTCTAAATCCAAGTTCTTTATGGTGGAGATTACTGAAAAAGTATGGGAGAAAATTATACATTTTGATAGAAAATCGTAAGAGTTGAATGGTGTTTGCCCAAAAGGTTTGTCCACCCAGAATCTCACAGTCTGACCTCAATCGTAATAAGCATCTTTGAAGATGTAATAAGGTAATAAAGTGTGCTCATCCTCTATTACAATAAATTCTAAATCTAATGAGTGTCCTTATAAGAGATAGAATAACAGAAAGACACAGAAAAAGCGGGGAGGCATGTGAAGACAGAGTCAGAGAGACTGGAAAGACAAAAACCGCTAAGAATTGCTGACAGCATGGAATGGGTTTTTTCTGGGTCTCCAGTGGAAACCAATACTGCCAACACATTCATTTGTCTTCTGGCCTCCAGACCTGTGAGAGAATCAATTTCTGTTGCTTTAAGTCATCAAGTTTGTTGTAATTTGTTATGACAACCCTGGAAACCTAATACAACAATGTGATGCTTTAGAACCAGTTGTGTTCGAACAAATTTAAGCCTTAACTCATATTCTTACCAAACAGTCCCCAATGAATTATGGATGTCCTTTGATTTCATGTCCTTGCATTATCCTCCCAACCAGACAATAGATTAGCCTTGTGAATTAGTTGAGCCATGAGAATGCAGCTAAAGAGACACTGTATAAGTTTCAGTCCTAGGCTTAAGGAAGCTTTATAGCTTTTGTTTACTCTGTCTTTTACCTTGAGCCACTGTGCAAAGATGTCTAGGTTAGCGTCCTTGTGGATGAGACACCTTATGATGAAAAAGACCAGGAGGAATGAAAGACTGGGAAGATAGAGAGGAAGACCCAGTTAGTTTCTAGTCATTCCAGCACAACATATGAATGGGGCCAGCTAGGATCCTCCAGTCCCTATGGAGCTGCCTCTAAATACAAACATATTAAATAGTCCAGCAGAAGACACCATCTAGGGAAGAGATGAGCCACCCAGCTGAGTTCAGCCCAGATTGAAGAATCATGAGCAGGTCCATCTGTGCTACTTAGCTGTTTTAAGCTGCTATGTTTAGACTGGTTTATTATGCAGCAATAGAAAGCTGTAACCATCTAATATGATTATCAAGTATGTGTTTTTAAAACAAAGACAAAAAAGATGAACAGATATAAGATTAGGTTGTGTGCTGTAGCAAAGGTGGATTTGACCTTTTTTTAAGTTAAGAATTTTGATAATCTACCATACATTTTTAAATTCTTTCTTGCATTAACTTTATCTCTGGATAAAAAATTCAGGCCACCCGTAAGTAAATAGAAACAGTAGGCATAAATACACAAAAGGAAAGTTATATTAAAATTCTGCAGAAATGTAACAAGAATAAAAAAGCTGAACTGGATTTTTAGGATGTTCTACACTCAGCTTTTATGAGAAACAGACAAATGACAATCTCATGCCAAGGATTTGTTTTAAAAGGCTGTATAACAGGTAGACCATTGACTAACACATGTTTTACCACCTTTATCTTCAGAGTACTGCAGACAAATGATATTCATAATGACTCTACACGATACTGAAATGGTATCTGAATATTAACAACTAAATTCTGACCAGTTATGATTTAAAACATTTAGCTATTTATTGATTGTTATTTTTTTAAAAACTTGGAATGTGCATTATATGTATATTTAACTATAAAGTCACTGAACATTTAATTAACATATGTCCTGTTTTTCAATCATTACTAGGAGTAATCTTTATAGAAATACAAGTAGCAACCATTACCACAAATGAATTCTCATAAGAAACAGTTATTCAAGTCTTTTTCTCTCTCTCTTTGTCAAACGCATGTGCACACACACACACACACACACTTTGTATGCCTGTGGATTGTGTGAGAGAGAGAATGAGCCTGTAAATACAGAATTATATCAGAATTCTTGTAGCAAATAAGCTATCAGGAAAATTGAGCCAACTTAGTCTTGGTCTTGTGAAGGACATTTTCTCTTTTCTGACCTAGTCTTTTCTATTAAGTGAAAGATGTCACACAATGACCACTCATCTATTTTTGATGGATACATGAATTGTACATTACATGGAAAGAAGAGAGAAAATAATCCTAATTTTATATAATGTACAGGTTAGAAAGCCTGATACAGACTAATATAAAATTAATGCTTTGAATAAATTTGTTTATACTATTGCTCTGTTAGTGTTGCTACTTTTGGTTTGTTTTTCAATTGTTTTTCCAATATGTATTTAGTTTGATTTTTAATAATCTTCTCTCTCTCTTTTTTCTTTTCTTCTCCTTTACCTCTTGCTCCTCTTCCTTACTCTCCTTGCCTTCCTCCTCAGTCTCCTCATCCTCATCTTCCTCCTCATCCTCTTTCTTTGTTTTCATTACAAAATAAAATAAGCAATCAGAAAAGTTCATACAGATATTGTTACTTATCTTTAGGGACCTGGATCTAACTTAGTGCTGTTGCTTCTGTTTCTTCCCTTTTGTCCTCCTCTTCTTTTTCTCCTTTGTGTTCTGTTTTACTTTTTAAAAATAGATGCCACAACTCTGATTTTTAATCTGATTGTGTAAATGATCCTTAATAGTAAAATCAATTTTAATATCTTATAAAACAGAAGCACAGCAAAGCATTTTGCAGAATTTACCATAAAGTAAATAATAACCATTCCTAGTATGATAATGCTGCAGCAATTTTTCTTTCATCCTCTGCAACATTTTTATCTGACACAGTCTCTGCTGTTTCCAAGTTCAACGTCCTGCAGCAAGCCTTGCCAGCAATACAGAATACTTTCAATTAGTAGTTCTCTACTTCTCTGGTCGCTAAGCAACTGACCTGTGGTGAAGAATACATAATGATCTGCATAGACACCTTAGAGCAATAGAAAGTATAAGCTTCACAAGTTTCATTTGCTCTCTTGTGTTGATGTTACAATAACCAGTTAAATGCATGGAAATATTTGATAGTAGTTTGCTATAATAAACTTTAATAAAGATTAAAAGAAGCCTTGGAGAAAGGTAGAAATAAACACAACATAAAATATTGTATTTGTCATTTGTTCATGTATGTCATTTTATTGTTTATAGGGAGGGCAAGCAATCAGGTTAATATTTTATTAAATGTTTATATTCTAGCTACTGTTTAAGACAGAATTCATCAAGTAGCAGAAGTGATGGAAGGGCCAAGGGGAAGAAAGATGGACAAAACCTGAAAATTGAAAGTGCAATAAAATGAAAATTACAAATGAAAACCAGTATGCCTGAGTTATACATGACTGTTTAGTAGAGTGTCTTCATGTGGGTTAAAGAAGAAAAGGAAATACCAGCTGGAATCAGCAGAACAGATTTAGCACTTGACCCTTGGATACTTTTCATTCTATTTATCTATCATATTTTTATTGGTTTGTATTCCATTGACTACTATATGCACCGACCCTCAGCAAATTCATTCAATAGAGAGGAGAGATTATATCTCCACTGTATCAGTGGAGCTGCTTAGGAACATTTCTCCCGCTTCTTGCATGTATTTTGTCCTATTTGTACATTGTATTTTATGAGCTGCTTTAGAATAGTAGAATAACTTTCCTTTATATGGTATAGAACTTTTGATATATCTCAAATAAATTTTTAAAAAATGATCAATTGAAATGTATGTTCTCATACTGTATGTGCAAATATCAGTAGTACAAACACTAAGGATTAATGAAAATGAAAATCCTAATATATTAAACTTAGAAAAATAGACTAAATATTTACTGAAAAGAAACAGATAACCAAAATTTCGTGATACACAATGAAAAGCCTTGAGACATTAAAGAGGACTTTCACTGCCTTTGATGATGTCATCCTTTACCTATTAAGTTCTTCTAGCATGGTAACTAGAACTAAACTTTTAACTTCCTTTTAAACCACACACTGAATGCATCTGTGAAAAAGACCTGCATACTACAAGGTAACTTTAATTACATATCTTCTGTGGGGTCCGTGCTTTTAGTTTAGTATAGGTTTATGCAAAGTGATACTATTGGTAATGTGTAATTTAAACACACACACAAACTAACAGGCCCTGCCGCCTATCAATGTCTGGGTGATATCAGAGAAGGCCGTGTGGGAATCTAGAACTTTCTTCTCTGCCAGGTAGTTACAATGTGCCCCGTCCTTCTCCACCAGATTCCTTAGGTGTCAAAGTAAACTAAGTGAGAAGTTGGAACTTTCACCATCATCTAGTGGTAAAAAGGTCCAAGGCCTCCTGATGTTTGCCTTCCCTTCAGTGTAGGCCATAGTGGGAGCAGAAACAAGAAAAAAATCCCCCACTCTCCAAAGGTGGTTGAGCAGGGATAAATTTTTATCACCACCTAGCAATAACAAGGCACCCCCACTTTCACCATGTGTGGTGTCACAGGAGGTTTATTTCCAAGAGTTAAAATACAGAGCCTCATAGCATAATATCCAAATTACCCTAGATACGTTGAAAATTACTCAGCATATCAAGCACCAGAAAAAAAATCTCATCTTGAATGAGATAACACATGCCAACACAGTGATAACACATAAATTAGATTTATTCACAAGGATTTTAAAGCCACCACCATAAAAATGTTTTAATGAGCAATTGCGAATATGCTGGAACAAATGAAACAATGGAAAGCTTTACAAAGAAATAGAAGATGCCAAGAGACAAATAGAAATTTTGGCACCGAAAAATATAATTGAAACTTTAAAAAATACTTGATGGCTCAATAGGGTAATGGAGGAAATAGAGAAAAGAATAAGTGAACTTGAAAATAGGACATTAAAAATTTACTAATCCAAAGACCAGAGGGAGTATAGACTGAAAATGAAAAAAAAAAAAAGAACAGAGCCTCAAGGACCTATAAGACTATAGCAAAAAATCTACTATTCATGTCATCAGAGTCCTAGAAGGAAAGGCAAAAGTGGGTTGGGCTAAAAATATATTTGAAAAAATAATGTCCAAAACGTTTTCGAGTTTGGCAAAAGACATACAACTACAGATTCAAGAAATGAGAAAATCTAAAACGGGACAGATACAAAAAAATCAACAAAGAAACAGGTCAATTTCAGAAAACAGCAGAAGAAAAAATCTTGGAAACAGTGAGGTAAAACAATGCTTCATCTCTCCAGAAGAAAAACAATTTGAATGACAATGATTTCCTGTCAGAAATAATGGTGGCCAAAAGGAAGTGATATATTTCTCAAGTACTGCAAAACAAGAACTGTCAATCCAGAATTCTGTATTAGGCAAAAATGTCCTTTAGAAATGAAGGAGAATTAAATAAATTCTCAGAAGAAGAAAAATTAAGAATTGGTTGCAAACAGACCTACCCTAAAGAAAAGCAAAAAGTTCTTGAAACATAAAATGAATAAGGGGCCTGAAATCATCAGAAAAATGTAAGAGTAACAGAAAGAGCAAAAATATGAATAAGTACAACAGATTTTTCTTCTTGAGTTTTCTAAATTATGTTTGACTTTTGAATCAAAAACTGTAACATCGAAATGGTTATCAATACCTAAATGAAAAATTTTTAAAATTATATAAACAAGGATGGGTAAAGAGACTTCCAACGAGATAAGATTTTTACACTTCACTAGAAGTGTTAGATATTTTGATAGTGGTAGTGGTCACAAGAATTTACACATGTAATAAAATGACAGATGTATGCATACACATTTTTTCAATGTCAATTTCTTGGTTTTAATGTTTTACTGTAGCTACAAAAAAAATGTAACCACTGGGGAAACTAGGTGAAGAGTATGAGAGACCTCTCTGTACTATATTTGCAGCCTTCTGTAAATCTATAATAATTTCAAATCAACAGTTAAAAAATAAAAATATATCTAATAGACCAATAGTTTCATATGGAGGGCAGAATGATTTAAAAAAATGAGATATTTTGTTTATGCATACCTGTAAAGGCATCCATGAAAGGTATTATTAACATTTGAAATTATGTAAGTCCAATGCTGCAGGAACATGGGCATACTATAGCTTATTTTAGATGCTTTAGAAAGCCAAAGTCATCTCTGGTAAGTTCTACATTGATGATAATAACCTGAGAGACTTCTCAGTCTCCAAAATTGCACTATTTCTAAAATATAAGTAAATATTCCCTTCATCCTAAATCTTTCAAAGTTTAAGAATGTCATTGATAGTCTTCGCTTTAGAGGAAAATACAGAGATCAAGAAAAAAGGTCTGGAAAAATGAAAAAAATAATTTTAAAAGCTTCCTCAGAGAGAAAGAGTTTCAGACGGATATAGTTTAACTATATTAACTCAGCCATGAATTTCTTACTTCTCTTCTAGTACCGGTTACTCTTTTGCTGAATGAATCTACCTTATGAACACAAGTTAAAAAAAATGTACCCATGATAAGTAAAACATTATTAAATACAGCTATTTTTATAAAAGTTTCAAGTCAAAAATGGATCCATTTCTGTTCTTCTTCTTACAGGGAGTTGCTTATTTCCCATCCTTCATTAAAAGGGCCAAAAAGTATACTCATCTGTAGTAGAGAATATGCATAATGTTTATTAACTCATGCTTATTATAATGTTAACACATTATCTGCCACTCCAAGAATGTGGGCATATTTAGAAAATGTTCAATATGGTATCTATAAATTATTCTATGGCAGACTTTGATTTAATTCTTTTCATCTTCATTTAATAACAGTGGAGTGGTTCTTAATATCATATTTTCATTATTTGCATGTCCTTTGCAAGAAGGCTTGGGAACCTATTTACCCCAAAATAAGTTCCAAACAGGTCAGACTTCTAATTGTTCATACAAATAACTAAGGATTAGAAATATAGATGCTATACAATTCTAATATAAATCTTTTGGTATTAACCCCTCACCGTTGAAAACACATTAACTGACTTGTAGTGTTTGATCGTTTCCACACAAAGAAGATGGATCACTGTATGTCTCTTAATATCTACATAGCCTTAAACCAGAAGATAGAACATGATTGTTCAGGAGAGTCACATGATTTCAATCAAATTATTGTAAGTATGTCATTTGAGCAGAAATAACACAATGTGCAGAATACTGCAAGTGAATTTTCTTTTCGCCAAATAGTGTGAGCTAAATCATGTTTACTATAGTGATAATATTAATTATTCGATGGATATGCTAGAATTATTCTACTGATCTTATGTTGTTTTCTGACCACATTTTCCAAAACACTTTAAATTGTGCTTTACCCTTTCATACCCTTTTATTGTTTACTGATTCATTCCACAAATTAAAATTAACTATTGGTACTAATGTGTACTGAAACAAAAAACAATAATGTCACTTCAGATTGTGACTGATTCTTAAAATATTCTCCATGGTCTTCATGGCCTAATGGTTTTAAGTTATACACACAGTATTTCACTTAAAATATTATGGAAAGCAGCACCTGGAGCTTTAAACAAGTTACTTAGTTTATATCTGTAGTTTATAAATCATGATGTGTTAAACTTTATTATGATCTTACAATTTGAATTTAATTCTTTTATAATGTCTCTAGGTCCTCCTGATGATAGATAGATAGATAGATAGATGATAGATAGATAGATAGATATTTTCCTTTTAGAAAACCTCTTGTTTTTCTCATATCCCACTCTCTGACAGCATTATATTCAAGAGCAAGGGTGGGAAATGTGTTTACTGCCAAGGTATTAGATAGCTAGGTTAAATGCCAAAATTAAACTGATATAAAAAGTAATACAGAAACAAGAAAAAAAAGTGGAAAATGAAAACATAACCTTGTAAAGTTTTTATTCTAATATACAGGTATGTTAATGAAAATAATAGAATGGTTTCTGAAAGACATAAATGGACAGTATTGTTTTATGAATACATCAGTAAGAAAATACTTTAACAGGAACGGGAAATTCTCCAGGTTCAGTGTGAGATTTCCACCTATAATTTTCATTTGGCTGGCGAGACTGACTTGCGTTACTTGAGTTATGCTATTTTAAAAGTATTTGTCACCAGTATGTATCCCTTCTTTGATATTTTTCCTCCCTTCTACAGTGACTTTTAAAATCCAAATCTAATCAAGCTGCCACTGAGGACATATTGTTATATTAAACATACAAATGTTTAAGCCTTATTAAATACAGACTGGGTTTCAGTAAATCAGAAATGGTTAAACAAAACAAAACAAAAAAAAAGAGGCCAGGCGCGGTGGCTCACGCCTGTAATCCCAGAATTTTGGGAGGCCGAGGCGGGCGGATCACGAGGTCAGGAGATTGAGACCATCGTGGCTAACATGGTGAAACCCCGGCTCTACTAAAAATACAAAAAAATAGCCAGGCCTGGTGGCGGGCACCTGTAATCCCAGCTACTCTGGAGGCTGAGGCAGGAGAATGGCGTGAACGCGGGAGGCAGAGCTTGCAGTAAGCGGAGATCGCGCCACTGCACTCCAGCCTGGGCGACAGAGCAAGACTCCGTCTCAAAAAAAAAAAAAAAAAAAAAAAAAGTGGATGAAAAATAGTATAAAAGGAATTACTCCCTAATTATTTATATTGTGCTAAATAAAATTCCCAGTTCCAAAACCAAAATGTAATGACTGCACCATTTTTCACTTTTTCTAGATGTGGTCAGAGACTTTAAATGAGAGAAATGATACATGCATATACTTGGAGAGTAATAGGTATTGCTGAATAATATAAAGTTTGAGAATACACTTTTGCTTAAAACGTAAAATTGGTGATTTATATTATTTTATTTTTAAATGTAGAAATAGCTAAAGTATAAATTTTGTATAATGCAAGTGCTTTTCCTAGGTTTTAGTTTTGTTTTAATTTAGGAGTAAGGGTAAAGAAGCTATTTATAAATAGTACTAAGTCCGTGTGTTCTTTTCTCTAAATACATCTTGATGTGTTACGAAGATCAAATGTTCTGAAAAAGCAAATTTCCTCTAAACCTGAGTCCTCTCTTTCACTAGCAGAGAGAAAAAGTCTCTGCTAAAGTTACTGGATGAAAACAGAAACTGTATACTTGACTCTATTAAAGGAAAAAATAAAATGTTTTTTATAATATTAAGTCAACTTGAAATAAAAGAAAAAAGTTAGCTATTCAGGCCTGTCCCTAACATTTGTGGAAGTTCAGAAGTATTGCAAATCTAGACCCACATATTAATGACTACATATTTATAAGACATCAATCAAGCTTAAGAACTGTTAAAGTGTATTGAAATTCCTACATTGACAACTTCATAACAACTTAAAAAATTAAATTGAAATCTGCATTCTTGGACTGCCAAGAGAGGTCCACAATGGAATGTGAGGATTGGAAAGAGGCCCCAGGTCATAGCCAATTTCATTCTCTTTCCACCCCTCTTTCCATCTTGCTGGATGAGGGGTTTGTTACATCCAAGATACTGCAGCCTATTTGTCCAGCATCTCCTCATGAGACATCCCTTTGACCAAGGGTTGTACACACCAGTCCACCTTCAAAAAGGCTGATGTAGGGAATGGCCTTGAATAGACCTTGAAAGCAATCTTAGGACCTTTTATTTCTCCTAAAGAGGAATCCAGAGTCTTGAGTATTGGTACATTGGCATAGCACATGGATGGGCATGAGTCTTGTTTCACATGAGCACATTCACTTGTTTTGTGGACTCATCGCCACTTCCCCTTCTACTCTCCTTCCCAGCCCCCATGGGAGGAAGGTGAAAGTGGTTTGTGGTTCACTCTAAAGGGCTGGCCTAGAACCTGAGTTCCTCTTCCCTTTAGTCTAAGTTTAGCACTGCAACTATCTTGTTCCACTGTTCACATTTACCACGAAATGGGTCAAACATACAAAGAGAGCCTAAAGACACTTTTAATACATATTCGTAAATGAAAGTTTATTAATAAAATTGAAGGAGACGTATCAACACATAGTCACTTCTTTTCTAGAAAACACTCCCTACTTTATAGAATTGCTATGTGTATAGTTCCTCAGTAAGTGCTATGTGTGAACAGAAGATGTAGAATACAGATCTTTTATCTTCAGGTCACTTAATATCCAAGTCTGAACATAAGAAACATAAACACAAAAAAGTAACTTTCAGAAAAGTGCTATGCAATATATATTGGGGATCTTCTAAGGAGGGAGATGCCATCGTGGACTATGATGATCAAAGAAAGGTTAATAGAGCTTCCTATTATGTGATACTCTTCAACAATATGGGGAAGAGGAAAAGTGCATTATGGATTATTCAAAAGACAAGTGCAAATTTGGTGATAAGCATAGAAAACATTCAGAAGTATAGAATGCATACATTAGACAGAATAATGTGATTGTTTCAGAATATTTGAATATACAATTAGAAGTAAATGTTGGGACAAATTATGAAGGATTTAGAATATTAGATGTGAGAATTTGAACTTTATTCATAAATAATCAAAAAAAGAAAATGATTGTAAATTGCTCAAAAAAGGGCTATCCATCAAAAGGAGAGTCAGGGAATAACATGTATTTTGTGCATTCAAAAAAAAAATCAAAAGACTGTCTTCCACTTTCACCTTTTAAGTGTAAGGGTCACAGAAGGTAAAGAAAGTAGAAATAAATTTGAGAAATCATTGAAAAAAAGAATTTAAGTATATGAGTAGGCATAGGCAAACCAAGGTAATGACAATGTCTGTGACCACAAATTTTTGATCAGTTTGACAATAGTACCTTTGACATAAATAGGAGAAACTTGAGTCAGGAACTTTGTCCTTTACTCATAGCACCTGGCATAAGAGCTGGAGCCAGTTTTATGTTTTTGCTAGTTTTTGTTTGTTTTCTTTATACATAAAACAAAGTGAAAAATGAAAATGGCCAGAAAAAAGTTGGAAATTTGAGACTGGATCTCAGGATAGGTATTATGATGTATTTTTAGTATACTCATTTACATAGAGATGATGGTTTACACTATTTTGAGAAAAAGTAATGGTTTAGATGGAAAGTTAAAAATCAAGAAAAGAAATAAAGCATTAGACAGAAACAAAAATATTCAGGATAGGTTCATGTTATAGAAGCCTTAAAAGGACAGGTTGATAGATTTTAAAAATATTACAGTAAATAATAATGTTAGAAAGAAATTGATCACAAATTTCTCACCAAACATGCTATCACAATCAGATTACCTCAAACCAGAATGTAATCAAAACCATTGCCTCTTTCTCTAACAACAAAGATTACTATTTACTACTGCTGTAGCATTTTGATACCTTCAGGTCTATAGGAAAGGAATAAAACACCAAATGATTCTCAGCACAAAAATGGATAATGAATATCCATTTATTGTTATTAAAATAATGGGCATGATTATGCTAATAGGTAACATTCTTTCTTTAGTATGAAATTGCATTGTATTGTGTCTAAGAAAAAGTGTTGGTTGTTTTTGCAAAGTATAATTCAGGAGATTAATTGTATTCACCAATCCACAGTTTTCACTAATGAGAAGTGAACTGGAATTTGAAAGCACATACACTTTTCCCCTTAAACAATTGCCCACTCCATTTTGCAAGCTGAGAAATGGAGAAAGAGGGATATCAATCTAGGTAAAGTCTGAGGTGCTACTTGTATTAACAGGACTCAGGAATCAAAAATCTGTACTTCCTCCCATAAAAAGGGGTGCGATTTTTTCCTGTAGACAGTGAGTTAATGTGGCTGCCTTCAAAGGCAAACAGACTTCAATGTGACTAGAAGAAAAGGACAATGGAGTGTCCCCAAAAGAGAGGCATGTTTTTTAATGAATGAAAAACCAGAGATACTTTTCAAAATAATAGAATAACATGGCTTAGTTATTTTCATTACATTACAATACATTTAGTAGACTGTCCTGTCCTTCAGAAATAAGAGCCACAGTGAAATGACAATAATACATAGTAACACTTTACTATGAGCCTAACACTAAAAATATTACTTTGTATTTATTGTTTTATTTAATTTTCACAAAAATATAATGCCTGTACTACCAATACACACTTTTGCAGATGAGAAAATTGTATCAGAAGATGTAATGAAATTCTTCAACTTTACATACCTAATAACTGCTAAGATTGGCATTTGAATATACTTTGTCTGATTTTAGAGATTGTGACCTTAACCACTATGTCATACTTCCTTCCTGAAGTGTTACTGATTCACATAGACACACAAATCTGGGCTTGGCTAGGTTCCTTTTCCCAAAGAGAGAGATGGGAAAATCTACTCCTTAAATGGACTATCAAACCAAACTTTAGATATCTTAGTCACAGAATACTATAAGTTAGTATATTTTATTTCTTAGTAGGTTATTAATGAAAAATTTTAGGAAGAAACTTAAAGCATAACAACACATTGTTACAATAGGGAGTTAGAGATGAAATATTTTTAATAAAGGAAGGACTATGTAATAGTAGCCATATCAAGGAGGTCTTTTGGAATGGACTAGCATGAGTCTGCATTAGTACAGGAGGAACCACAGAGGATTAACAGCTTAAAGCTGATAGAGAATATTTGATGCTAGAGATAAAAGGAATTGATTGAATTTAAAGTTCTAGTGGAAAAGTTAGTCTGGACAATGGGCACTGAAAATTCAAGAATGGGTGATTTCAAATGTAGGAAAATGTGAGCTAGGATGATTTATAGGTACATAAAGGAGCTCTTTATAGATGGTCACTGATGGTTTCAATAAAATAGAAATGAGTTCATTTGTCAAGAATAAAGAAATTGGGACCATTGGGAGCTTAAGGTGATTAGGCAAAGCTTGGCATAGATGCTGACAGAAGTGTATCAGAAACGTAACAGGTCCAATCTTACTGATCTACCTTTATTGATTCATTTGTTTACTTGTTCATTCACTTTTTATTTAACAAAGAATTTAGTCATAACATTTTATATTATATTTATGTATATATTTAAATTATATTTATATTTATTTAGCTCCCCACCCCACAACAGGCCCCAGTGTGTGATGTTCCCCTGCCTGTGTCCATGTGTTCTCGTTTTTCAACTCCCACTTATGAGTGAGAACATGCGATATTTGTTTTTCTGTTCCTGTGTATTTTTGCTGAGAATGATGGTTTCCCACTTCATCTGTGTCCCCAGGAAGGACATGAACTAATCCTTTTTATGGTTGCATAGTATTCCATGGTGTATATGTTTCACATTTTCTTTATCCAGTCTGTCATTGATGAGCATTTTTGTTGGTCCCAAGTCTTTGCTATTGTGAATACTGCTGCGTAAACATACATGTGCATGTGTCTTTATAGTAGAATGATTTATAATCCTGTGGGTATATACCCAGTAAAGGGATTCCTGGGTCAAATGATATATCTGGTTCTAGATCCTTGAGGAATCACCACATTGTCTTCCACAATGGTTGAACTAATATACATTCCCACCAACAGTGTAAAAGCGTTCCTATTTCTCCACATCCTCTCCAGCATCTGTTGTTTCCTAACTTTTTAATGATATCCATTCTAACTGGCTTATGCCAGATGGCATCTCATTGTGGTTTTTTTTAATTATACTTTAAGTTTTAGGGTATATGTGCACAACATGCAGGTTTGTTACATATGTATACATGTGCCATATTGGTGTGCTGCGCCCATTAACTCATCATTTAACATTAGGTATATCTCCTAATGCTATCCCTCGTCCCTCCCCCCACCCCACGACAGGCCCCGGTGTGTGATGCTCCCCTTCCTGTGTCCATGTGTTCTCATTGTTCAATTCCCACCTATGAGTGAGAACATGCAGTGTTTGTTTTTTTGTCCTTCCGATAGTTTGCTGAGAATGATGGTTTCCAGCTTCATCCATGTCCCTACAAAGGACATGAATTCATCATTTTTATCTCATTGTGGTTTTGATTTGCATTTCTGTAAAGCCCAGTGTTGAATTTTTTTCATGTGTTTTTTGGCCACATAAATGTCTTCTTTTGAGAAGTGTCTGTTAGTATGCTTCGCTCACTTTTTGATGGGATTGTTTTTTTTCTTCTTGTAAATTTGTTTAAGTTCCTTGTAGATTCTGGATATTAGCCCTTTGTCAGATGGGTAGATTGCAAAAATTTTCTCCCATTCTTTAGGTTGCCTGTTCACTCTGATGATAGTTTCTTTTGCTGTGCAGAAGCTTTTTAGTTTAATCAGATCTCATTTGTCAATTTTGATTGTTATTGCTTTTGGTGTTTTAGTCATGAAGTCTTTGCCCATGTCTATGTCCTGAATGGTATTGACTAGGCTTTCTTCTAGGGTTTTAATGTTTTAGGTCTTATGTTTAAGTCTTCAATGCAGCTTGAGTCAATTTTTGTATAAGGTGTTAAGGAAGGGGTCCAGTTTCAGTTTTCTGTATATGGCTAGCTAGTTTCCCAGCACCATTTATTAAATAGGGAATACTTTTCCCATTACTTGTTTTTGTCAGGTTTGTCAAAGATCAGATGGTTGTAGATGTGTGGCATTATTTCTGAGGCCTCTGTTCTATTCCATTGGTCTATATATCCATTTTGGTACCAGTACCATGCTGTTTTGGTTACTGTAGCCTTGCAGGGGTTGCAAACCTAGTATCTGATAAAACAGACTTTAAAGCAACAAAAGTGAAAAAAGACAAAGAAGGGCATTACATAATGGTAAATGGATCAATGCAACAAGGAGTGCCAACGATTATATATATATATATATATATATATATACCCAATATAGGAGCACCCAGATTGATAAAGCAAATTCTTAGAGACCTACAAAGAGACTTAGACTCCCACACAATAATAGTGGGAGACTTTAACACCTCACTGTCAATATTAGACAGATCAAGAAGACAGAAAATTAACAAGGATATTTAGGACTTGAACTCAGCTCTGGACCAAGCATACCTAGTAGACATTTACAGAACTCTCCACCCCAAATCAACAGAATATGCATTCTTCTCAGTACCACATCACACTTACTCTAAAATCGACCACATAATTGGAAGTAAAACACTCCTCAGCAAATGCAAAAGAATGGAAATAATAACAAACAGTCTCTCAGACCACAGTGCAATCAAATTAGAACTCAGGATTAAGAAACTCACTCAAAACCGCACAATTACATGGAAACTGAACAAGCTGCTCCTGAGTGACTACTGGGTAAATAATGAAATTAAGGCAGAAAGAAATAAGATCTTTGAAAACAATGAGAACAAAGACACAACATACCAGAATCTCTGGGACACAGCTAAAGCAATGTTTAGAGGGAAATTTATAGCACTAAGTGTCCACAGGAGAAAGCAGGAAAGATCTAAAGTTGACACCCTAACATCACAATTAAAAGAACTAGAGAAGCAAGAGCAAACAAATTCAAAAGCTAGCAGAAGACAAGAAACAACTAAAATCAGAGCAGAACTGAAGGAGATAGAGACATGAAAAGTCCTTCAAAAAATCAATGAATCCAGGAGGGGTTTTTTTGAACAGATCAACAAAATAGATAGACCACTACCCAGACTAATAAAGAAGAAAAGAGAGAAGACTCAAATAGACACAATAAAAAATGATAAAGGGGATATCACTACTGATCCCCCAGAAATACAAACTACCGTCAGAGAATACTATAAAAACCTCTACACAAATAAACTAGAAAATCTAGAAAAAATTTATAAATTCCTGGACACATCCACTCTCCCAAGACTAAACCAAGAAGAAGTCAAATCCCTGAATAGATCAATAACAAGTTCTGAAATTGAGGCAGTAATTATAGCCTACCAACCAAAAAAAAAGGCCCAGGACCAGACGGATTCACAGCCAAATTCTACCAGAGGTACAAAGAGGAACTGGTATCATTCCTTCTGAAATTATTCCAAACAATAGAAAAAGAGGTACTCCTCCCTAACTCATTTTATGTAGTCATCCTCTTTTTAAAGTACATTCTTATCATGATAAATAAAATAGGAATTTCTTGGTTTATTTTATCTAATTATTTTATCTTGCCCTAATCTCTAATCTCTATTTTTATTTCCTTCTGCTTCTCCCTCTTACTTCAATTGCATTCATGTGTTTGTGGTAGACCCTTGAATATGCATTTTTTGAAAACTATAAAATTTTGTGGTTGTTTTTGAGTTATATGTTGTATATATAGTTTTTACTTTTGTAAATCCAACACTATATTATTAAGACCTATTATTGTTATCGTGTGTATCTTTACCTCATTTTTTTTTCATGCTGCACAGCACACTATTACTTCTTCTTCTTTTTTTTTTTTTTTGAGATGGAGTCTCGCTCTGTTGCCCAGGCTGGAGTGCAGTGGCGTGATCTCGGCTCATTGCAACCTCTGCCTCCCGTGTTCAAGCGATTCTTCTGCCTCAGCCTCCCGAGTACCTGGAACTACAGGCGCGTGTCACCACGCCTGGCTAAGTTTTGTATTTTTAGTAGAGATGGAGTTTCACCATATTGGACAGGCTGGTCTCAAACTCCTAACCTTGTGATCTGCCCGCCTCGGCCTCCCAAAGCACTGTGATTATAGGCATGAGCCACCACACCTGGCCTGTATTCCATTTTTATAAACAATTGTGTGTGTGTGTATTACAGTGATAGATTCTTTGCCTCCTTCCAACTCCCTGCAACAACAATTGTCTCTACTGGATATCATATCCTTTCATGAGTTTAAACTTAAGTTTATTTGCCATGTGGATCAAGAGTAGGACTGCTGGTTCATAGGTTTGGATTTCATTTCACTCCACATTGCTCTCTGGATAGTTGCATCAGTCTGTACTCCCATCAGCAGTACATGTGAAGTCTAGTTTTCTAAATTTAAAAAAAAATTTGTTATTATTTGAACATTATCTTCCATCTCACTAATGAGCACTCCTCAAATTTAACCCTTCTGCTGTTTATACCATATATTTAATCCTTCATTTCAACAGATATGGTTTTCATACTGAAAAAATATTTTATGATTGCTAATTTCTTCTTCAGGTTCAAATATTGTGCCTTATGTCTTTGAGAACATTTACTATACATATTTTTGGATTTATTTTAACTTTTTTTTTTCTTCAGAGACAGTGTCTTTCGGTTACTCAGGCTGGAGCAAGTGCAGTGGTGACAGCCTCCTAGCTAACTGCAGCCTTGACCTCCTGGGCTCAAGAGATTCTCCTGCCTCAGCCTCCTTGGTAACTGGGACTACAAGTGCATGCCGCCACACCTAGGTATTTTTTTTAATTATTATTTATTTTGTAGAGACAGGGGCTCTCTTGGTTGCCCGAGCTGATCTCAAACTCCTAGCTTCAAGCAATGCTCCTGTCTTGGACTCCCAAAGTGCTGGGATTACAGATGTAAACCACCACATATGGTCACATATTTTAAACTATTGTTAATTTTTGTAAATCTGGTTGTCTTTGATATACATGTATTTTATTTTAGAGTCATTGAATTCCTTTGAGGCCTATTTTTTCCTAGTAAGATTTATTATGCTGATTAAGAATACATGGCACTAAAATCAGGCTCAAGATTGACCCACCAGAAGTGTTTAGAATGAAGGACTCCTTAGGAAATAACTGGATTCTGCCACCCTTTGTTTGCCTTCCTCCTCCATAAAAGTTGGTGTATTCACGTGTCCTGGGTGGTGCTGTTTACCAAGACTGGTCTCCCTCAGTTTTAATCACCATCCTAACACTCATTGTATGGAGTAGCTGGGTTAGAGGAGAATGCCTAGGGTTCAGATGGTCTTTCTGCATTTGTCACTATTTCCTCATTTTCCAAGCTAGGTTGAGTCATATTCTGCCTGGCCGACTCCAAAATGGCTTTAAAGGAGTTAGCAGTGGTCTCTTTTCAACTCTAGTTTTGCTAGAATGGGAGCTCCATTTGGTCAAAGTTTTGTCTTTCTGGCTCTGTAGTGTATTCTCAGTATTTAGAAGAGTGCCTTGCACACTGTGGGTACTCTAACTATTGAAAGAGCAGAAAAAAATACAGGAATGCAATGAAAAGGAATGATGACCACTAAAAACTTCCGCCCCAGCATATTCTGGTTTCCTTACATCTCAGTTTTCTGCTCTTTGCTGTCATTTTTTTCTCTACTCGCAGACTTTACTGTAGTTTGTAACTGCAAAGGTTTCTCACATCTTTTAGTATTAGATGCTGATTTCTGTGTCATTTCCAGGGTTGTGGTCACAGAAAGAAGCCCACATCATGTTAGTTCTCCATCTTACCAGATAAAGCTTAGCTTAATGTACTTCTATGCCAATTTCTTTGAATAACTAAACTTTCAATAATTTAATCAATCACTGATTAATCCAAGATTTGTCTCAGATGGGGCACAACTTCCACAACCTAATGTAGCTTCCACAACCTAATTTTTAATCCCCAAAAATGAAATTTACCAATTATTTTGTTAAATCATACAAATATAAAAATTCTGAACAGTGAAATAAAGAAAGTATCTCAAAAGTAAGAGTACTCTTGGACAACAATAGCTAAAAAAGTGTAACAAATATGAAAATATGCAGGCTCTGTTTCTGACCTTTAATCATTCTATACTTCTGGGGAGCAGTTATTTTGAGACTCAGTTTTTACAGAAGTAAAATGGGAACAAAAACAGTTCCTCTGCCTGGCTCATAGAATTTCTGTGAGAATAAAAGACAATTAATCTTTCTAAAGATATATTACATATATTGTAAAGTACCACAATTATAAATACAGGAGAATACTTGCTTCTCTTCGTATCCATTTTTCTGTTTCCAATGCTTGTTTGGTTTTTAAAATTTAATAGTATTTTCCTGCTACTCAATGTTTGACTACTGAAATTCTTATATAAATGTTTTCTGCAAAAAAATTTTATGGACATAGAATAATAATTGTATGTGCTCAGTTGCTTGATTAAAATACTTTATTGTGATTATTTTGTAAAGAAAAGAATTGCACTATAATTTCGATGTTGTGCAAATTATAATAATTAAATATTTAGGCTAAAAAAGATAATGCAAGAAGGCTAAGTTGTATTGTCATATTGTTAAGATTACTTTTTATTTAATGTTCCTAATCAGAAGTGAACCATTATCTATGTAAAAATAATTTAATTCAGAAAATTTTGGTCTCAAATTTACATAATGCCATCATTATCCTTTTTATGTTCTGGAAAATTTATTCTAAATTACCTAGAAAAAAAGGTTGATTCTATAGTGTTATTTTTTATTCTCTATATCTCAGGTAAGAATAAAGGGAAACGAGTAAGTAAAGGAAAAACAAAGATGAAAAAGGAAATTGTACTCAAGTCACATAGACACTGAAGTCTCAGATGTATGTGGAACTTTCTGTTTGGTAGAGGATATAGAAAAGAGAAAGGGATATCGAATTTCTGACAACCTACGTGCTTAGTGCTTTGTCTACCAATGTGATGAGGACATATTTATTTTTTCCTTGTGCTTTCTGCATTGAGACAAGTACATTATAAGCTTATCATACAAATGATTCAAAAAAAATACTCGCCATTTATTTTCTATTAGTTCTTTTTCTCCCGAGGTTACTGCCCTACAAGGAGCTATTTTAACCTCCTCCTGTCTTTGCCAGTGAGAACATCTTGACATGACTCCAATTCCAATTCTGATGTACTGGAAGAATAAAAACACATTTATTTAAAAAATCTAAAGCATATTAATGATGCCATAGAAAGACATCTTGCTTAAGATAAACCCATTAATTTTACCTTTGTAAACATGTTTCAGCATGACTGTGTGATTAAGGCTTCATTCTGTGCAGACTACAACTGTAGTAACGGCAGCAGCCAAGAAAAAATAGCAAAATATTTTTAAAAACAGAAGCAAACAGCAAGGCTTTCACAATCCATTGTTTAAATTCATCTTTTATATCTTGTTTTATTACGTTTTTCTCTCTTACTTTATGTGTATAATGAAATACCATTATCACTGTCATCATCCCCAGATTAAAGCTTCGAGAAAGAAAGAAAGCCTATCCTAGAATTGATTTTTAGGCCATTTTACTTGAGATGATCGACAATAAGAGGATTTTCATTTGCTTTGTCAGTGTAAGCTGGCTGCTGTGCATCTGCAGTGAAGGCAGCACAGGTCTCTGTTTGCATTCTGCGGTTTGTTAGCAGCAATGACCTGTCACAGAAAGGCTCTACAGCACAATATTTACACAGATCATTAGCAGAGCAGGCCCTGTTTGCCAGATCGCTAATCAGTTTTGTGACTGCCCCAGTTTCATCAAGACTATAAATAAAATAAGCCATCGGAAAAAGCTCCAAAATGGGCATTGTCAGAGCTGGTGACACTTCTGGCAGCTCTAGGCATATAAATCCTCTGATAACAATGCAGTGGTAGTGACAAATAAAAGACTGCATTTAAACTATGAGTCTGAAAATGAGTGTGTGTGTTACTTCAAGAGGACCTTCTTTTCTTTATACTCTGTCGATTTCAGCTTACTCTAGCCCTATGGTGTAAACAAGCTAGCAATAGTCAAGTAGGATTTGCTTTTTTCTCCTTTCACTCACGATTGAAATTTGTTTACTGCAGTTTGCGATGTAGAGTCCATGACATGTGAACCCATGGTGAAAAGCCACAAAAGAAGGGGAATTCGTAAGTGAGAGGGCACGCTGGACTTACTGGCCTGTCTGACCTCCGTTGAAAATATTACTCACAGAATCAGTAGCATTCAAAATGCTGACAGAAAGATTGTAAGAGGTCAGCAAAGGGTGAACCTGTATAAGAGCCTAGGGACCAACCTTTAAGAGTTATGATAAACTATTAGCTGTATGGTGGCCACAATTGAAATGCAACTATTTATTTATTTCTCTTTTTTCATTTTTTGATATGTGCCCAAATCAATAGTGATTGCTTTCTCCTTTGTTGTAGAAAAAAAGTATATAAAAGACTCAGAAGAGTCAAGCCCTGGGATGTTTTAATAAGAAGTTGACATTGAATAAAAACATTATTTGCAAAGAGAGTTTATTAAAGTCTTTCAGCTTTGCTCCCTCTGTCTCCTTTGTCACTTGACTCTTACTGAGAACCACAAGGCCATCTAGTAGAGATTACATGGTAATCATTAGTAGACAGATGCAATTTTGTCTGCCATGTAATCTTTACTTTCTGTTCCAGGAAAATATGAGTATTTTTAAAGTTAGTGGAAATTTACAGATTTTCTATATACAGGGCATTGGCAGGCCAGAGAAACGCTAATTAATTCATGTCATAAATGTTTATTGTGCAGCTACTATGTGTACTGGATAGAAAGTAGTATCTGACAGACATGTTCCTTGCCCTCTGAAACTCAGTTTAGAAAAGAGAATACAGGTTCAAATATAATGAACATTTGTTTTATTTTATATTACATAATATCTTTTTTTGTTGTTGTTTCTATCTTCATTTTCACCAGGGGAAGGGAATCTGTGTCTATTGGAACTCTTTTCCTATATTTGTTTTAGGATTGCCATACCTCTGGTTTCCCAGGTATAGTTCATCAAAACTAGGGACAGATCTAGTCTTTATGGGAACTGCAACTTATAAAATGTGGAGTTCCTCTTTAGGAAAAAGGATATGCAGCCCTAGAAAATGAAAGGATCCAAATTTTTGAAGAAAATGAACTTAGTATGGTATATTCTTACTTTTTTTCTGAGTGAAAGATATCTTATATATCATACCAATTCCCAATAAGTTTCATCCTTTTGTCTGCGTTATTTTCAGTTTTCAGTAAAATAAATGTGTGTATACCACAACCTCTAAGTACTTCCTTTAGACCTTATGGTTTGAATTTGGTATGAAAGAGGAAGCTTCTAAAAGTGTTTTCTATGTGCATGATGATTTATAGGCAAATATACCGGCACATATAGTTACCTTAAAACTTAGATATTTAAGTATATGTTGGATGAATGAAAAAATTGAAGAACAGAAAAATGTAAAAACAAAAGAAGGTAAGTCAAACATTTTGAGAGAGTTCTTGGATGAAAAGTAGAAATTTAAAATGTAAGGTTGTAAAAAATAGCAATGTCCAGTAAATGCATGCACATAAACATGAAATAACTTAAATGTCATTATGCTAATTTTACTTGCATAAACTTTCAGGACATGAATACAGATAAGGACATAATTACAGTAGTTAGAATGATTAAAAAATAGTATGCCCCATACTATGAATTTCACACACAGTTTGATTACTGGGAGACATTTAGAGCAGCAGACTAAATGTATAGGTGCTATACTGTAAATTGTAAGTTGGATGGGAGGCCATCAACTTTGGTATTGGCTATAGCACTTCAATTAAAGAAAAGTGGCTGGGCCTGGTGGCTCATGCGTATAATCCCAGCACTTTGGGAGGCTGAGGCTGAAGGATTGCTTGAGCCCAGCAATTCAAGACCACCTTAGGCAACAAAGTGAGACCCTGTCTACCAAAAATTCAAAAAATTAGCCAGACATAGTGGCACGTGTCTGTGGTCCCAGCTAAATGGGAGGCTGCCTTGAGAGGATTACTTGAGACCAGAAGGTCAAGGCTGAAATTAGCTGTGATCATGCTACTGCACTATAGCCTGGGTGACAGAGTGAGATCCTATCATAAATAAATAAATAAATAAAATAAAAAATAAAGAAAAGTGTCATTTACATCTTTTTACGTTTTTTAAAATCCTGTTTGAGGTATTTTCTTATCACTATACAAAGTCACTAAACATATGCATTCTATAATAGGGTAATCAAGTAAAAAAAAGAGAAATTTATTTTTTCATAATATTTTTGTTAAAATTCATTGAAGGATATCTTACAGAAAATGTGACATTCTTACATTCTGATTATCAGGGCACAATTTGATAAAATTTTATCAAGTGAACAATAATCTGGTAATCAGAATGCAGATTAAGAAAGAGAACACTAAAACCTCATAACCCTACCTTCCCTGCACTATTTACTCTAAACTCCATTCCATCCATTAAAGATAGTGATGACTGAATTTTTTTTTTTTTTTTTTTGGCTATTCTTCTGACTCTAGTTTCTGAGATTTTTTTTTTTATTATACTTTAAGTGTTAGGGTACATGTGCACAATGTGCAGGTTAGTTACATATGTATATATGTACCATGCTGGTGTGCTGCACCCATTAACTTGTCATTTAGCATTAGGTATATCTCCTAATGCTATCCCTCCCCCCTCCCCCCACCCCACAACAGTCCCCAGAGTGTGATGTTCCCCTTCCTGTGTCCATGTGTTCTCATTGTTCAGTTCCCACCTATGAGTGAGAATATGCGGTGTTTGGTTTTTTGTTCTTGCAATAGTTTACTGAGAATGATGATTTCCAATTTCATCCATGTCCCTACAAAGGACATGAACTCATCCTTTTTTATGGCTGCATAGTATTCCATGGTGTCTATGTGCCAAATTTTCTTAATCCAGTCTATCATTGTTGGACATTTGGGTTGGTTCCAAGTCTTTGCTATTGTGAATAGTGCTGCAATAAACATACATGTGCATGTGTCTGTATAGCAGCATGATTTATAATCCTTTGGGTATATACCCAGTAATGGGATGGCTGGGTCAAGTGGTATTTCTAGTTCTAGATCCTTGAGGAATCGCCACACTGACTTCCACAATGGTTGAACTAGTTTACAGGTGATGACCGAATTTTAACATAGACTCAGTTTGCCTGGTTGGACATTAACGTGTGTGTGTGTGTGTAACTCTTATTTTTATATACTATGTTTTTTTGAGATGGAGTTTTGCTCTTGTTGCCCAAGCTGGAGTGCAGTGGCACAATCTTGGCTCACTGCAACCTCCGCCACCTGGGTTCAAGCGATTCTCCTGCCTCAGCTTCCCGAGTAGCTGGAATTACAGGTGCTCACCATCAATTCAGGCTAATTTTTTGTATTTTTAGTAGAAACAGGGTTTCACCATGTTAGCCAGGCTGGTCTCGAACTCCTGACCTCAGGTGATCCACCTGCCTCAGCCTCCCGAAGTGGTGGGATTACAGGTGTGAGTCACCACGCCCAGCCATTTTGACATAATTTTAAACTTAGAAAGAAGTTGCAAGAATAGTAGAAGAAAGTCCTATATACCCTTTTATCCAGATTTTTTTCTAAATTACATTTGAATATATTGGTAGTGTGCTCTCTCTCTCTCTCTCCTTTCTATACTATTTGCAAATTGGAGCCATCTTATTATTTTAATCCTAAGTACTTTATTGTATATGTCCTAAAAACCAGAACATTCTCTTAGGTAATCACATTTTATTATATAATTCCTACATAGTTTAAAAAATCAGGAAAATTTAGACTATATTTTAGTGTTTTTTAAAAATATATACTAAGTATGAATTATTTCTTAATGGGTTAAACATAGACTTGGAACTAAAAAACTCTAACTAGGGCCACTCTTTCTTTATAGAAGTTATTGACATTTTCTCAAGGAGAACAGATGAAATCCTAGGGGGCATGCCTTGCAAATTCATCATTTAATATGAGAACTGCTACTGGTAGAGCAACAGCTATTTGGCCCTATATTTCAGTGAGGCCCTAAATGGCAACAATTTTAGAATTAATGGCAAATGTAGTCCCTGATTCTTTTTGTTTGTTTTTGTTAATAGACTCACTTCAGCGTCCATCAAATATTCCATTAAAGGTCGTCTTCTTGGTTTCTTGATGTAGTTGCTGTTGGTGATATTTCTTAATATATTAAGATGGAACAACTTACCATTCCATTTTGAGTCATATTTTAATTCATTAAGCTAAAATGTTTGAGTAAATACAGGGTTTAGCATAGTATTTTGCACAGAATACTTTAAGAAATACAGATGTTTAAAAAGCAATCTTGCTCTTAAGGACCTTCAATGCTAATAGAAAGACCACTCCTATAAGAAGAATATGTGATGTAATCCCAAGTGCACTAAGGATTTTGATGAGGGAAAAATTATTTCTCCTTGGGTTTATCAGAGAAGATCTTGAAAGAGCTGGCATCTGAGATGTGCTGTGAAGTTATGTAGGTTTCTACAGGTGATAATAGAAAAAGAGTGTATCGAAATGGGTATGTGTGTGATGCCACAAAGAAATTTTAGTAGAATTTAAGGTACTGAATAGTTTGATGAGAAGGTGGTTTAGCATGAGCAAGAAAAATGAAATATTACCGGAACAATTTTGAAAGGCTGTAAATTACTGGCTAAAGAGTTGGATATTTCTCAGAAAATGTAGGGAACCGTGAACATTATTTTTTGAACAGGTGATGCATTTACATGATACAGAATTGGAAAATTCCACATTCTATCCTTTTCTATTGTCTGCCCAGTTCTTACCTCTTAACAACAGCTTCTTGGTGTCTTAAGTATTTTATGTATATATAAGAGATAACAAAATACATTATTGATTTCCTTTATTTGGACAGCATAACACGTATCCTTTTGGCACATTGCTTTATTCGTTAGCAATTTATCTTGAAAAACTTTCCACATTAATACATATAGAAAATTTTCAGTATTTTTACTATTGCAGAACATCAAAGGGATGTGTCATCATTAAGTCGTACTATATTAAAAACTTTGTTGTTTTCAGAATCTTGTTCTTATATATTTTTCTGCAATGAATATAGTCATATATGTCGTTTTATATGTAAGTAGTTATTTAGGATAATCTGCCTAGAGTATAATTGATTGGACATGCACACATGCATTTTTTATTTGATAAATATGTACTAATTTATACTCCAATCATGTGGATGCATGAATGGTAGTACCTACTTCTCTATATGTTTGCTGAAGTTTGTGTTATTAAATATGCTATTCTAATAAGTGAAAGAATATTGATAGAGTTTTATTTGTAGTTTTATTATGGTTGAACTTGAATACACTTTTGTATACTTAAAAGTCATTTGCATTTACTTAATTTTTTATTTTTATTTTATTTATTTATTTTTTTGAGATGGAGTCTCACTCTGTTGCCCAGGCTGGAGTGCAGTGGCACAATCTTGGCTCACTTCAAGCTCCACCTTCTGGGTTCACGCCATTCTGGGCTCACTGCAAGCTCCACCTCCCGGGTTCACGCCATTCTCCTGCCTCAGCCTCCCGAGTAGCTGGGACTACAGGCACCCGCCACAAAACCCGGTTAATTTTTTTTAGTAGAGACGGGGTTTCACCGCTTTAGCCAGGATGGTCTCGATCTCCTGACCTCGTGATCAAACCGCCTCAGCCTCCCAAAGTGCTGGGATTACAGGTGTGAGCCACCGCGACGGCCTGCATTTACTTTCTATCAATTGTTTATATACTTGCCTATATTTCTTTTGAGTTTGAGTCTTTTGCTCATAAATTTCTAGAAACACTTCATATAGTAAAGAAATTATACTATATGAAGAGTAAATATTATTCTTTACTTGATTACTTGTAGTTTCAATTTGTTTACAATATTTCACTTGATCTTAGCCAAAAGACTGAGAAGTGAATGTTTACAATATTTTTTCATGAAGTTATTGTTACTGTATTCACATATACCCATTTTTTAATCTTTTAGCTTCTAGACTTTTAGTTATAATTACTTATACCTTAACCACTTAAAGGTTATAAAGGAAATGTCCTATGTTTACTTCTAGAGCCTTTGTGGTTTTATTTTCTACATTTAATGCTTTAATCTCTTTAAAAATAATCTTACACGCAGTAGGGGCATATGAATCTACCCATGTTATTTTTCCACAAAGTGGTAACTCATATTTCTTTACTGGTTTGAGCATTAATATACACTTTTTGGGATATTCTATTCTTTTTTATTCACCAATCTAGACTCTATTAAAATTCTCACAGTCCTGCTTTAAAAAAAAAAACTTATTTTTTCTTTTATGCTGTCCTCTATCAGTCACATTTATTTACATCTTTGGCCCTTCTGGTTTTAATTTGAAAACAGCCTGTACTTTCTCATCCCTAGTAGGCAGAAAAGAATAGCTGTTCACCATTTCAAGCCTCTTTGTTTGAAAAATGCATTCAGTGCCAGTGAGATTTACATACATTTTTAGTAATAAAAAAGTAAAAGTTTTTTCCTTAACGGCACAAATCAACCTGAGTTACTGTAAACTACTTTATGAAATACTTTTATAAAGTATTAGTACTTGCTTACAGCTTATACCCTGCAAATAAAGCCCACCTAAACAATGAAGAGATTGTATATTATATATTTGAAGTAGATAGGTAGAAAAGTTTTCAGCTCTGCTTGATTTATGGTTCAGAGATCTCAGCAAGGAAGCACATTCTTTCTGCCTCTCCACCCTGCAGTTCACCTATTAGCTTCATCCTACTTCTGCTTCCCCTTGTAGTATGCAATGGCTGGTAAGAGCAATGAGCAGTACAGGATTTCTCATTCAAATCCAGTGAATACAAGGGAAAGAGTTTTCCCCTTTTATGAATAGAAGTCTTTCCTTCTTTATATTATAATAGAAACTATTTGCACTGTCTGCTTATTCCCAGATAACAATTTACAAACACAGGTACTGACTGATGTATGTCTGATTTTTTGAAACAACCAGGAGCAATGGGAAAATAATTACCCACATTGTCTAAGAGTAACTGAGGCCCAACTCTGGAACTGGGGAGTTCTGTTTATTTTATTCAGATATCCCTTCTATGGATAAAGCTGATCTTTCCCTAAACACAGGGACGATTTACAGATAGAATGGATATCTGAATAAAATATGGATTCTGTTAAAAAAAAGAAAGATAAGGAAAATGTAAGAGGGTTAGGCAGCCAACTGTGTGCACTAGAAATTGTTTTCTTGAGAATTCCATCAGGGGCATTCTCTGCATTCTCTACTTTATATTTGTGGTTAATCCACTATTCTGTCTCTCAAAGAATGTATCTATGTGTGAACTGGTTTTGTTACTCTAATTTCTGTGTGTCCAGAATGGCAGCTAATTACTTGGTAACTTTCTCTAACCTAAGATTTTGAATAGCTCATAAGACATATTTCTTTTAATTGCGGAAATGAGAAGCTAATGACTTGATTATGATGTAAAAGTGAGTTACTGTGTTCACCCGCATTTTATGTTATAGTCTATATTATGACACATATATCTTAAGATATATTTGCTCAATCCAAAGCTATGAATAAAACGGTAAATACTTTTACTACAGGAGAAATACTTAAAGTAATATATTTTTTTTGGATGAAAAGTTACTTCATTAGCTCCAAAGTGAATTTTATATTTTTAGTACACTTAAATTCAGGTTTGCATATAAATTGAGTCTGTGATATCATCTCAGAATTCACTAGGAGTAAGAGTTCTTCTTTAACACAGCCTTTGTGAAGCTTTGTCTCTTACTCTTCCTCATTACTTCCCACTTGTTCTTTTGAAGCTGCTCTATTCTACAGACTTTTGAGGCATTTAGGGGCTGAATGATTGAATTTATTTGCTCTCGTGAGATAAAATTCAAGAGTTTTTTGTTTTTTTTTGTTTTTGGAAAACATAAATCCTTCTTCGTTGAGAAAAAAAGGATGGGAAGCAGATCTGCTATCTAGGCTCTTCCTTTATATAGAGGACAAGGAAATAAAAGTCATATCCCTGTTGTTATGAAATAAATCAAGTTCCCCTATAACCTATATGTTGAGTCTCTAACCCGCAAAGTGACTGCATTTGGAGATATGGCCTTTAAAGAGGTAATTAAGGTTAATTAAGGTCATATGAATGGGACCCTAGTCCAATAGGACTGGTGTCCTTTTAAGAAGAGGAAAAGACACCAGTGAAGTGCTTGCATCAAGAAAAGGCAATGTGAGAACACAGTAAGGAGGCAGCCATGTGCAAGCAAAGGAGAGAGGTCGCAGGAGGAACCAAACCTGTTGACACCTTGATCTTAGACTTCTAGCCTCCAGAACTGTGAGAAAATAAATTCCCACTCTTAAGCCACCTGGTTGATGATACTTTGTTATAATAGCCCTAGCAGACTAATACATTTGTAAACATGCTAAAAGCAGACTTTTTGCAAACAAGCTAGTTACGTTAGCTAGTGGGAGGGTTTTTATCTGCAAGGTGTTTTTAGCAGCATGTACTTGGTTGTTTAGCATCTCCTGTGTTAAAAAAAAAAAAAAAGCAACCCTAGAATCTATGGATATATGGGGCATCGCTTCCTGGAAAATATTATGCATCCTTTGTGCCTATTTGATTATAAAATGGAAGTGTTTATTACTGATACTTTTTATCTTTTGTGTAAGTAATGTGCCAGAACTTATTTATCGTAGTAGGAAGAGATCCAGTGAATACTCAACCTCTCACCTTAGTTCTCCCTGAGCCTCTAGACACTAGACTTTTATATCCTAAAAATGATTAAACATTTCTATTTCATATGAGTCTAATTTGACAGTTGAATTATTTGTACCATCTCACCGATGATAAAATTAGCAGTTATATTGTGTAGAATATACAGATAGGTAGGTTATAATTTTTCTATGTTAAGTTTATATAGAGAAGAACAAATGCCACTTGTAACTGGTGATGAAGCATAGAACAATGACTTTTCTACATATCTAATTCAATAAAAGAGTTTACATGTGGAAATTCAACAAAGTAACTATACTCTGGCAATGCACATCAACTTAACTGGTGGGAATATTTCCTGAGGTGGAAATACTTCAGTTTTATGGTATAATCTACCAAGGATGAGTATAGTATAATCCACCAACTAAGATAAATTGTCTCCAGTTTTATTAATCAAATGAATATTATATTGGAAGTGAGCATTTAATATTTATATAGTTGTCTACTTCAAGAGTTTCTGATTATATACATCAGAAAAATAAAATTTTTGATAATAAAATATATTCAAAGGATCCTCCCAAACATCCCACAGTAACACAGCACATGATCTAACAACCCTAATAGTCACAACAGTCCACATAATGTCTCATTGTATATGCTTCCGGTTTTAATTTGAAAACAGCCTGTACTTTCTCATCCCTAGTAGGCAGAAAAGAATAGCTGTTCACCATTTCAAGCCTCTTTATTTGTTTGAAAAATGCATTCAGTGCCAGTGAGATTTACATACATTTTTAGTAATAAAAAAGTAAAAGTTTTTTCCTTAACGGCACAAATCAACCTCAGTTACTGTAAACTACTTTATGAAATACTTTTATAAAGTATTAGTACTTGCTTTTAAAAGTTATGCTGTTCAAAGAGATTTTGAAAATACCTTAATGAAACACACAAAGTGATTACCTGTAGGTTAAAAGAACCATCCTAGATGGAAGAAACAATGTAATGTATGTATTTATTGTTAAGGATTTCTATCTTGCCCATATCTCTATCTTAACCACCCTAGCTGTATTAGTCTGTTTTCACGCTGCTGATAAAAATATACCCAAGACTAGGCAATTTACAAAAGAAGAAGGTTTAATGGACTTACAGTTCCAGGTGGCTGGGGATGCCTCACAATTGTGTTGGAAGTTTAAAGGCAAATCTCACATGGCAGCAAATAAGAGAAGAGAGCTTGTTCAGGGAAAGTCTCCTTTATAAAACCATCAGGTCTCATGAGACTTATTCACTGTCACCAGAGCAGCATGGGAAAGACCTGCCCCCATGATTCAGTACCTCTCACTGGGTCCCTCAAACAACACATGGCAATTCAAGATGAGATTTGGGTGGGGACACAGCCAAACCTTATCATTTCACCCTGGCCCCTCCCACATCTTATGTCCACACACTTCAAAACCAATCACGCCTTTTAAACAGTCCTCCAAAGTGTTAACTCATTTCAGCATTAACTCAAAAGTTCACAGTCCAAAGTTTTATCAGAGACAAGGCAAGTCCCTTCCACCTATGAGTCAGTAAAATAAGAAGAAAATTAGTTACTTCCTACATACAATGGGGGTACGGGCATTGGGTAAGTACAGCTGTTGCAAATGGAAAAAACAATGGCTAAAACAAAGGCCCCATGAAATTCTGAAATCCAGCAGGGCAGTCAAATATTAAAGGTCCAAAATGATCTCTTTTGACCCCATGTCTCATATTTGGGTCACACTGATCCAAGAGGAGGTTCCCATGGTCTTGAACAGCTCTGCACCTCTGTCTTTGCAGGACACAGCCTCCCTCCCAGCCACTTTCATGGGCTGGCATTGAGTGTCTGCAGCTTTTTCAGGTGCACAGTGCAAGCTGTCGGTACAGCTACCATTCTGGGGTCTGAAGGATGATGGCATTCTTTTCACATCTCCACTAGGCAGTGCCCCAGTGGGGACTCTGTGTGGGGGTGCCCACCCCACATTTCCATTTCACAATATCCTAGCAGGGGTTCTCCATGAGCACCCTGCCCCTGCAGCAAACTTCTGCTTGAACATCCAGGTGCTTCCATACGTTCTCTGAAATCTAGGCAGAGGTTGCCAAATCAATTCGTGACTTCTGTGTACCCTCAGGCTCAACATGTAAAACCTGCCAAGGCTTGGGGCTAGCACCCTTGGAAGCCACGGCCTGAGCTGTACCTTGGCCCCTTTTAGTCATGGCTAGAGCAGCTGGGATGCAGGGCACCAGGTCCCTAGACTGCACATAGAGGGAACCTGAGCCTGCCTCATGAAACCATTTTTTCCTCTAAAACCTCCCAGCCTGTGAGGAGAAGGACTGCCACAAAGGTCTCTGACATGCCCTGTACACATTTTCCCCATTGTCTTGGTGACTAACTTTCAGCTCCTTGCTACTTATGCAAATTTCTGCAGCCAGCTTGAATTTCTCCTCAGAAAATGGGATTTTCTTTTCTATCACATTGTCAGGCTGCAAATTTTCTAGACTTTTATGATCTGTTTTCCTTTTAAAACTGAATGCTTTTAACACCACACAAGTCACATCTTTTTTTTTTTGGAAGTCTCACTCTGTCACCCAGGCTGGAGTGCAGTGGGGTATGATCTCAGCTCACTGCAACCTCCCCCTCCTGGGTTCAAGCAATTCTCCTGTCTCGGCCTCCCGAGTAGCTGAGACTACAGGCGCACACTACCATGTCCGGCTAAAAAGTCACCTCTTGAATGCTTTGCTGCTTAGACATTTCTTTTGCCAGATACCGTAAATCATCTCTCTCAAGTTCAAAGTTCCACAAATCTCTAGGGCAGGGGCAAAATGCCACAAGTCTCTTTGCTAAAACATAACAAGAGTCACCTTTGTTCCAGTTTCCAACAAGTTCCTCATGTCCATCTGAGACCACCTCAGACTGGATTGCATTGTCCATATCACTATCAGCATTTTGGTCAAGCCGTAGAACAAGTCTCTAGGGAGTTCCAGACTTTCCCACATTTTTCTGTTGTTTTCTGAGCCCTCCAGACTGTTCCAACCTCTGCCTGTTATCCAGTTCCAAAGTTGCTTCCACATTTTCAGTTATCTTTAGAGCAGAGTCCCACCCCACTCCTGGTACCAATTTACTGTATTAGTCTGTTTTTATACTGCTGATAAAGACATACCCAAGACTGGGCAATTTACAAAAGAAAGAGGTTTAATGATCTTACAGTTCCATGTGGCTGGGGAGGCCTCATAATCATTGCAGAAGGTGAGAGGCATGTCTCACATGGCAGCAGACAAGAGAAGAGAGCTTGTGCAGGGAAACTTCCCTTTATAAAATTATCAGATCACATGAAATTTACTATCATGAGAACAGCATGGGAAAGACCTGCTCCCATGATTTAATTACCTCCCACCAGGTCCCTCTGACAACACATGGGAATTCATGGTGAGATTTGGGTGGGGACACATCACTAGATAACAGCAAAGCTGTACAATTCTTAAACATTGTCATGGAAAAGTAATTCCACAACTCTACTTTGAACTATATGTGATGTTGTTTACATTCATCATACCCTCTTTATGCTAAACTAAAATATTTAGCTGTAATTTATGATAACTATTTATAGTTCCTCTTTCTTTCCCTCTCTGAACTTCCTGCAATACCCTGCAAAGTTGGTATATTATCTACCTTTTTCCTTTACTTTTACTATTTTTGTGAACAAAAATGTCAGAAGATGAAGTATTTTAAGTCAATTTTTTTTTAAATGGTGAAAAATTTTAAACACTGTGAGGGGCCAATAAAAGAGATTATTTTCATTGTGAGGGACATTTTAGCATGAGTCAAATCACATGACAGTCAATTTTGTTCTTTGATTAATGTACAGGTACAATGAATTTCAGTTATGGGAGAACTTCTCTTTCTCCTTTGACTTATTCTCTCAATTTTTGCACTCTCATTTTTGTTTTTTTGTTGTTGTTTTTTTTTTTTTTTTGTAAAGAGTTTCTAGTAAGGACTATGTGTTAATCAGTTTTAAGAACACAGATTTTATCAAAGAAAATTATCTCTGTAAAATATTTGCACTAATGGAAAAATATGTGAACCACCCAGTCTTATTTTATTGGACCCCAAGTTAGTTTGTGTTTGTGTGTATGTGTGGGTATTTATCTGATATCAACCATTATCTTTTAACATCAGCATGAAACAACATGCTGGTCTGAAACATAAAAATATATATCACTCTTACCAAAGCCAGTCTGTATTTTAATTGCTTTTTCCTGAAAGTGGAATCATGTAAAACTTAAAAACAGATTGAAATGAAAGGGAAAAATTTGATTCTGTAATTAACTTACCATGTGACCTTCACCACACTGATGGTCCTTACAGATCTAAATTTCTATATCTGTAAAATAAAGAAGGTTGATTTTACATGATTTCAAAAAATATATCATTTTTTTGACAGTCATAGAAGTTTTATATAATTCTCTATTCTAGTCTACTGCAAAGGAATAGCAGCAGGTGAAAACTATAATGTTTGACCCTGAAGATTATTATGTGATATGTGTAAGGGTCTTAATGTGTACAATTCCATTTTTAGGGGCTCAAGAGATAAAATTTCTTTTCCAAAATGGATAAATACAAAATCATTTTTGCAATAAAAATGTATTGTGAGGGAATCTTTTGAATCAATGTGATTACTTGTTGTGGAAGATACAGGCCATATGGCATAGCGTCTTGCCTCAAGGATCTTATCACTTAGTGAGTGAAATAAAACAATTACACAGATAACTGCCAGTAGGCAGCACTAAATGTCTTAAGTGATGGATAGACAGAGAGGTAAGAAGGGTCCAATCAAATGCTGAAATGTTAATAAAACCCAGATCACAGGCGGTGATGATCAAATGAATTGAACAGGCTTAGGAGAAATCCGTGAAAGAAAGAAATCTGTATCCCTGGGATCTTTCCATTTTTGAGAATATATTACATTTGAATCTCTTAGGGATGTGTGATTCCCCTTCCCTTTAAAATAGTTACAGTATAATTTCATTAAAATCTTGGATTTTGTCAGTCATAGCAGACAATAGCATTTTATGTCCTGTGAAGAATTGTATGCATAATTTTGGAAACAAGACAAAGGAAAGAGGCTCTCTAAGCTGTTAGAAACAAAGGATTTTTAAAATCTTTCTTCTCTCATACCTCCATTAAGGTTGTCTTTTCTCCTTTAAAGCTATAAGAAATATTCTGAATACTAATGTGACAGAACCAGATGCAATCCCCAAATATCATATTTACTTAATATAAATTCATAGTCCTTACCTTTAAGGAGATTTGACAATTCACTTTGTCTTTTAGCCTTGGGGTAGTCAGGAAAGTTAGGCACAATGTTTTAATGCTCATTCCTTCTCTTTTGCTCTTAGCTATCATTAATCCCTAATGCCTGGAACTGCATAAATTTCTTCTACAAAGGAAGCCCACAGGTCGTTTTTATTTGGAGCACTTTTTTTAATATGCGCCACAATATATTCCGGTATGTATTACCTCGTCTGAATGCAAAACTGTTTTATATGCAGATTTAAGGTAGTGAGCAGTCAAGTTTAAAAAATGGTTCTGGTATCCTGTAGCTTCTCAATAATAATATACTCTTACATTCCAACAGAGAAGGATGGATTATGGGTTTTTCAATTTGCATCAGGCATATTAATTGCAGAGTAGGGCTTCCACATAAAATATCAATGTACTGGAACAAACTGTTAATGTACCAGAATATGAACACTTACATTCATTTCTGGAGCTTTAAAAGGAATCATCCCCCTCCCCCGCTTTTTAATATCTATACCTCTGGAGATGGTACAGTTTTTTAGTCAGTTAATGAGAACTATGTAACCACCATTTCTCCAAAAATCCCTAATTAGATTAAGTGCAATAGGGCTATTTTAGTCATTTCTGCTGGGGAAGAATACAACAAGCCATTAGGGAAAGAGAATAATTTAGAAGGTTTGAAAGAAACTTATTTTAGAGTTACTTTTAAGAAACATGACATGGAAGATCAACTTTATGTCCTAGTTGGAGGCAGGGAGGCATACTCAACTTTTATTTGCATTATATTCTCAACTATGAAGAGAATACCTAAACTAGTAAAAGTTTAATTGAAAGTTTTATAAGTAATTTTCAGCTGACGTTTAGCACTGTAGGTTTGATTGTAGAGAACTGGTACTTTATTTCATGGGAGTACTTGAATTATATATTCTCTTGTAAGCATAAAATTGTGAATGTCCATATTTTAAAAAAGCATTATAATAATAAAAACTCTTGTGTTTTAATTTGTCTAATACATTTGGTAACTAATATAAATTATAGATACTCTGGTTAGACTAGAATATAGATGAAAATATTTTTAAATATGTTCTCTTTTTTCTTTAATGTGAATATTTCTTATTTTTCAAAAAATAAAGCAAGGGGAAGAAATAAAGTTGAGATTTAAACACGGCTACATTTTTTTCCCTGAGGCTTGTACTTAATATGCAAATGCTAAGTATTTGGTAAATATTCATTAAGTAAATATCAGACCTTTCACATTTATATTTCACTTTTCATTTTTGATACATGATAAAATTTGTGATTTTATTATTTTCTAACAAAAATAGAATGGGGGCCCACTTTTCAAATCCATTCTGCAAAAGACAATGTTTGAGTTTTTATACCACAGCTGTCCTAAGTAACGAATTATCTCACCAGAGAAGAGAAGAAATGCTAACCACATAATCCAACAGGAGACTTGATTCATTTTGTGTCTGGAACAGTCAGTGCAATGTTACAAACTGAAATGAGTTTCCTTTTCAATCTTCAGGTGAAAAAAGTAGTGAGAATGTCCCGCTTTAAAAAAAAGAAAATCAATGTGACCTTTTTTTTTTTTTTCATCTTCCTTGAGAAATAATGTGTGTTTGTGTGGGGGTGTGTGTTTTATTTTGCAGTGTTAGTTTTGACCTCATTATGCTCATTATGCTGTTGTAAGGCTAAGTATGTCATGGGTCAAAATGAAGGCAAAATAGACCTTTCTCAGCATTAAAGCACAACCTAATTTATGGTAAAAGTAATTTCCATACTGTTTTAAAGAAATAGCCCTGGACAACATGAATCTTCCTTTGCTGTAGCATGCTGGCTGAAAAACGGGTTAGATATGCATTCCATGAAAAGAACAGGGAAAATCACTAGAACTGTAAACTCTGCATTTGCTGGGTGCTAACATTTTGAGAAATGCTGAAAGTGTGTTATTTTGGTTTTGTATTACATTTAGTAGGTGTATTTTAAACTCAAAGAATTTGATTTCCAGTAAGAAGCCCAAATCAAGTGTTGCAATTGTTTTATTTAAGGTCAATTCTTTCAACTAAACACCTTTTATTTCCAGATGTGTTTTCCCTCTTGTTTGAAATGCCACATGACACAAAATGCTGCCTGTTTTGTGTGCTTTTTTCTACTGCATGCATAGATAGAAAATAGGTTCAAGTGTTTCATTTGAAAATCTTTTACTTAATTCCACCAATTGAAACGATGACATCATGTTTTCAGAGTTTACCTTTCTTGGTAAACATCACCAACAAAAGGTTAATGTTTATGAAGGACATCTTAAATCTTAATTTGATGCATACAATAATTTAAATTTTTATAAACTTTTACTAAATTAAATAAAAGCTGCTTTGAGGTTGTAAGTGATAATGCTAGAGGTAATGATTAAAGGCACCTGCCCCTCCTCCTGATGCATCTACCTTCTGTATCCTCTGATAAAAATCAAATGAAAATTAATCTCAGGTTCAAAGTGGTGTTAACTGTATTCAGGAGTCTTAGGATGTCCTTTACTTCCTTTGAAGCATTACCTCATGACCTAACTACAATTTCAGCATAGCTGTTGATTTTTGATTGTAGGTTTTATTTTGTTTTTTTTATTTTTACATTCTTGTGGGGAGGGGGATTTAATCTCTTAAACTTTGTTGGCAAATTACATTGATGAATGTGTTCTGACAGGAAGCTTTACTGAAATGAAAAGGAGTTGTGTGTAAGGGTGGGAATAACTATTCTAAGAGCTTTTTCATGGTTCTCGTTGCCAGGGAAACCACTGCTTTGTCTGTACATGTTTGGAATGGCTGCCTCATTAGAACTCAGGCTCCTAGACAGTCACTTGTAATACTGGTAAAGTGAAAGGAATGAACCTATTTTAGTTGATTAACTTCAAATTAATAAAAATAGCATATTTAAAAGATAGAGGTTTAAAAGCTAAACATATAGAATTATGGGGGAACAATGAAGTTAATATTGATTAGGCCTATTCAGCCACTTGTGTGAGTGGAAGAATAATTTTATTTTTTACTTTCTCTTTGCCTTTTTACATATTTATGGGGAGTAAGCAAATGGACTATTATATGTTAATGCCACCAAATAAACTTGGGATATGATAGATCCTGATTTTTTCACAAATATACAGATTTTTTTCTTATGAATTCATTTTTTTTCCTTGCCATGACTGGCCTGTGTCATGGCTAAAATATTATCAAAACAGACTGGATTTACTGGCTCTCAGGGGCACAAAAGGTAGTGAAAACCTAGATTGCAAATCCATCTCTGGGTAGTTTCATTTTTCTTGAAAGAACAAAAGAAGCAGCACACTAAGAAATTATATGAATCAATATTAAAAACAGAGGATAATATAACAGATTATTGCTCTAAATTTAAATTATTTTTAAAAAGACAAGAAACGGGCATAGACAGAAACATCTCAAGTTCAAGGAGCTGAGACTAACTCTCAATATACTACTACTTCTTCCTTTTTTTTACTATAAGCCAAATTTCCTTTGGAAATTTATTGACATTTAAAATGTTTGTTTTTAACTCATGACAAAGAGATGAAATCTTTTTATAAGTTTTTTTCTTCCAACAACAGAAGTTCTTTAAATTTCTTGTTCTATCATTCTATCTAAATATACTCAAAGTACTATAATCTTAAATATTATTATTTAATACTCTTTCCTAAAGGAACAAAGAAAAACAAAATCCAAAGATCTTTTTAAAAAGTCTATATTATTCAAATAAGTTCGCTTCAAAAAATTGGCAATACTGATTTTTTATTTGTAGTACTATTTTAGGAAAAAATGTCAAAATGATATTTTGGACTTTGCAAGTCCTGTTTTGGGTAGAAATGTCAAAAACTTAATTTTATGTATGTTAAAACTTGAAATGGCCATTAGACATTCAAAAGAAGATGTTTAAAAGGAATATTTTATAAATGTAGGATTCATGGGATGTGGATTTTATTTGAGTGTGGAATAAGAGAAAGGTGAGGATAAAGTCTGGGTTTAACATGACTCCCAGTCCTGGATGAGCAATTGTGTGGAAAACAGTGCCATTCATTGAGATGAAACTACTAAAGCAATGGTTTTCAACCTTGCCTACACATAAGCATCACCTGCGGAACTTTAAAAAAATACGAATTCCTGAAATCCAACCTCAGAGATTCTTATTCAGTTGAAATGGGTTTGGGTCTACAATAGTATTTAAAAATTGCTCTCCTGGTGATTCTAATATGAAACCACCTTTGAATACCCTGATACTAAAATTCATTCTTGTGCTTCCTAACTTTCAGATTGCCTGAACCTTTTAGGGGCACCTGAAATATTTTTAAAATCTCAATGTCTAGGTACCCCAGATCAATTACATCAACATTTCTGAAAGTCAGACTCAGAATTTTATTTTTATTTTATGAGACAGAGTCTCTTTCTTCCTCTGTTGCCCAGGCTGGAGTGCTGTGGCACAATCTTGGCCCACTGCAACCTCTGCCTCCTGGATTCAAGTGATTCTCCTGCCTCAGCCTTCCTAGTGGCTGGGATTACAGGCGTGCACCACCATGCCAGGCTTAATTTTGTATTTTTAGTAGAGATGGGGTTTCACCACGCTGGCCAGGCTGGTCTCAAACTCTTGACCTCAGGTGATCCTGTCGTCTCGGCCTCCCAAAGGTACTGCTGGGATTACAGGCCTGAACCACTGCACCCAGCCCAGTCTCAGAATTTTAAATTTCCTCAAGTGATTCTCATGAGTGTCAGGGCTGGGGAATCATGATACTAAAGAAAGAATAGTTCAGGTGGAGAAGCTGCTGTTTGACAGAAACGTGGTATTTGAGGTGGATCTGGAACACCATTCTGGAAGGACTTAGTAGGTTCTTTTTTTTTTTTTTTTTTTTGAGACGGAGTCTCGCTCTTTCGCCCAGGCTGGACTGCAGTGGCGCTATCTTGGCTCACTGCAAGCTCCGCCTCCCGGGTTCACGCCATTCTCCTGCCTCAGCCTCCCAAGTAGCTGGGACTACTGGCGCCCGCTACCACGCCCGGCTAATTTTTTTTTTTTTTTTTTTTTTGTATTTTTAGTAGAGACGGGGTTTCACCGTGTTAGCCAGGATGGTCTTGACCTCCTGACCTCGTGATCCACCCGCCTCAGCCTCCCAAAGTGCTGGGATTACAGGCGTGAGCCACCGCGCCCAGCCATTAGTAGGTTCTTAAATGTGAATCTGATGTTATACAGCAAAAGTCTGTACGGGCTACAGAAACATAATGTGTAATAATGGAACCCTGCAAGAGGAGGGAGTCATGAGGGTGCTTACAAAGAAGGACGAAAAAGGAGCAAAGAGCAGAAGGTTGGGAAACAGTGGCCTTTGAGAGGAAGGAAGGATAAAAAGAACCAGAACTGAAAACTGAGAAAAATATAGAAATGGATTTGGAAAGAATGATGTCATAGAAAGCAAGGCTTTTAAAGAAAAGTTGAGACTCAGTATGAAAAAATAATACAAAAACTAAAAATAATTAACTGGACTTGGAAATCAAGGGAGATATTAGTGCCCTTCAAAAGAACTGTTTTAGGGGAGAAGTAGAAGTAGAAAGTATTTGGAGTACATGAGAGAGGAATGAGAAACCATTGTCTGAGTTAGTAGAACAGTGGTTTCAAAATACGGCTGCGTATAAGAATCACATGGGAAGGGCCAGGCACGGTGGCTCACGCCTGTAATCCCAGCAATTTGGGAGGCCGAGGCGGGCGGATCAAGAGGTCAGGAGATTGCGACCGTCCTGGCTAACACGGTGAAACCCGTCTCTACTAAAAAATACAAAAAATTAGCCGGGCATAGTGGCGGGCGCCTGTAGTCCCACCTACTCAGAAGGCTGAGGCAGGAGAACGGCGTGAACCCGGGAGGTGGAGCTTGCAGTGAGCCGAGATCGCGCCACTGCACTCCAGCCTGGGCGACAGAGCGAGACTCCGTCTCAAAAAAAAAAAAAAAAAAAAAAAGAATCCCATCCCATGGGAAGTTTAAAAACAAACAAACAAAAAACAAAAGAGAAAACCACAACAACAACAAAATTATGCCTGTCACTGTACCCTAGACCAACGGAATCAGAATTTCTTGAGGAGGGAAAAGGACATCAGTGTGGCTCAAAACCTCCCCAAGGTGACTCTAATGTGAAGCCAGATTTGAAAAACATTTCATAGAATATTCTTTTCAGAAACTTGACTGAAAATGAAAGGCGAGGATTTAGGGTAGTTTCTACTCGGAGGTGGAAATTGTGAGAGAAAAATAAGAGACTTGACTGTAAGAACTATGACAGAGCCACCGTGTCTGAACATTAGTTGAAAATACTTGAGATCAGAATTCAGGTTATGGTAGAAATGAAAGTATAGAAATCAAAGTCACTGGTGGAAAAATCCCCTCTAAAAAGGGAATGGTGAAAAGCTCATCCTGTGGGCCTATAGAAAAAGATGTGAAAATGAGTAAAATTCTAATTCGGCTGCTTTTCTTTTTATTTGTTATATAAAGAGATACAGACAGGACATTGAAGGAATCTTACTAATAACCACAATTTCCCATATGATTATATTCACCCTTTGCATTTGTAGCGGTGGAAATATGAGGGACTTGAGGTGCTTTGTATCCATTTGGAATAACTTATGTGGGAAATGGAAAAGGTGACTGATAAAGATCATGTTTAACTAGTTCATATAGACCAGATGAGGTTTAGAGTGTCATAATCTACACAAATACGTGGTTTCCTCTAATGTCATTCTGATATCAAGATACAGAAAGAGAAAAAAAATTGGTACAGTGATCCAGTACTTGTGATCATCATGGAAGGTAGAACATAAATGAAGAGATTTAAACACTAAGAATGTGGGCATGAAATTTCTGTTTTAAATGGTCCATCATTTGTTTAGATGAAAGAAAAACTATGGGGGGTGCTTATAAACTGAGATAAAAAGGGAAGAATCTGAATCTTTCAATTGTACAAAAAACAGATAGATACAGAAGTACAATCTTCTTTTAGTATTTGTGAAGTATTGGTTTCAAGACCCCTCAGATATCGAAATCTGCAGATGCTCTAGTCCCTGATTAAAAATGGTATAGTATTTACATAAAACTCACACACATCCTTCTATATAATTTAAATAAACTCTAGATTACTTATCATGCCTAATACAATGTAAATGCTCTGTAAATAGTTGTTATGCTGTATTTTTGTATTATTTTTATTGTTGTATTGCTATTTTTATTGTTTTTTCTCAAATATTTTCAATCTGTGTCCCTTTGAGTCCATGGATATAGAATCCACAGATAGGAAAGACCCAGTGTAGCAAAGAGGTGAGCAGGTAAAATAATAAATTAATTTTACTAACAGTCTTTTAGATATTGAAGCTCTAAATTTGAAATAGTTTGGGATAAAGAATACTCCAAGAATGTCTAGGAACACCATAATCCAAGATAATCATTCTAGGATGTAAAGTATGAGAGAAAATTAATACATTTAAACCGAAGAATTTAGAATTTATATTACTGTACACTTATAAACCTAGATACTATTCATGATAAAAGCATAATTCACTGTGAAAAGAAATAGTAAATGATCAATGAGTGGGGCAGTGGGGGAAGGAGAGAGAGAGGAGATAGGAGGCAGGGGAATGTGAATAATCTGGGTTCTTGATGTTTCAGCTTCTGATAGCACCACAGCTTCCTGCAATGGATTATATACTGCCCCTAGAAAGATCAAAAATCACTGGGAGAAGCCATCTTTGGTTAGATCTATCTTTTTAAGTTTAGAAATATCCATAAAATACTGTTTTTCTCATGGAATAACAGTAACTCAAAGCAACTCTGAATTTCTAATTCAAAACTACTCTAGGTTTCCAGCAATAAGAAAAGGTGTTTTTTTGTTTTTTTCCCCGTCCCACGTATGTATGAGTTTCACTGCTGGGAGATTACAGGGCTTGATTAAGTAGGAGATTTTGATAATATATCTTAAGGTATTAGAGTGATATGAATTTCACTAGAAATATTGATAGTTTTGTTTTATTTTATTTTATTTTTTGAGAATGAGTCTCTGTCTGTTACCCAGGCTGGAGTGCAATGGTGCAGTCTCGGCTCACTGCAACCTCTGCCTCCTGGGTTCAAGCAATTCTCCTGCCTCAGCCTCCCGAGTAGCTGGGACTACAGGTGCACACCACCATGTCTGCCTTATTTTTGTATTTTTACTAGAGACGGGGTTTCACCATGTTAGCTAGGCTGGTCTCGAACTCCTAACCTCAGGTAATCCACCTGCCTCGGCTTCCCAAAGTGTTGGGATTACAGGTGTGAGGCACAATGCCCGAACGATAGTTTTATAAAACCTGGATTTAAGGCAGAATTTAGAAACAGAAACTCTAATAGGAAAACCTTTTTCTATATTATTATTATTATTTTTAATGTAAAAGTAAACTTTAGTGTCGAAAATGCAAACTTGGGGAGGGCAGAAAGATCACACATAAGGCTGCCACCTCACACCTGGAGGGTTGCATCGTGGTTGGGCAGAGGCACTCCTCACTTCCCAGGGGCTGCGTATGAATCACAATGTAGGGGATAAAGCGGTTAGATAAAAATCTTGAAAGTAAAAGTGGATAAGAGAAAAATGCAAAGGAGTTTAGAGTGATGTGTGAAAGAATTCAATAATAGATTATCTTTTACAAACAAGAATGAAGATAAAAATATGGTTTCAAAATACCATAAACAACGTACGGATTTGTGTAACAGGTTATTGTATATGATAGTTGAAAGAAAATAATGATTTGAGATGGGAGGAAATCATTTTTATTAAGACATAATAACTTTGAATTTAATGGCTGAACATTTATGTGGCTTTTAAAGAGTCAGTGCATTTCCAAAGTGGTACTGCAATATATGGAAAATGCCAGTACTGGAGATGTTGCATGCCATCCATGCAGAAGTGGACATTCAAATCTTAAGAATGGATGAGATCTCTCAAAAGGCAATTATAAATGATGACAGTAAGAGAACTGAAGAACGTTGAACCATGGTATTAAGGGCACATGTAGCATGGCGTGACGAGAGAACATAGTCTTAGAAATCAGACTGAATTGTGTTTGTATTGTGGCTTCAGGATTTACTATCTTATCTTGGGCTTTCCTATTAAATGGACAATTTCATTGTATTCTTATTATAAATTAGAAATAATAACTTTCTAACAGGATTGTGGAAGTGTGTGTGTGTGTTTATGTGTACACACAGAGAGAATATAAATAATTATTAAATAAACATTTCTATTTTATGGTAGATCGTAAATAGAAACTAAGTCAAAAGTTAAGTCAAAGTAGTCAAGAAGATTATAAGGTATAAGGAAAATTCAGTATTTTAGAAACCGAGAGAGGGTTTTAATGACAATGGTTGGTCAGCAGTTTCAAAAACCATTAAGAAAAATTGCTCCTAGAAGATAAGAGAATGAGTCTATCCCTTACAATAAGCCTAGGATCACATTTCTTAACTTATTCCTCTCAAAATTGAAACATAAAGTACTTCTATGCATATTGTCTTATTTGCCTTATGTAAAAGAAAAAAGGAAGCAAATGGTTTCCAAATGTTTAAAAACATATATTGTCTCTCTCCCCATTCTTCCCTCTCCCCTCTCTCATCTCTCTTTTCTCCCCTTTTCCTCTCCTCCCACTGTATTTCTCCACATTTTCTAGACCTATCAGTTTTACAATAGAGAAGTTGCATTTGAAGATGTATTAGAATCTTCCCAAATGGGATTGGTCGTGAGAAAAACTAATATATGGGATCCCTAATGCTGAACCAATTAAATTTGTGGTTTTGGCATAGCAAGATTTATTGACTGATCAATGCCATGTGTATGGTGGATATGCTTGCCTTGTCTCACAGAAAGGCAAACAAGCAGCCCATTATATTAAAGCATGTGGATTACGTTTTAGTCCCTATGGAAAAATAATATAACTTCCTTATTCTTACTCCAATCTTTAAGGATCTCAAGAGAAAAATAATTGCATAATTCATCGTCTTTTGTGATTTGAGACATACATGATCATGTTATTGGCAGAAAATGAATTGGTTTTATACATTTTATTGATAAGTGTTCCCAAACGTTTGTAATTAGTTGGCCATATTCTTGTTTCTCTATCTTCAGAAGAACTGGTTATTATGATTACTTTTTATGAAGGTGGTAATTACAAAATAGAATTGAGCTGAATGAAATTAAAGAGAAACTGAAAAAAGAAATTCCCTGCCAGGAAATAATTTCATTTGAACGAGTACAAATTTCTTTGCAATTCTTACTTAGCTGAAGTGTATTTCTAGTTGTGTTTCCAGATTTATATCATTATGAAAATAGCCACTTCCTAGGTTCTCATTTTTCATATACAAACAATGTTCACTAGCAGTAAATTTCTTCCCTGGATTCAATTTCTGAATATTCACAAGGTGAAAATTGTGTTCACCTCTTTTCAGATGGAGATTCTCTGAACTGTAATTGGGTGACTATTTCATAGATGAAATCTCAGCACGTATCACTTTAAAATGATATAGTGTAAAAGGGCCCAAATTGTGTGTGTACACCTGGATGTGTGTGTGTCAGCATGACGTGGAAACTATGTGGATAGATAAATATCTAAAATAATAGGTATGTAGATAGCATGATGTTCCAATAATTACCAATAAGATCATGTCTTCAGTGGAGAGTAATACATACCAAATTTTTAAATCTTTAATTTTTTTCATATCTGATTATTTCTACTATGATCTCTTTTTTATCAGAGGAGTTACTAAAACTACGAGTAGATAAGAATACATTTGAATTTTTATGTGTATGATAACTTTAAAATTTTGCCTACTTTATAGATTTCTCAGTTGGACTTACATTAAATCTCTATTTTTGTTTTTAACTTGGAATAAATTCTCTAAGACACTAATTACTAAATTGTCAGTATTTATAATGTAAACATTTTAAATCCCCTAAATGTCTACTACAGAAAGAATAAATGGTGATGTGTCTGTGTTATGGAATACCCTGAAAACCATGGAAAATAATAATAAAGCTCTACGTACATTGACATGGAAGGAATAAATTAATAAATTGTTTCACTGAATGAAAATCATCCAAGTTGTGTAAATAAAAATATGTACCTGTAGGGCTGCAACATTATGCAACTCAAGCAAGTATATAATTCAGCAGTGCTATTAGGTATGCATTATAGATATTTCTGCATACAAATATACAGTGAAGAGAAATAATTCATATTTTAAAAATGTATATATGTTTATACATATGTAGAAAAAGTTATGAAAGTAAATACTGCAAATTACTAACAGTGGAAACTCTTTTAACAGGTAGGTGTGAGGTTAATTTTGCTTTTTATTTTGTGTTACACACTTTCGTATTGACTGAATTTTAAAATTAGATTTGCATTACCTTTTTTTCCTAAAAATATAACTATAATTGAAAACCTAGTTTCTGAATTGTACATTCTGTTTAACTCATGTTCTTTCTCTTTAATCATCAGTTTCTTCACTGACATCACAAAAATACTAGGAATTTTCCAATTGAAACAAAAAACCTAAAAATCAGGAAAATAAAGAAGTATTTTAGAACCAAACCTTCTCTTAGTGTCATCACTCTTTATTCCAGGCCTCGAAATGAAATGGCACAGACTGTTTTTGTCTCCTCTCCCGAAGATGCTTGGTTTATTCAGTAATCACCTCCCAACTTTGCAATGGCCCAGAAAGATAGCCTTTACTTTGCATACCTTCTAAAATACTAGCCTGATTCAAGTATTTATCATTCTTGAATTATAGCTAGTAACTTCTTCACTGGTTTCCTTGCCTGTAATTTCTTACCTTTGCAGTCATCCCCAGATATTGCCATAGGGCTATCTTCCTAATGCAGAGATCAAATCATGTTGTTATACTTAAAATATTTTTGGCTCTATCATCCACAGAGTAAGTTTCAGATTTCCAGACATAGCATCATGACCTTTCATGTCCTATTGCCAGATTGCTCTTTTAGCATCACTTCAAACTTCACTGTTTTTTTTTAATATATATATAACTTTTAAGTTAAGGGATAAAGGTGCAGATTTGTTACATAGGTACACTTGTGTCATGGGGATGTGTTGTACAGATTATTTCATCACCCAGGTGTTAAGCCTAATACTCATTAATTATTTTTCCTGATCCTCTCCCTCCTCCCAACTTCTGCACTCCAGAAGGCCCCGGTTTGTGTGTTGTTCCCATCTACATGTCCATGTGTTCTTATCAATACCTCCCACTTAATAGTGAGAACTCCAAGTGTCCATAAATATAATATACCATTTTATGCCTTTAAGTCTTGTTGTTTACATCTCTTATTCTTCTAGTCTTTCAAGGCCCACCACAAATATCATGCTTATATCTGACAATGGAAAGAAATATTCCTGCTCTCCTAGGGCACTTTGCTTTACCTATATTACAAATCTTATTTCATTTATACTTACTTTAGTTAGCTTTCATTTGTTTCACTCAGCACAAAATAATGTAGTCTTGAAATCAGGACCCACTTTCGATTGATCTCTGACCTAGAGTCCTTATCTGAATTCAATATATTTGTTTGCCTTGCTTTTAACCAAATATATTTGGAATCCGTTTATCCATACACTTATGAGGAAACAGTATTGAAAAGGTTGCTATCCATTAATATGGCTGTGGAAAAAAAATGTCACCTTAGTTCTATTTTAAGATAGGAAAAAGTCTTATCTATTTTTAGTAGATTTGATAATACTCGTATGAGTTTAAATCTTACTGATGCTGTACAGTTGTGCTATCCAATATGGTAGCCAATAGACGCATGAGGTTATTTACATTTGTATTTAAATTAATCAAAATAAAATAAAAGTTCCATAAATATACCATTGTATGCCTTTAATTCTTGTTCCAAGGTTTCAGTATATTATAGAAATTTTTATTGTCACAGAATTTTCCATTTAAAACCTCTGCTCTAAAGTTTAAACTCAAAATATAAATTACTCCTGTGCTAACTTGGTAAAATCCTGATACAGAAATGGCACAGTTTACAGTAGATTTTTTGCATTGTTTTGATCTAAGTTGAATATAGTCACCAGGCAATTGTTACAGGGAGTCATCATTTCTTTTTTTTCTTTTTTTTTGAGACGGGGTCTCGTTCTGTTGCCAGGCTGCAGTGCCGTGGCGATCTTGACTCACTGCAACCTCCGACACTCCCAGATTCAAGCGATTCTCCTGCCTCAGCCTCCGGAGTAGCTGGGATTACAGGCACCTGCCACCACGCCTGGCTAATTTTTTTTGTATTTTTAGTAGAGACAGGGTTTCACCATGTTGGCCAGGATGGTCTCGATCTCCTGACCTCCTGATCCGCCCGCCTCAGCCTCCCGAACTGCTGGTATTACAGGCGTGAGCCACCACGCCCAGCCTCATCATTTCTTTAACACTTTAAAACTTATTCTAATGAACTCAGTTGATTGCATATACCCCTTTACCCATCCAGGTCATATGAATCACTGTAGTAGAATCAGCTACTCTGGGGGAAAAGAGGAGAAGAGGTTGTGCATGTTTGTGGAGTATGTATTATTAAACAAAAGTCCCAGTTCCCTGTGGTAGCAGATCTGACCATTCTGACCATCCTGTGGCTCAATTTTAGGAAATAATGTCTAAGAAGGAATCAAGAATGAATGGATGTACTGCACTCAAAATATAAATTTGTTCTCATCACTAGTGTGGATGTGTTCCATCCTTACTCAGTAATTGTATACAGTGTCATGCCTTCAAACCTTACATAATCGTCTGTACTTCATTCATTCTCATCCTTCAAGGTTCACCTTAAACTTTTTTTTTTCCTAGGTTTTCTCCACACTAGCTAGGAAGTTTGCATGTACAGAACGTAATGAAAAAATGAAATTTCTCTATGCAGGAATTCGACATTGTGTGTTGAATCCTGTGATAACAGCATTTCCTATGCAGACTCAATATATATTTGATCATCTAACATGAAAATTGAAACTGGCATCTGTTTGTAAACCACCACTTTGCTGGCTCAATTTTAGACCTGCAAAGGAATTTGCTGCCCTTTTGTTAACTAGATAAGCTATATATTTCACTTTGAAAAGACATGTCCCTGCAACTTTGATGGTGAGATACTGCCTCATAACATTCATTTTTCTCTATTAAGGTATTATAGTTTTGATTTAATAATTTTCAGCAAAGATTCATTTAACACTAGAGTGAATGAAAATCTAAAAGAGGATCAAATGGTTATTAGTGGAAACAGAATAACATTTACCAGTTGACCTTCTGTAATGGAGAGACTCCTCAGTGGGAAGAAATCTTTCATGTTGAAACTTTCCTGATAGAGAACTCTTTGCATATATAATCAATAAGGTATGGGCATAGCTTCATCTTTGGTATGAATAACAAAAAAGTTGTCATAGAAAGCTGTAGAATTAAAATTTATTTTTCAGAAGGAGTATTGTTTGCTTCTTTCAAAAGTGGAGGTAAAAATGATACAGGGGAAGGTACCCTCAAATAAATTAGTATAACCAAGTAATAGTTTTTCAGAAATAGATTAGAAAATATTCATCCCCCAAAATTAATGTTTGCTAGTTACATTTATCAATTTCCTTTCTACAATGCTAATTTTAACATCACAATGCTTTCATTAGTGCATTATATAAAATATCAGGTATATGTAGATTGGTGTTGTTGAAATAAGGTTTTGTTGTTTAAAAATAAGATATCCATTCAATATACATGTATTAACACTAACCACAGCAAAAAATCAAAAAGAAAAATTAAGAGCACTTTTTTCGCTACTCCCCTTGAACACACTTATCTCTTATGCCTTAAATTAGATTGTATATAACAATTCTAATATATTGGTATCTATATAATTATATAACTTAATTTTAATCAGGGAAGCAAATGAATATTCCTCATCATTTTAAACCTTTTTATTGTTATACCATTTCCTTTTTCCCTGTTTTTATGCTTTTGCATGTTTAACATAATATGAAACCTCAAAAGATATCTCTGGGCAACTTCTGAAGATTGCTATGTTAGCATTGCTAAACAAATGTATTCAAATGCATTTTCATGACTGAATATTATGCAAGTTCAGTGTTAACCTTTTCCTTGCTTCTTTGAAAATTGTTTTAGGATGTTTCTGAAAATAACATCATCCAGATTAAAATGATGAAAATACCCCAAAACATATAAGGCTCATAAAGAGTGTGGGATATAAGCGTGCCAGCTAATCTAGTTCTCATTCTCATAAAGGGCAATAGTGGCACTTAAGAGCCAGTATACCTATTCCTTTTCATTGTAATAAAACCATTCCTGAAAGTGACTTTGTCCAGAGCAAATGACTCTAACATGTTGTACTTCAGAGGTAGATTGTCATAACTCACTAAAGAAAGTGACCATTGTATATCTTAATACAAAAATTACCTGTTTATTCAAGTATTTTTTTTTTCAAGCTGAAGATATTTTCTCCTGCCCTCCCAAAACTTAGCACAACGCTTCAGTAGAAAGGGGTATAATCTAACTGCTGTCATGGCCAACAAATGGAAAGGAATGCAGAAGAAATAAAGAAGTATGTGTTTTTTCTGTTCTAATAGAGAAACAAGTTAAATACATTAAATCATAAAAACAAAAACAAAAAACACCCTGACAATATAAAACACTGATGAAAAGTCTACTGGTTAAAAGTGAAAATTTTGAAAGCAGTAGTTGTATATAATCAGTGGATATGCCTTGCTTCTTTTCAAACAAGTGGTTTTTAAAGGTGTGTTGCATTATGCTCAAATGATATGTATTTATTTCATAAATTATATAAGTCTTCTTAAGCTGAATCACTCAAATACAAAAACTTGGGCTTTATTTTAATGTTTTTGTAAAATGGTTTTTTCACATGGATTGCAAATATCATATAAACCGATGTTTAACATGAATATATTAAAGATTTCTTTGGATTATAATTATATGAAAGAGTTATACATTTGTATTCTCAAGACCTTTGTTATACATTGTATAATGACACTTTCTACCAAATATGAATGAGAAATAGTAAATAACTATTAAGGCAAAAGACCAGAAGAGGAAAACTATGAGGAAAGACGATATAAATATTCCTAGTTTTTAAATTAATTTTTAATTGTGTTCTTTCTGATGACTTAAAACAATGAGGATCTGCACACCTGTAGTCTGAATTCAGTGTTATCCTCTTTTGTTAAATTGAAAAGGAGGCAAGGATAGAAAAATCATTCACTGGCTAGAGAATGCTTCTGGTCAGGTCATGGATTCATGCTGTTTTCAGTATATAATTTCATTGTCAATTGAAACAAAGTGCTAATTGAGCACAATATTGATGGGTGGTTCAGAGGTGAGACTAGTATTGTCCTCTAAAAGGGATTAATAATAACCACTCCTGTTGCAGCTTCCACCAACATGTCTAGGAGAGGCATGCAGGCAATTATCTGTTCCTCAAAGACATTTCTCCTGGTGCATAAATTATCGGAGGCCTAGACTAGTGGCCCTATAGACCCAACCAATAGCTCTTACTGTCTCAAAGTGGTTTATATCATGAATGGCCTTTGTTCTGATTTGGTCAAAATCTTCATATATTTTGAAACTGTTATAATTTAAAGACTTCACAAAGGGACACAATACTAGTCTCTCATTACATTCAGTTCTGTAAAGGCATCTACTGTGTTACTGCTGGATAATAATAACCTTCAAATGATTCTATAATTTTAATATGTTCATCATCACAGATTTCAAACTTTGGTTTAGGTTTGCCTTCTGAAGCAGTACTGAATACATTGTTTCCATTTTGACAAGTCAAACAACCTTTCAGATATTTGGGGAAAACTAAGTTCTGTGGTTGATTGATAACTATAATTTTGGTACCCCATATTCTTCTTCATTTTGCATTGTCTTTTAACGTTTCCTTTGAGACCTTATCCCAATGCCGGGTGCTTCAGAGGAAGTTTTCTCAACCTCACCACTATTGATATTTCAGACCAGATAATTCTTGGTCATTGGGACGTGTCCTGTGTATTACAGACTGCTTATGAACATTCTTGGGAGTGTTTGTGGTGGTATGAAAATGTTGAGAAAACTATACTTCCCAATTTCCTGAGCAGTTGGGAGAAGCTACTTGATGCAACTCTGGCAAATGAGAAGCAAACAAGATACTAGCCGATGCCTCTGAGAAAGCTCTTTAAAGGATATAATCACTTCTTGTTTGTTCTTTCTCACTGAATCTTATTCCGTAAATGCATTGTCAAGTGATGTGACAACAGTGTTATGCTTCAAGCCTAAGCAAGACTCTAAGAATACTGGAGTGAGAGGATTCCACCAGTCTTGGTCCTTGAATCTTTCTTTGCTCATTTTGGCACTCAGTCCCCAGATATCTTGTTGGGGGAAGAATAGTGGCAGGAACTAACTTTTTTAATCTACTAGTTTTATTTTGTCTTCTATAAAGAAATTAAAATCTACATAATCTCTAACTAATAGTAATAGCTTTGCTTTAGGAAAAAAACAAGTGTCCATATTATAAATATCTCAAGCTTCTTCTTATGTTCAAGCTGCTTTCAAATGTATTTTTTTTCAGTCATTCCTATTTATCATTTCTCAACTACAATGGGCAAGGTACCCTACTAAGCTCCAGAGATAAAGATAAAAGAAACAATATTATTATTTCCTCAGAAAGTCTCTGAGGATAGTGAAGACAAAATTAATGGAACTGCTAGTGTTTTGTGATAATTGTGTGTAAACTATCAGGAGAATAGGAGAATATTAGACAAGATAGGAAATGAATCTCAATAAAAAAGAAAATACAATAAAATGTCACTGTTAAATCATTTAAAACATATGATAAAGGCAGGAGGAGCTATTGCTGACAAATTCCTAATTTTATATCTGTTACCTCAGCATCATATATGAAGACATAAAACAAAACCTGAGTTTTAAATTTCCAAAACTATCTGTTGCCTATCCACATGATTTTTCTTTTACTGTGTCACAGACTAGTATATTTTCAAGTGCCTAGCTAGGCTCAATTTTATTTTTGTTTCAGTTTTATAGTATTTAATAACATCTTTTCTCCCCAAAGACCTTTGCTTAGAAACCAAGAGATACACAATGAGGAGCAAGTGTTGTGCTAAGTACCCCTCTGTGGCACGACCTGTGGGCATGCACCTGCCTTCCTCCCAGTGTGCTGATTGCATTCCTCTCACTCCCGTTGTCAGATTTGCTTCCTGAGCTCTAGACTTTGTCATTAGTTATGACTCATCAATTGTGGCATAATCATATCAATTCCAGCCCAGTGTCTTCTGTCCTCATTTAAATACAAATTTTTCTTCTATTACCAAGCTATCAAATATGTTTCATTCACTGAGTCTTTGTAATAAAAGGTGAAACAGCACAGTCTGCACTCAACAGCCAGATTTTTTTTAAAAGGTTGTAACATTCGAATGATTTGCAGGCATTTTTCTAACACATTCTTTATTTTTGAAAACCTAACATCTATGACACCACATATGTATATCTGCTGATTGTAGTTAGCAGTCTCATTCAACACTTATTAAAAAACATGAAATTGTCAATCCTATCAAGTTGTTTTTTGGTTGTTTGAAACAGCTCTCAGCCATCTTGGAACTGACCCAGAGTGTAAAGGTCTTGAGGATTCTCTTCATCAGTATTACCTGAATACAAGCCTTCTGAAAGGAAAAAGAAACTCTAGCTTTTCAAACCAGAAAGTCTAGTAAAATTCAATATTGTAAATTGAATTTCTTTATTTTTAACAAAATATAATAAATGGTAGACAAATCCATTCTTACAGTTCTATTTACAATCCTCTTTCAGTTTTATCTACGTAAGCACCACCATGTAGGTTTATTATATTTTCTGTTCACATTTTTTTTCCTACATTTTATTAGTTGCATTTCCCCCTACATTTTTATTTTAGTGCTGACCTTCAATTTCTCAGGGGTCAGTTCCTTGTACATAAATAATACTTCCATGTTTCATGAGGTCAGTTACCGCTCAAATCGGCACAAATGGCAGAAAATAAAAACAACAGAATCCAAAACTTCTCCCTGAGATTTTATCACATGTTATAATTTTAGAATTCCCACTTTGGTAGCTTTTACTTTATTGACAGATTGAAGTTTAACTGTAGCCAATTTTAAAAGACAGAAGTACGACTGAGTTATCATATAGTTCAGTGACAAATCATATTAACATTATATTTTGATATATCTCAATACAAATACAGATAATTCTCTGATATCTTAGACCCATCTCAGATACTTTTGTTTCTACATTAAAAATAGAAATAATTCAGGAAAATAAAATTGGTGAAAATTACAAAGCAAATATCCAATTTTTTCGAAAGAACAAACTTGTCTCTAATTGTCATTCAATGCAATTTCATTTTTGTCTTCTGTAGTTCTTTAAATATGTATTCAGGAAAAGTTTCCAGATCTGTAAAAAAATCTAGCAGCTTTCATGACTTCTTTTGGTTATTGGTATTTAACAGATAGTTATATTATGTTGTAAACCACAATTTTATTTCAGAAATTATAATATGAATTTCTATATTTTAATTAAAATATAATTCAGATATGTTTTCTCCCCTACCTCTTTCATCTGTAGGCTGTGGGAAGGGGTCATTCTTGGTTTCTTTTCCTTTTCAGCAGTTTTCACCTTACTTACCCCCTCTCCTATTGGATAACTGCTTCTACTGACCACTCTAGGACTGAAGTCTGGAAATAGGAGTGGTAATGAAGAGAGAAATTTCTTTCTTAACTGATAGTAAGTGATCATTTAATCTACAACTGTCAATTCCCATGAAACTTTTCACTTTCTAGAATAAGCTTGTCCAACCCACAGCCCAAAGGCCACACACAGTCCAGGACAGCTTTGAATGAGGCCCAATAGAAATTGGTAAACTTTTAAAAACATTATGGGATTTTTTTTGGTGATTTTTTTTTCTTTAGCTTGTCAGCTATCGTTAGTGTTAGTGCATTTTATATGTGGCCCAAGACAATTCGTCTTCTTGCAGTGTGGCCCAGAGAAGCTAAACGATTGAACACCCCTGTTCTAGAAGTTCATTCCATGCAATGGAATCCCACCCAAGTGTTCTTAAAGCACACTTGGCTTCAAGCCATCTGCCATCTTTCATTGCTCATGTGGATCATTTCCGATCTGGGTTAAAAGGTAATGCATTCGTGGGCCCTGAAATCCAGAAAGTGAAACCCCAGGTCAGCTACTTAATTTGCAGGATCCCTTTTACAAACAAAAGAAAATATAATAGAATTTTTTTTCCTATGGTTTCTTTCTTGACCTGTCATGATGTTTTTTCTTTGCTCTTAATTTCACTCTGCCTTGGAAACAGGGATGCTCACAGAGCGCTCAAAATTACTCAGGATATGACCCTGAGTCTCCTTGTATTTGGCCTCAGACCCCTGCTGGGTAAGAGGTGGTGTAGTGGTCTCTAGGTATCAGTGGGGGAGCAAGATGGCAAAAGGTGAGATCACATGTGAGCTGAGGCCCCATGCTCCTGGCTCATGCTCCATTGTCCCATCAGAGTTCACTTACAAAACACAAATTCAAAGATAAAATTATTAAGGATTTCAAGACAGTAACAGTAAAGTTTTGAAGGATCCACTGAATGTGGGTTCTTATACAACTACAGTGGTCACAAACCCATGAAATTGACAATCTAAATGTATTAGCAGCTGTTCTTTAATTTACCAGCAAAACAGCTTATCAGCCTTTGTCTTTTACTCTAATTCTGGAAAATAATTAATTAAACATCAGACTCCTGTGCCACTCCTAAATTTTGGAGATATTCATCGAGCTTTATAAATACTCTCCCCTCACCTGAGTGGAGAAACATTGCTACCCTCCCATCCAATGTGGCTATTCTAGAACACCTTTCCCAACTAAACTTTTCATGAGAAAGAAAATTCTTATTTTCCTCAATTCTGGTAATTATTTGTGGTGTTTTGCATTGTGTCATCTTGAGTAGGCAAAAAAGTACATTTTTTTTCAAGATGTCCTTCTCTGTATTATCCAAAAGAGGAACTTGTACGTAACTAGGAAAAAGGAAGTAAGGTGGTGGCCCTTATTCTCTGAAGGTCATCATAATCAAATGCAGTATCGGATCAATGCAGAGGTTCCAGCCGGCTTGCAACCTGTCCTAAATCTGCTCTATTCCACGTTCAACACCTTTGCCTACTGTTGCCTCTGTCCATCAACAGCAGCCCAAGACTCACCAAAAGATTCTTAGATGTGAATCAACAGAGGTTGTAGCTACACAAAATCACAGCCTCTCAAAGGGCATCCCAGGAGCAACCCTTACATAAAGAGATATGTTTGGTATTTCATATTGACTTGTTAGTGAGAGGTCCTCTGATTCTTGAACTTCCCTTTCAGACCTTGAGTTTCCCAGCTACTTGTACAGCTCTACATATCTAATTCCTTTAATAAGTCCTTTATCCCATAAAACACATTACTAACTTTGCTCCCCTGTCTGACTCCTGTCTGATATATCATTTTGTACTTGTATTTTGAGTTAAGCAAGTTCTTACCAAGTAATTTTAAAATCTACATCTTGTAATTCTATTGATTTATTTCCTATGGTCTTAGTCAAATTTTTGATTTTATAATCTAACTTTACTGGCACTAATTCTTTATGCTGTGGTCATTGTATCGGAGACAAAATCAAAGTGTCATACATCAAAAAAGCAATGTGGAAAGGAGTAAAGAAGTCCCTGGAAATACTAGGTGCTCATATTGTAAAAATTTACCTTGGGCAGTTATCCCTAGGCTTTCTACAAAAAACAGGTTGACATTAGATCTAGCAGTTTAATCTGTATTGTCTTTTATTTGTCACAAATGTGTGTCATGCCTATAATTCCCAGAAATTACACTGCTTCAGCCTCACTGATAGTAAACCTGTGTGCTCATAGCTCTTATGATATATATCTAATTAGTGCCTGCAGGGAAAATACCCCTAAACGTTCTGTCCTATGTTCTGATAACGGATTCTTTCACTGTTACTTCCATGAAAGACGTTTTCTTCTCTTACAATAAGAAGACCAGGATATTCTGCCTCACTATCAGTTTGTGTAGAGGTTGATCTGTTCTCCATTTTAGAAAATCAGCAGTTGGACCAATATTGCTTCTGAAACTGTGATATATGCACTTTGCATTTTATAATTTTATTCATTCTGAGAACATCAGACATAAAGATTTTGCTTCATCATATATTCCCTGACTTTCTCCTCATTTTTTTTTATTCCTTCCTTCAGCTTGACTCAGGCTATGCACACTCTGGGCTTTGAAGATATGGCCTAGCTTTGGTCTCTGGGGACTGGTTGTGCTGTGCCAAACATTTCTTGTGCCATGGTCCCTCTTTCCAGAATAACTTGTTTTTACTTTTATTATTGGAAGTGATTGTGCAGAATCGATATAATTTCCTGATTAAATGTTTGGTAAGATTTAGCAGTGAACTTATCTAGCCCTGGTGCTTTCTATTTAGCAGGGTATTAATTATTAATTCAGTTTCTTTAATAGATAAAGGCCTGTTCAGATTATCTATTTCTCCTCATGTGAGTTTTGGTTGATTGTGTCCTTCAAGGAATTGGTACATTTCACCCTCGTCATTAAATTTTTGTGCATAAAGTTGTTCATAATATTCCTTTACTATCCTTTAATGTACATGGGATCACTAATGATGTCCTCTCTTTCATTTCTGGTATTAATAATTTATGTCATCTCTATTTGTTTTAGTTAATCTTGATAGAAGTTTATCAATATTATTGATGTTTTCAAATAACTAGCTTTTTTCTTTCATCAGTTTTTTTCTATTTATTTTTTGGTTTTAATTTTATTGATTTCTAATTCAACACAATTTTGAAAATGCATAAAGGAAAGCACAGTATTATAAAAGGTACCAATTCTGTTGAAACATACTTAAATATTTTTTAAATAATTTTTAAAATTATACTAAAAGGTTTTTTCTAATGCATTAATAAGACAACATGTATGAACTATAAGCAATAAATTTTATTTGTTAAAGGCAGATTAGTGTTAAGGTATTCTCTTTAATTTGAAGAAATTATTAAACCATGAGGTAAAATTTGATAAATCCTCATATATATCATGTTAGATATCTAAATGATTTATTTTTGTTGTTTCTTTATAATTTATTTTTATTGCTTGTCTGTTTACCAATGTTAAATATATTGATTTGTAAGGATTTACTCTTCCAAGTGTAACTAAGGTTTTCATAATTCACACCAGATGAAGGCAGGTGTCTCTCAAGAAAACTTCAAATTTTACAAGATTATTTGGTGAAACTCCAACTAGAGTAATTTTTTTCTGCTAAGATTTAAAATGGAAATTCTTAATATTTTGCAGCTTGGAAGAGTAATTTCTAAAAACTCAGTGTGATTTTCAGCTTCTGATTAGGATGTAGAAAGGTGAAAAGAATGATGCTCCCACCCTTAAGGTGAGAAATATTTGAATTATCTACAAAGTCATAAGTTGTTTTCAGCCCATCAGAGATGAAGTTGCATGGCAACCAAGTAAACTGGTTCCAGAGAGGGACAAGCCCTCAAGGATGGAAAGGACACAAAATGAGTTTCATCTTTGACCAATCAAAAAATGAAGAGGAAGTCACCATATAATCATATAAGAAATCAGCTAAACTTTAATAAATTCTTAAAGGCTAAATGTGGGTAAATTGTAAGTTTAGAATAGCAGGAGGCCTCAGGCACAAGAAATGGTCATTTCTTAAACTCTTTTACACGGAACTTTGTCTGTTGAAGGGAAAGACTGGGAACTGGGCAGAAGATGAGAGAGACCCTGCTGCATAGTGCAGGCTTCGGGTAATAATCAGTTGCTGCTGGGGGACTGGCAAAAAGCCTTGCCCACTACCCCAGAACATTCTTTCTTAGGAAGCAAAGCTTTAAGCCACTATAGAAGAGACAGCACAACTGTCATTTCCACTAATCACAGGCAAAGATGCACTGAGGCTTGGGAACAAGTGGAAGAATGCATCCTATATCTTTGGAAGAGTGCTAGGAAACAGTTGTGGCTAAGATTCTATACCAATAACAAGAAGAAGCCTTTAACTACTATAGAGTGGTAAATATTTCCACCCAAAACCAACCACAGATCCAAGACAGAGTTTCATTGTCATAGATGAGTTGGACACAATGCAAGAACACTAAGAATGCCCCATTTTGAGAAAAAAAAAAATTCAGCTTAATTCAATGACAGTAGTCTAAAACCAACATAACAAAAAGACAAAAAGGAATGAAAACTTGGACTTTTTTCACACAGGACATACCTAAGATTGAATGAGGCTGAGACAGGGCAACATAAAACACCCCACTTTTTACCCCTATGCCAAGCCTGATACCAAATAATAAGCATCAGCTGTCTACGTATTGAGTAAGGGAAAGAGGAAAGACAGAGAACACCTCGGCGGTGCAGGAAGGTAAGGATGCTGAAAGCTGAGAGGGGAACAGAGGTACTAAACAAAATCCTCCAGCACCCCAGGACCCACCTTAAACCCAGCCAACATCAGCCATTCCTATAGGAATTTGAAGCCTGTGTGGACTGAAGGTAATGATAATCACGATAAAATCTATATCTAGCTCAAACCCCTGACTAAAACAGTTTGCTGTCTCATACAAATTGTCGGACAAAATGATGTGCTCTTTTGCTGGCATAAATATTATTTTAAGAGTAATTACTGCTACCTACTTGATTTTGGAATAAAACATATGCTAGCCTTAGCTAGGCAATTTGTTTTTCTATATTCAGAAGTAGCATAATAAATAACAGATTCTTAAAATTCTGATAGAATTTACTTATCTGAGGATTTGAAGGAATGATCTTTAATAGACTAAGAAATAAATATTGAAATGATTGTTAGATACTTCCTGTAAAATCCTATATTCTTTATCTTTAGTTCCTATTATTAATACATCTTAGTTGTTACAGTCCTTACATCTTTCCATCTCTAGCATTCACATTTATTACAATGAAGCTATTTTAATACTTAAAATTTTTTAATTGTGCATATTACACAGTCTCTCTTATTGTCTTGGTTAACCTTCCACAGGTTTCTGTATCCTAAATGTTTTCTCAAAAACTAACTTTTGGTTAGAATAACATTCTTTGTTGTTGCTTTAAAGATTTTTGTTCATTAACTATTTCTATTGGGTTTCCTCCACTGCTCTTTCTCCAATTTTTAATTGAAAAATAGAGCTCGTATAATTTTAATCTTTAATAATAAATGTATTTCAATGTACATATTTTTACCTTAAATTATATTATGTCATGTTGTCATGTAAATATTGCCCCTCTAGCTTTTTAGTATTTAAGCCTGGTGTGTTATAAAATAATTTTAATGTTAGTAGTTATATACATATATATTTTCTTTTAAATTTTAACTTATGTCAACAACATGTTTTGGCTCTTATTAAAAAATTTATAAAAGTCAGGATCCTTTAATTACTGCTTTTAACTTATTTGCATTTATTGTCATTATTGTTACATTTAACTTAGTTCGGCCAATTTACATCATATTATACATTTACTCACATTTTTAGTTTGTTTCCTTTCCCCATTTCTTCTATTGTTTGTCTATAGAACAGCTCACTATATTAGTTTAACAAGTATTTAAATTTATCTCTGTGGTAATTATCTTAACATTTTAAATAAGAAAATAAATATTACTTTCTTAAACTATTGATATCTGTATATTGTATCTAAAGATACATTTGCTTTGTCATAGTCATGTGTTTCTTAGATTTCAATTTCATCTTTCTCATTATATAGATAATTTCTATAATTTCAATTCTGAATTGCTTTTGTTTTAAAATTTGCATTCTATTTTTTTCCTTGTTTTTCTCTTTTCTCTAAACTATAAACTGACTCTCTACTCAACTCTCTTCTTATGAAAATTGTATAAAATATGCATGGAGGTATCAAAAATATTCCAAGGCATTAAAGATTACAGGGCTAAAATACCGAAGAAAACAGCACTTCAGAGAATTGAGAACAATATGGACTATCCCTTGACCCATGAAAGATTTTCTCACATGTATGTGGCTATTGATAGACCAAAAACCTAAGCAGAAATATTCATAGTCTTATAGTTTTAAGAGAATAAAATATATGGCTCAAGACTTATCAATGAGAAAGGCCGATTTATACACCCCAGGCTTCATTTGACACTTCAAAGGTTTAGGAATATTAATGGAAATAAATAGATTATAATTCACAATAATTGCAGTTTGGTCTCAAACCAGCTTAATCACTGATTATATGAATATGATCTGTAACACACCTTAGATAACCCTCCAAAAAACAGAGTTAGAGTTAACCAGAATTAACTATTGGCTGCAATTTCATTAGAATATTAGAAATATTAAGGGCAAAAGCCACATTTAAATAGGTAAACTTAACATTTTTCAAAAATGTTGGAAGCCAGGCATGGTGGCTCATGCCTGTAATCCCAGCACTTTGGGAGGCTGAGGTGGGCAGATCGCCTGAGGTCAGGAGTTCCAGACCAGCCTGACAAACATGGTGAAACCCCGTCTCTACTAAAATACAAAAATCAGCTGAGCGTAGTGGTGGGCACCTGTAATCTCAGCTACTTGGGGGTTGAGGTGGGAGAATTGCTTGAACCCAGGAGGCAGAGGTTGCAGTGAGCCGAGATCGTGCCACTGCACTCCAGCCTGGGCAACAAGAGTGAGACTCTCTCAAAAATAAATAAATAAATAAAAAATAAAAAAAAGATGGAAAAACTGTAAGTCACAGTCTCAGGAAGTGCCAGAGTGAAGCATGATAAATATGGAGACAACTACATAGCTCATATTAGAGAATTAACGACAAAGAGACTATCTCAAAAATAGTTCTAGGAAAAAGCATATTACCTTCAAAAAGTGGCAATATGACTTAGGGATGACTTCTCAAATGGAAGCCAACTGGTAACTAGAATTTTATTCCTAATAAAATATTATGGAATATGAGAAAAAAATAAATTCATGTTCAGGAAAACAAAAAATAAGGGAACTATCTATATCATTTATACATTACACCAAATGAAATAATAATGTCTTTCAAGCAGAAGAAAAATTATTTTACATGTAAATGTAGAAATTTAGAAATGAAATCAAGAAAAGAAAGGACAAAACATCTGGATAAATCTAAATAAATAGTGACTATATAAATAAAATCCATCATATAAAATTTAAAATAAATATCAACAAAACTACCTAACAAAATATCAAAAGTATTATAAGATCTTCATAGTCTAAGAAAAGTAATGAAAATTTTACTTTATACTCAGACACTAATAAGTCAAGGAATCATGAAATAATATCTAGGGCAAAATCAAAAGATACTTAAACTTATAGGAGATTATAAGGGCATATTGGAGAAAAAAATGCTTAATTGAGAAAAAAGGCAAGAAAGAGCAAGTCGAAAATACAACAGATGGAAAAATAGCAAAGTGGTAGACCACAATCAAAATATCTTGAGTTAAATATAAATGATTTTCATACTTCGGCTAATAAAAATATCTAAAATGAATTTTAAAAGTAATTGAATGTGTTTTATTAAAAATAAGAACTGAGGAAGTCTGAAAAAAAAAATGTAAAAATGGTCTGTTAGGCTGACATAACCAAAAGAAAGCTGAGATAGATGTACTAACATCAGATGAAATAAATTTAGTGGCAAGAAGCAGTACTAAGACAAAAGAATACCTTTCAAAATGATAAAATGAGCAGTATACCATGATGTGACAATTTAAAATTTGTATTAATGTAATAATGGGAGAAATATAATGCATCCATATCATACTGGGGACTTTTGCCCACTTTTCTTACACGGTTGGAAGAAGTAGAAAAAAATGTAATTAAGAATAATAAAGAATTAGATATCTCTATTAGCAAATTTGATCTAATTGATATATATAGCATAATATTAAACTCGATAAACTTAAAATTGAATATGTAATGTGAATGCACATTTAATATTTATTCAAATGCTCTATATTGTGTCATAGATCAAGCCGTGACAAATTTTCATAATTGAAAATAGAAATAATACATTTTCTGACATCAGTTAAACTGTTAGAAATCATTTACAAAAGGACAACTTAATCCACAAATATTTTAAAATCAAGCAACATATTCCTAAATAATTCACAAGTCACAAAATTAGTCTCAATGGAAATTAGAAAATATTTTAAGAAAATGAGAATAAGCCGGGCGCGGTGGCTCACGCCTGTAATCCCAGCACTTTGGGAGGCCGAGGCGGGTGATCACAAGGTCAGCAGATCGAGACCATCCTGGCGAACACGGTGAAACCCCGTCTCTACTAAAAATACAAAAAATTAGCTGGGCGTGGTGGCGGGCGCTTGTAGTCCCAGCTACTCGGGAAGCTGAGGCAGGAGAATGGCATGAACCCAGGGGGGCGGAGCTTGCAGTGAGCCGAGATCGCGCCACTGCACTCCAGCCTGGGGGACGGAGTGAAACTCCGTCTTCAAAAGAAAAAAAAAAGAAAGAAAAAGAAAGAAAATGAGAATAAATGTATGACATATTGAAACTCAAGAAAATGGATATCCTTGGTTACACAAAGTCATACAGATGGTAAAATGGTCATTGGAGACTCAGAGCGGGGAGGGTGACAGAGGAGTGAGGGATGGAAACTTGCCTAGTGGGTACAGGGTACACTATTCAGGTGATGACTATATTAAAAGCCCAGACTTCACCACAATACAATAAACCATGTAACCAAAAACCCTTTAGCCCTAAAGCTATTGATTTTTTTAAAAAAACTATAGCCTTAATGGTGATATTGCAAAGAATAAAAGATTAAATGCCAGTAGTCCAAATACCCACAGGTTGAAAATAGAACATGCTTAAAAATGGTACATTTAAAGAAGCTGAAAACCAAACAGTAAACCAAATCCAATGAAAATAGAAGTCATACAAGAGATATTAATGGAAAATAATACATTCAAAAAGAATCACATAATCAAGGGGATCAAAAAAAAAGCCAAAAGTTTTTCCTTGTAATAATGTTAAAATAATCTTTTACAAAATTCAGAGACCAAAAAAAAGTGTGAGAGAGAGAGAGAGGGAGGGAGGGAGCACAGTAATATAAAAAGAAAAGGTATTACTACTGATCCTACAGAAGAAAGAAATTCAAAGTTATGAGCTACATTATTGCAGTACATATTTGACAGTTTCAATAAAATTTGTAAAAAACTTGAAAAAGTCACTTACCAAAACTGACATGAGAAGACATAAAAATCGGAATATTCCTGTAACTATTTTTAAAATCCATAATAAATAACTTTTTCTCATATATGTACAAAAGTTCTAGGTCCAGATGTTTCACTAGAGAATTCTCCAAAACATATTAACAGGAAAGAAAACTAACATTACTTACATATTTCCCCTATTGAAAAATTTCTCAGCTTGTTTTATAAGGTTACCGATAATTTTAACATAGAAATGTGACAAGGACATTAGAAGAAAAGACAGTAACAGTCCAGTCTCTCTTACAACCTAGCTAAAAATAATTTAAATATTATACATAAAACTCCGCAATATGTAAACCACAAACATAGGTTGGGCTTGTTACAGGAATGAACGTGTTTTAATATTCAAAATTTTAAAACTGCAGTGTGTTTTTCTTAACAGAATAAAAGCCAAAAATCATATGACATTCTCTATAACTAAAAAAAAAAACTCCAAAGTCTATGAGTGACAAAGCCTATTACCTAAGTTGCAATGATGAAAAAATATTTAAATTATTAAAGGCTACCTCCAAAATGACTGTGATGAGCACCTCTGTAATGGCAAAGTGTTGAACATTTTCCTACTGACATTGGGAATGAGAAAATGATACTGACTATGATCAACTTTGTTCAACCTTACACCTGACAAAATTGCTAGTGAGAAAGTAAAGAAGAAATAAAAAAGATATAAGAACTTGAGGAGAAGTAATTAAGATAATTTTTCACCAAAAAAATGAACAATTTACAGATAAACTCTTATATGAATACATTTACAAGGTATGTGCCTATAAGATAATATTTGAAATCAATTGCATTTCTTTTTTAAGGAAAGAAGAACTTCTAAAATTGAAATTTGAAAAAAAAAGATACCTCTAACAATACATCAGAAACATCAATTATACAGGAATTAATTTTCTAACTAGAATACAAAATCTGAAAATGAAAACCCAGAAAGCATTATGAGAAAATTGTTGAAAGTCGGGACATTAGTTACCTGGAAAAGGTAGGCAAGTATTATCCTAGGAATGAGTTTAGGAGAATTCTGGGTTGTCAGTAATAGCTAATTCCCTAACCTGCATGGTTATTTATGTTTATTGCAAAATAGTAGCTTACTTTTTTTAATTTTATAATATCCATTGAATGTTTATTATGATATACCCATTGAGATCTATGTTTATGATTTGTATATTTTTTAGGGGTGTGAAACAACAATAAAACATTTATTTGAAAGAAAATTAATGAATAACAGTAAATTTTATTATGACATCAGATGATTTGTACATCTGATAGTTCTTGACATATCATCTATATTTGAATTTCTTGTTTGAATAATTTCTCTAAAAATGTTTTTAGTACCCTGCTTTGGGTAGCAAACCACTTGAGGGAGGATGAGTCTGGGAATATTTTTTAAAATGCTCTCAATGTTCAACAGCATTTCATTTGGATATAAAATTCTACATTATAGCTGTTTTCCTTCTATAATTTTTTTATAAAATATATTTCCATAGGTTATTGGGGAACAGATGGTGTTTGGTTACATGAGTAAGTTCTTTAGTGGTGATTTGTGAGATTTTGGTGCACCCATCACCCGAGCAGTATACACTGCACCCTATTTGTAGTCTTTTATCCCTCACCCCCTTCCCACCTTTTCCCCTTGAGTCCCTAAAGTCCATTGTATAATTCTTATGCATTTTCATCCTCATAGCTTAGCTCCCATTTATCAGTGAAAACATACAATGTTTGATTTTCCATTCCTGAGTTACTTCACTTAGAATAATAGTCTCCAATCTCATCCAGGTTGCTGCAAATGCCATGAATTCATTCCTTTTTATGGCTGAGTAATATTCTATCGTGTGTGTATACACACACACACACACCACAGTGTCTTTATCCACTTGTTGATTTATGGTCATTTGGGTAGGTTCCAGGTTTTTGTAATTGCGAATTGCGCTGCTATAAACACGCATGTGCAAGTATCTTTTTCGTGTAATGACTTATTTTCCTCTGGGTAGATATCCAGGAGTAGGATTTCTGGATCAAACGGTAGTTCTACTTTTAGTTCTTTAAGGAATTTCCGCATTGTTTTCCATAGTGGCTGTACTAGTTTACATTCTCACCAGCACTGTAGAAGTGTTCCTTGATCACCGCATCCATGTCAACATCTGCTGTTTTTTGATTTTTTGCTTAGGGCTATTTTTGCAGGAGTAAGGTGGTATCGCATTGTGGTTTTGATTTGCATTTCCCTGATCATTAGTGATGTTGAGCATTTTTTCATATGTTTATTGGCCATTATGTATATCTTCTTTGGAGAATTGTCTATTCATGTCCTTAGTTCACTTTTGATGAGATTGTTTTTTTTCTTACTGATTTCTTTGAGTTCCTTGTAGGTTTTGGATATTAGTCTTTTGTCAGATGTATAGATTGTGAAGATTTTCTCTCACTCTGTGGGTTGCCTGTTTACACTGCTGACCATTCCTTCAGCCTTGCAAAGGCTTTTTAGTTTAATTATTTCCCACCTATTTATCTTTGTTTTTATTGCATTTGCTTTTGGGTTCTTGTCATGAAATCCTTGCCTAAGCCAATGTCTAGAAGTGTGTTTCCAATGTTATCTTCTACAATTTTTACAGTTTCAGGTCTTAGATTCATTTATTTATTTGTTTATTTATTTTTGAGATAGAGTCTTAGAGTCTTGCTGTAGCCCCAGGCTGGAGTGCAGTGGTGCAATCTCAGCTCACTGTAACCTCTGCCTCCTGGGTTCAAGCGAGTCTCCTGCCTCAGCCTCCCAAGCTGGGATTACAGGCACATGCCACCACACCTGGTTTACTTCTGTATTTTTTTAGTAGAGATGGGGTTTTGCCATGTTGGCCAGGCAGGTCTTGAACTCTTGACCTTAGGTGATCTGCATGTCTCAGCCTCCCGAAGTGCTGAGATTACAGGCGTGAGCCACAGCGCCCAGCCAGATTTAATTTCTTAATCCATTTTGAGTTGATTTTTGCAGAAGGTGAGAGACGAGGATCCAGTTTCATTTCCTACGTGTAGCTAGCCAACTATTCCAGCACAATTTGTTGAATAGGGTGTCTTTTCCCCACTTTGTGTTATTGTTTGCTTAGTCAAAGGTCAGTTGGCTGTTAGGTATTAGGGTTTATTTCTGGGTTCTTTTTTAATATGCCATTACCTTCTTGCAATCCAGTTGCAGTAAAAGTTTGATAGAATGCTTTGGTCCTCTGCAGGTGACTATTTATTCTCGGTTATTATTATCTTATAGTTAGAATTTTGTTTTGACTTAACCGAATTGGCTTAGAAACAGAAGGCACATTATTTTCAAGAGCATATAGGATATTTTACAAAATAAAACAACCATATGCTGGCTGTATAGCAAGTCACAGTCAATTTCAAGGAATTTAAATCATTCAGATTATGTCCTCTGGCCAAAACATCTGGAGAAAAGCACCACATTTTGTTTCTTTGTTTAAAATTCTATAGAGCATATATGTATAATTTCTGTTATTTCTGATAAATGTAAGATAGTGTTAAAGTGGTTTAGTACTTCTTTTCTGTCCTCCTTGCACAGTCACCCTTACTGTTTTTGGATTTCTTGTGGTTTGTGTTGTGACACAAGCCTAATTTTTCCTCAGGTTTTAAAGCCTGCTACTTGTTTCTGAAGTACTGAGTCATTGCTCAAGCGAATATTTTAATATATATATCCATATCTTATCATTTCACCAAATTTAGATAGTTAAAAATTTTCAAAGATGACATTGATACATTTCTCCCAGTAGTTACATTTATTATGCCTTAGAAAGCAATAAGAAAAGGACTAAAAAACAGACTGGGATTTGGCAATTCAGGAATCAAATAATTATGTTTTAAAAAGATATTGTCGATTCTCCTGCCTCAGCCTCCTGAGTAGCTGGGACTACAGGTGCCTGCCACCACGCCCGGCTAATTTTTTGTATTTTTAGTAGAGATGGGGTTTCACCGTGTTAGCCAGGACGGTCTCGATCTCCTGACCTCGTGATCCACCCGCCTCAGCTTCCCAAAGTGCTGGGATTACAGGCGTGAGCCACTGCACCTAGCAGAGCTTACAGTGAGCCAAGATCGCGCCACTGCACTCCAACCTGGGCAATAGAGCGAGACTCCATCTCAAAAAAAAAAAAAAGAAAGAAAAATAAATAAAAAGATATTGTCTAAAGAAATGTAGACAAGCATGACATTTGTCACTACAATGCTTATTCTTCACAATTTAGACATTGATTAGGTAAGGGTTATGAGAGCAGGAATGAAATAGAGACAAATTAAAATAATATGAATGTAAACTTAAGGTTGACTGTAGATTTCCAAACCAAAGAAACTGTTATTTATTATAATGAAAAATGAAGAAAAGGTGCAAATTGTGAGTGAAGTGAATTTACAATAGACGAAAACACTGAGCCAAGGGAATGTCTCCCAGACTCAAAATCATGAAATAAAATGAGCCAGTGAATGTAACAGTGAAAACTTCAAAAATTTGAAGCAGAACTGTAAACCTGCTATGTCACAGAAGACAAAGGCTTCCATGAGTATTGGCTATAGCAAATAAGCAATTACTTATGAACATAAAGAATAACTGACTTGGGAAAGTAATGACTATTATTTCCTAGTTCCTGAATATTTCTGACAAGAAAAGCAATAATTTGGATCAACCGTTATATTTTGATAAATACTTTACTTTCTAATTCTACATATTTCTGCATTTCAATTTAGGTGGGATGGCTATAGTAATTTTTAAATTACCTATTATTTCTTTTCTATCTAGTTGAATTGTTTTTGAAGTCAAAGTCAAACCTCTTTTGACTTTATGTATGCCATCTAGTTCTTACTGAGGAGCATCGGCATGCTGCTGAAACCTCTATTTAAATTACCTATTTTTAAAGTTTTTCTAAAATCCTTTCATGAATATTATTTCTTTTACTAGAAGTAAAAGAAATATGTAGAAGTGTAGAAGTGTTACTACATCACACTTATGTAGAAGTGTTACTACATCACACTTCTCAAAAAATTATATACCAAGAAATACAGCTGGGCACATGCACAAAGCAATGCAGTAGTATCAAGGAAGGAAATTGAGGAAGAAATACATATATCTAAAACAATCCTTCATTAAACCAAGATAATTAAAAGATAGACTAAATTTAATGAAATTTTAAAATCACATATTACTAGATGATGACTGGAAAAGAAAACCTTTTGAAAAATAAAGACTCATAATTTTGAACTACTTTATATTGAATTAGAAGTTCGGTTAACAATAACCAACCAAGTAAATTTTAGTAATTGAAATGAAGTACCAGAAGGAATAAGTCAAGAAGGAAAGCAGAGAAAATTTAGGATAATTAAAGAAAATTATGATTCAAAGTTAAATAAAATTTAGGCATTGAGTCTATGTAAATGGAATAGAATTAAATAGTAAAGAGAACAGAATGTAAGCAATAACAGGTAAAACAGGCACAAGGCCGGTCGCGATGGCTCACGCCTGTAATCCCAGCACTTTGGGAGGCCAAGGCGGGCATATCACGAGGTTGGGAGTTCGAGACCAGCCTGGCCAACATGGTGAAACCCCATCCCAACTCAAAATACAAAAATTAGTCGGGCACGGTGGCACGAGCCTGTAATCCCCACTACTGTGGAGGCTGAAGCAGGAGAATCACTTGAACTAGGGAGTGGAGTCTGAGGTTGCAGTGAGCCGAGATTGTGCCACTGCACCCCAGCCTGGATACAGAGTGAGATTTCATCTAAAAAAAAAATAGTAGCTTAATGTTATATTTTAATATCAAATGGAAGATACAGAAAAGAAGGATTTTTTTAAAGAAAAAATAATTTTATGAGACCTCTTTATAGCCCACTTACAGAGTAAATATGTCAAAGAAATGTTTGCCATTTGGTTGTTTTTATGTTTTGGTCCCATTGTTCAACACGAAAAAGGAAAATAACATTTGCACAAAACAATTGTACAAGTCATTTTACATGAAAATTCAAATTATAGTTACCAATTGGCTTTTGCTTACAGAAAAAGAAGTTTAGAGTAGTATAAAGTTTTGATAATATGGGAATATAACTGTAAGTAAATGTGTTGGTTAAGCTCTATAGAAGTGGTTCATCCTTTGAGAATGTCAATAAATGCTCCAGGAAGAACTTTTTTATTTAGGAAGATAAAATATAAATAAACTAAAACACTAAAATATGAACTAAAAACAAAAGTGTGAAACAACTGAAAAGTTGAAAGGAGTATATTAGTAAGTGGAGAGGGAGGCAATTTGATGGGGATATTTGAAAAAGTTGGAGGATACATGGATTGAGAGAAAGAAAATCCAGGATGGAGGAAAACTTTAAAAACACTTGAAAACCACATAGAAAACACGCAAGAAAAATACGAAAGAAAATATAAAACCACAACTGAGAACTATAACTGAAATTATAATCATTTTTCACAATATAATAATATATGTTTTTACCAACCCTTGGAATAAAGTTTAAAATTTGAATTTATTTATATAGAGAATAATACACAACCTTACAACAAAATATATAATTTAAAAATCCTACCTATTTGATTTGAAAGACTTGTAGAAATTAACAAAATTATTACGTAGGTTTGATTTCTCATATTTTTTACTTAACATTAAACTCAATTATTTTCTAACAGTTTTGTACATCAAAAGTCCAGGCAGACTCCACCAGTTTTTTTACTTAGGAACTCACAGGGTGATACTGAAGATATGGCTAACTTTAAGTTTTTATCTGGAAACTAGGGGAAAAGTCACCTCTAAGCTCATTCAGGTTGTTGGAAGAATTCAGTTTCTTGTGATTGTAGCACTGAGGCTCACATTTCCTCTGGATGTCCACTTGGGATTGCACAAGCTGCTAGAAGACACCCTTTGGTTCTTGCATGTGGCCCCTTTCTGTCTTCAAAGGCAGCAACAATACACTGAACCCTTCTTGTGATTCAAATCACTTTGACTTCTCGGGCTGCAAGCCAGGTAAGACTCCTTTTTTCCTTCTTTTAACTTTTATTTCAGGTTCAGTGGTACATGTGCAGATTTGTTATATAGGTAAACTCGTGTCACGAGGCTGTGGTATATAGAACATTTCATCATCCAGGTACTAAGCATAGTACCCAGTATGTATTCTTTCTAAATCCTCTCTCTCCTGCCTTCCACCTTCTAGTAGGCCCCATTGTTGGTTGTTTCTGTCCACGTGTTCTCCTTATTTAGCTCCCACTTATAAGTGAGAACATGCAGTCTTTGGTTTTCTGTTCCCGCATTAGTTTGCTAAGAATAATGGTCTCCAGTTCCATCCATCTTGCTGCAAAGGACATGATTCCATTCTTTTTATGGCTGCATATATTCCGTGGTGTATATGTACCACATTTTCCTTATCCAATATACTGTTGATGGGCCTTTAGGTTGATCCATGTATTTGTTATTTTGAATAGTGCTGCAATGGACATATGTGTGCATGTATCTTTATGGTAGAACAATTTGTTTTCTTTTGAATATATATCCAGTAATGGTGTTGGGTCAAATGGTAATTGTGTTTTTAGTTCTCTGAGGAATCACTACACTGCGTTCCACAATAGCTGAACTAATTTACACACCCACCAGCAGTGTGTAAGTGTTCCCTTTTCTCCACCACATTGCCAAAATCTGTTGCTTTCTGATTTTTTAATAATAGCCATTCTGACAGGTGTGAAATGGTATCTTGCTGTGGTTTTGATTTGCATTTATCTAATGAGTGGATGTTAAGGTTTTTACATATGCTCGTTGGCAGCATGTATGTCTTCTTTTGAAAAGTGTCTGTGCATGTCCTTTATCCACTTTTTAATTAGTTTGTTTTTATTTTTATTTTTTGGCTTGTTAATTGGTTTAAGTTCCTTATAGATTCTAGATACTAGACTTTTTTCAGAAGGCTACTTCGCAAAAATTTTCCCCCATTCTTTAGGTTGTCTGTTTACTCTGCTGACAATTTCTTTTGCAGTGCAGAAACTCTTTAGTTTCATTAGATCCCATTTGTCAGTTTTTGCTTTTGTTGCGATTGCTTTTAGCACGTTCATCATGGAATCTTTGCCAGTTCCTATATCCAGAATGGCATTTCCTAGGATATCTTCCAGAGTTTTTATAGTTTTGGGTTTCACATTTAAGTATTTAATTCATGATGAGTTGATTTTTATATATGGTATAAAGAAGGAGTCCAGTTTCAATCTTCTTGCATATGACTAATCAGATATCCCATCACCACTTATTGAATGGGAACTTCTTTCTTTATTGCTTGTTTTTGTTGGTTTTGTTGAAAATTAGATGGCTGTAGATGTGTGGCATTATTTCTGGGCTCTCTATTCTGTTCCATTGTTCTATGTGTCTGTTTTTGTACTAGTGTTATGCTACTTGGGTTACTGTGGCCCTGTAGAAGAGTTTGAAGTCATATAATGTGATGGCTTCAGTTTTGTTCTTTTTGCTTAAGATTCCCTTGGCTATCCAGGGTCTTTTTTGAGGGCTAGGTGAATTTTAAAAATAGATTTTTTCTAGTTCTGTGAAGAATGTTGTTGGTAGTTCTATAGCAATAGCATTGAATCTGTAAATTGCTTTGGGCAGTGTGGTCATTTGAATGCCTAAATTTATTGAAGGTTATTTAACATGTAGCAGTGTTGAATGCATCTATTGTGATAATCATGTGGTTTTTGCTTTTTATGCATCTATTGAGATAATCATGTGGTTTTTGTCTTTAGTTTACATGATTAATCACATTTATTGATTTGCATATATTGAACCAACCTTTCGTCTTTGGGATAAGGTCTACTTGATCATGATGAATTAGCTTTTTGATGTCCTGCTGCATTCTGTTCGCTAGTATTTTGTTGAGGATTGTTGCATCTATGTTCATCAAGGATATTGGTCTGAAGTTTTTTTTTATTTTTTTATTTTATTTTTTATTTTGCTGTTTCTCTGCCAGGTTTTCATATGAAGATGATGCTGTTCTCATAGAGGATGATGCTAGTCTCATAGAATGAGATTGAGAGGAGTCCCTCTTCTTCAATTTTTTAGAATAGTTTCGGTAGGATTTGTACCGGCTATTCTTTGAATATCTACTAGAATTCAGCTGTGAATCCATCTAGTCCTTGGCATTTTTTTTTGGTAGGCTATTTATTACTGATTCAGTTTTGAAGCTCATTATTGGTCTGTTCAAGGATCAATTTCTTCCTGCTTCCATCTTGGGTGGATGTATGTGTCCAGGAATTTATCAATTTTTCCTACATTTTCTGGTTTGTGTACATAGAGGTGTTTAAAGTAGTTTACGGTGGTTATTTTTTTTTTTCTGTGGGATCAGTGGTAACATCTTCTTTGTCATTTCTGATAGTATTTATTTGGAGCTTCTCCTTTTCTTAAAAGTCTAGGTATCCATATATCTATTTATTGATTTTTTCAATGATCCAACTCTTGGATTTGTTCATCTTTTTATTTTTTTTTTTTATGTCTCGAACGCCTTGATATCAGCTCTGATTTTTGTTATTTCTTTTCTTCTGCTAGTTTTGAGGTTTGTTTGCTTTTGCTCCTCTGGTACTTCTAGTTGTAATGCTGGGTTTTTAGTTTGATATCTATCATTTTGATGTGAGCATTTAGGACTACAAATATCCCTCTGAATACCACTTTAGCTGTGTCCCAGAGATTCTTGCTTGTTTTATCTTTTTGTTATTTTCAAAGAATGTCTTGATTTCTTCCTTAATTTTATTGTTCACCCAAAAGTCACTTAGGAGCAGGTTGTTTAATTTCCATGTAATTGTATGGTTTTGAGTGATTTTCTTTGTACTGAATTCTGTTTTTATTGCACTGGTTTTTTTTTGTTTTTTTATTATTATTATTATACTTTAATAATAATAGGGTACATGTGCACAATGTGCAGGTTAGTTACATATGTATACATGTGCCATGCTGGTGTGCTGCACCCATTAACTCGTCATTTAGCATTAGGTATATCTCCTAATGCTATCCCTGCCCCCTCCCCCTGCCCCACAACAGGCCCCAGTGCGTGATGTTCCCCTTCCTGTGTCCATGAGTTCTCATTGTTCAATTCCCATCTATGAGTGAGAACATGCGGTGTTTGGGTTTTTGTCCTTGCAATAGTTTACTGAGAATGACGATTTCCAATTTCATCCATGTCCCTACAAAGGACATGACCTCATTATTTTTTATGGCTGCATAGTATTCCATGGTGTATATGTGCCACATTTTTTATTGCACTGTTGTCTGAGAGTGTCGTTTGTATGATTTCAGTGTTTTTTTTTTAAATTTGCTGAAGATTGGTTTATGTCTGATTGTGTGTTCCATTTTACAGTATGTGTCATGTGGTAATGAGAAGAAAGTATATTTTGTCATTTTTGGATAGAGCGTTCTGTAGAAGTCTATTAGGTCCATTTGATCAAGTATTGAGTTCAAGTTCTGAATATCTTCATTAATTTTCTTCCTTAATGATCTGTCTAATACTGTTAGTAGGGTGTTGAAGTCTTCCACTATTATTTTGTAGAAATCTAAGTCTCTTTGTAGGTCTCTAAGAACTTGTTTTACAAATCTATGTGCTCCTGTGTTGGGTGCATGTATATTTAGGATAATTAGGTCTTTTTGTTTAATTCAACCTTTTACCATTATGTAATGACCTTCCTTGTGTTTGTTGAGTTTTGTTGGTTCAAAGTGTGTTTTGTCTGAAATTAGGATTGCCACCTCTGCTTTTTTATGTTCTCCTTTCGCATGGTAGATTTTTTTTCCATCCATTCATTTTGAGCCTATGGGTGTCATTGCATGTAGGATGGGGCTCTTAAATTCAGTATACCATTGGGTCTTTTTCTTTATCCAGCTTGCCACTCTGCCTTTTCTTTGAGGCATTTAGGCCATTTACATTCAAAGTTATTATTGATATATGTGGATTTGATCCTCTCATCCTGTTCTTAGCTGATTATTATGCAGACTGGTTTGTGTGGTTGCTTTATAGTGTCACTGGTCTGTGTACTTAAAGGTGTTTTTGTAGTGGCTGATAACAGTCTTTCCTTTCCATATTTACTACTCCTTTCAGGAACTCTTGTAAGGCAGTCTGGTGGTAATGAATTCCCTCTGAATGTGTTTGTTTGAAAAGATCTTATTTCTCCTTCACTTATGAAGCTTAGTTTGGCTCCATCTGAAATTCTTGGATGAAGATTTTTTTTCTTTAATAATGTTGAATATAGACCCCCAATCTCTTCTGGCTTGTAGGATTTCTGCTGAAATTTCTGCTTTTAGCCTGATGGGGTGCCCCTTGTAGGTGATCTGCCTTTTTTCATTAGCTTACTTTATCACTTTTTCATTCATTTTGGCCTTGGAGAATCTGATGATTATGTGTCTTGGGGATGGACTTCTTTTTTAGCATCCTGTAAAGGTTCTCTATATTCTTTGAATTTGAACGTTGGCCTTTCTAGAGAGGTTGACGAAGTTTTCATAGATGATATCCTGAAATATGTTTTCTAAGTTGGTTGCTTTCTCCCCATGCGTACAGCACACCACAGCCACCATTTAGAGAAAAGCCCCATTTCTTGCTGCTATGGGCCCTTGACCCCCTGTTCCCCAACAAGCAGAGCCTCTAGCTCAGGCAAGCAGTGCAGCTGCTTCACCCTCTGGCTGAACACTCCCAGTAGCAGCAGCTCCACATTTCTCAGAGATGGAGCTCCCAGGGGCAACCAAAAGTCCCTCTGCCACTGCCTCTCCAGTTTAACTTCCCTGTTTACCCTTGAACTAGGGAAGGAGCAAAGACTCCGAGTGCTTTATCCCGCAAGTTGTAGTTGCTCTAATGAGAGGAGGCCAGTCTGTCTCCCACGGGTCCTACCCACATTCTCTGCTAGTCACCAGACAGGATCCCCCCAGCGTGGGCTCACAGTGCAGCTGCCCCATGTCAGGCTGATCATGCTAATTGATTGCAGTTCTGCATCTTTCTGCAATGGAGCCCCAAGTGACAAGAAAAGACGTTGAGCCACAGGGTCTCCTCTGCTGCTTCCAAGCTGGGGAAGTAACATAAAGCCTATGATCATTTCAGAACTATGGTGTGCAGCCTGGATGCACCAAGCCAAGATCTGCAGTGAGCACTCAAGTGGGAGAGGAGCCTACACTGACTTTCAAAACATTGAGAGGAAGCATAGCTGCAACCCATGAGGAAATACGGAGGAGCCACATGACTGAGCAGGAGCCTACACAGTGACCATTACACTTCAGCACCAGCTACTAGATCACACCCCAAAACTTCAACACCAATAATACTTTGCTATCATACCCTGCTGTGAAAAGAAAGACAAGAATTTAGCTACAAATAAAGGCCCTAAACAAAGCCTTAGGACTCTGAAAACATGGAAAGAAGTCTACTGACTGTACTCAATTTACACTGCAATTAAAGGAACACCCACACACACACACACACACAGATGAGAAAGAACCTATGCAAGATCTCTGGCAACTCAAAAGACCAGCATGTCTTCTTTCCTCCCAAAGATCACACTAGTTCCCCAGCAAGGGTTCTTAACTAGGCTGAGATGGCTGAAATGACATAAATTGATTTCAGAATATAGATAGGAACAAAGATCATTGAAATTCAGGGGAACATCGAAACCTAATTCAAGGAAGCTAAGTGTATTAGTCTGTTATCACCCTGCTATAAAGAACTTCTGAGACTGGGTAATTTATAAAGGAAAAAGATTTAATTGACTCATAGTTCTGAATTGCTGGGGAGGCCTCAGAAAACTTATAATCATAGCTGAAGGTGAAGGAGAAGCAAGTAACTTCTTCACAGGGTGGCAGAAGAGAGAGAGAGTGAAGGGGGACAGTCACTTTTAAACCATCAGATCTCATGAGAACTCACTCACTATCATGAGAACAGCACGGGGGAACCACCACCATGATCCAATCACCTCCCACCAGGTTCCTCTCTCAACACATGGGGATTACAGTTCCAGATAAGATTTGAATGGGAACACAGAGCCAAACCATATCACTAAGGAACAAACACAAAAAATAATTCAGGTGCTGATCGGTGAAATAGCCAGTATAAAACAGAACCAAATTGACTGGCTAGAGTTGGAAAACACACCACAAGAATTTCATAATGCAATCACAAGTATTAACAACAGAATGGACCAAGTTGAGGAAAGGACCTCAGAGCTTGAAAACTGGCTCTCAGAAATAAGACAGTCGGGCAAAAATAAATAAAATTTTACAGAGCTCATTGTATTAGATTAGGTACACTTGGATAATCTTCCTGTCTTCACATCAACTGATTATTAACATTAATTACATCTGCGCAATCCATTTTGCCATGTAATACAATATAATCATCAAAGTAACACTGGGAGGCTAAGGTCATGACCATCTAATATTCTGTATACCACACAATTGTATTGCTTTCTGAGGTCACTGAACACTTTCAGAATTCATGAAAGTTGGATACTCACTATAAATAAGATAGATATGGCTAGCAAGAAGAAAAATATAGGGATTCTATACTTAAAAGATACAGCTATTTCCATTTATATAATTGTCACAATAAAAATTTAAATGTGAATAAGTGAATAGCAAGTATAGAAAGTTTAGCAAAATAATGAGAATTAGATATGTAAATGAATTTTTAAGATAGTCTCAGAAAAAGTGTAATATTTGTCATTTATCCTGAAATGTCAAAAATTTTCCTAAGCAGAACTACTCACCACCAATTTCTCAGTTTCATCCCTGAAAAAAAAATCATTCAAGTGGATTTATTTTGGCAAAGTGAAACTGTGAATTGCTTGGCTCCAGAACAGCTGCCCATACTCAGCAGGACTGCATTCCCACACTCCATTCACCCTTACCCCATCCCTTCCAGGAACACTTGGACTAGGATCCAGCTCTAGATCTGCAAGAAGTTGTGTTCCAGCTCTTAAATCATTAGTAGGACCAGATTTTACTCAAAAAACTATTCTAGCATTTGAAATTATTTCCACTGCTTTGTTGCTTACACTGAAATCGTCCCTCAAAAAATATAAGAAATAGAATATGAGCCCTGCTTATTCTTTAGGACAAAATTTAGGATGGTGTATCTAATAAATGGATTGTAATTAGGAAGATGGTTTTACATTTGTCCCTAGATTCTTCTGTTTTTCTCAGGCCTCTATGAATCTTTCTCTCTGAGAGATCCCGACTTGCTGAGAGCAAGAACTATTGAAAGGAAATGAAGTAAATAACTGATGGTTGCCCATGGCAATTAGGAAAATAAAGAGCAAACTTCCCTCTTTGAATATTACTTAGTGTCAAGACTTAATTATACTCATTGACTATACAAGTCTAAATATTTGGGCACTTATATTTTTGTATTTGGGCATATGATATTACAAAATAATTTTGAGAGCTAAGAGACATACGTATGTATTTTAGAACTCCAATAGCAGTAACTTTCTCAGTAGCATATAGTTTTCCAATCTGTTGGAAAAAGCTTGGCTTTAACTAGGAGAGATAAGTAATAGAGCTAGAGTTTCAATTCTGTTCAATATGAATAATAATATTTCACCAGTAGAAATTAAATATGTATAATCATGTGACAGTAATACTGATATGATCTGAGAAATGCATTATTAGGCAATTTTGTCATTATGCAAACATCATAGATGTTTACAAAACCTTGACAACATAGTCTGCTACATATCTAGGCTATATGAGATATAGCCTATTGCTCCTAGGCTACACACCTGTACAGCGTGTGACTATACTGAACATGTAGGCAATTGTAACATAACGGCAAGTATTTGTGTATTTAAACGTATCTAAACATAGAGTAGGTATAGTAAAAGTACAGCGTAAAAGATGAAAAATGTTACGTCTATATTGGGAACTTACCATAAATGGAGCTTGAAGACTAAAAGTTACTCTGGATAAGTCAGTGAGTGAATGGCGAGTGAATGTGAAACCCTAGGACATTACTGTATATGACTGTGGATTTTATAAAAATGATACACTTAAGGACCATGAAATTAACATTATCTTACTATACCTTTTAATCTAATATATTTTAACGCTTTTATATGTTTCAACGCTTTGATTTTTTATAATAACATTTAGCTTAAAACACAAACACATTGTGCAGCTATACAAAAATATCATCTTTTATAGCTCTGTTTTATAAGATTTTTTCCTTTTTCAGCTTTGTACACCTTTTTGTTAAAAAGTAAAATGCAAACACACACATTAGCCTAGGCCTACACACGATCAGGATCATCGATATAATTGTGTTTTACCTTCACACCTCATCCCACTGGAAGGTCTTCAGGGGCAATAACATGCATGGACCTGTAGTCTGCTGTGATAACAATGCCTTCTTCTAAAATATCTCCTGAAGGACCTGCCTGAGACAGTCTTACAGATAATTTTTTTTAATAAATAAGAGTATACCCTAAGATAACATTAAATAGTAAAGTATATACATAAATGAGTAACATAGTAATTTATTATCATTATCAAGTATTATGTGTTGTACATAATTATATGCACTATTCTTGTCTATGATTGGCAGCACGATAGGTTTGTTTATATCAGCATCACCAAATGCACTTGAGTAATGCATTGAGCTTTGAAGTTATAATGGCTATTATGTCACTACATGGAAGATATTTTTCAGCTCCATTAGAATCTTATGGGACCACTATTTTAAATGCAGTCTGTCATTGACCAAAGCATTATTATGTGGGGCATGACTGTAAACGTTTCAAAGAAATTGGTTTTCCCTTTCATTCTATTACTGTTCCACCACTAGCTGTTTTGTACGTTTCTCTTTCTGTGCTGTTCCTTAAATGTAGAACTCCTCTAAATGTATTTCTTTTATTTATCCTGTCCCAGAACAATCTCATTAACATTCCTTGGAAATGTTTCCTCTCATCAGGAATGCTCTTCTGAGGCCTGTACCTGAATGACCATTTGTCCCCATTAAGACTCATTTGGGGGCAAGTAACATAAATGGAAAAAAAAAGTAGACTAAAGTAACTAAGCCCAAGGGTAGTATGATTTAAGCTAAAGGTGATTTCAGGCTCCAAGTAAAGTAATCAGGGTTCAGCTTATCTCCATTTGTTATCTCTTCTTCTAGTGGGTTGGACCCATTTTCAAAGAATCCCTTCCCTTACATAGCAGTCCATATAGAATCTCACTTCAAATACAGTTTAAAGAAAAAAAAAATTATCTTCAAAGGCAAAAGCAAAGTCTGGAACCAGATTTCCATTGACCCAGCCTGGATGCTGGTATTGGATGCTCTATTACGCTTAAGTGAGATAAATAGCCATTTCTGGCCCTCTTTTTATTTGTTTACAATGCCCCACTTTGGAGAAATGCTGGAGTGCATTTAAGAAGGTTCTATTCATGAATAGAAGAATCTCAGTTGTATAGAAAATGATTTATTTGAAATTACCTGCTATAAAAACTTCCCAGGCTCATTGCTTTTTGGATCAACTCTGTCTCTTCTACTTCCTTGTACTGCTGTCTGGAAGAACCCTGGCTCACAATGGTGCAGAACTTTTTATCCTGATATCTGAAGTAAATTGATCTGAGTTTATATTAGGTTGGATCTTAGTGCCCATATTATCTACTGGGAGTTTCCCAGCCTGGTATGATGGAGCTTAGAAGAGAGTAAATTAGCTTTTACAAGTCAGTCTCTCAATATTTATTTAGTGAGTGAGTGGACAAATGAATGAATATTTCTTGGAGGTATTATTCATTTTGTGTTCCCTTCATACTTCAAATTATTTTTTACCTTTAGTAAGAAATGGATACTGACATGGCTTTAATGAATCTCCTCCAAAATTCAAGTGTTGCCAATGTGATAGTCCTAAGAGGTCAGGCCTTTAAGAGGTGTTTAGGCCATGAGAGATCCTCTCTCATGAATGGGATGAGGTGATCTTATAAAGGGTCTTGACAGAGAGAGTTGGTTCTCTCTTGCCCCTTCCACCTTCCACCATGTGAGGATGCATCAAGAAGACCTCAGAGCCTGGTATCTTGATCTTGGACTTCCTAGCCACCAGAATGGTAAGAAGTAAATTTCTGTTCTTTATAAATTACTCAATCTATGGTATTCTGTTTTAGAAGCACAAAATGGTCTAAGACACATAATTTTACCCTTTCTAAATCCAAATTGAATGCAATTTTATCATAAAGTTTTATCATTTCTCTAATAAAAATGTTTTTAAATTTTTTGAAAGTCCACAAATGCATATATATTTACATGCATATCTATATGAAGGTCCAACTTTGATTCTGCTTTGTTTTGGCTTTCTTTTTTGTATTACTTTTCTCCAAAGAGTAAAATACACACTTGTTTTATTCTCTTATTCCTACAGCACCTAACATAATTCTTACTAAAAAATATTATTTAATGAAGAAAATTATTATATAATACATTTTGTTGATACATTATTTTCTACATATTATGTGTCAATTTTGTTCCTTACTATCCTCAGCTGGAATCCATTTGAAGAGACAGAACTGTATTGTGTAGATTCAAGCAATACATAGTAGGATACCATACATACTGTAGGGTTTGGCTCTGTGTCCCCACCCAAATATCACCTTGAATTGTAATCTCCATAATCCTCATGTGTCAAGAGCAGGACCAGATGGAAGTAAGTAGATCATGAAGGTGGTTTCCCCCATGCTGTTCTCATTATAGTGAGCGAGTTATCTTGAGATTTGATGGTTTTATAAGCATCTGACATTTCCCCTGGTTGCACTCATTGAGTCTTGCCACCCTGTGAAGAAGGTACCTGCTTCTCTTGCATTCTGCCATGATTGTAAGTTTTCTGAGGCCTCCCCAGAACTGTGAGTCAATTAAACCTATTTTCTTTATAGATTACTCAGTCTCCAGTCTTGCGTATGTCTTCATGGCAGTGTGAGAATGAACTAATACTCATATAATGGATACTAACAAGTAAATCTTTATTTACCACTTATTAGAAGCTTGACTTAACCAATTATCAAATTTTATATAAGCTTTAATGTTATTGGGAAATATCCTTTTCCTGTAAAAATAAATGAGATTACCTACCTGAAGTACCTTAGGCCTTTCTAATATTTTCAATTTTCATTAAATGTTTATTTTTATGTATCTATAGATATCTTGAATATGTATTGTAAATATTATATGTATGTAGAATATATGTATTCTAGTATTTCTTCCAGATAGCACTTAAAAACCAGTGTTTGCATTTTTGCATGTGAGCAAGCAATTCCTACTTACAATGATGGAAGAAATAGATACCCTGGAAGAAGGAAAATTAAATTCATGCTTTCAAAGCATCCTTCCCAACAAATCCAATTCATCTTTTGCACAGAAGGAATAATTAGATGAAGATATATTTTAAGTCAGATTGTTAGTATTTTGGCCACATGGCTACATCATAAGTGTAGTTTAAAATTCTGTTCATTTTTATTTTTTTAAATCAAAACACTCATTGAACTGTACTTAATTTTTAAATGCAAAATACATAAAACTCTTGCATTTCTTGGAAATAAATTCTCTTTATTCTACTAATAAATAAACATTGTTACCACCATTGAGGCAAATGACAGAAATTCTTACAATTGATTATCCTATATGGGTATGAAAACTTTAACATGCTCCTCTAAGTAACTGAATACTACAGAGTGATTTTGGATCAATGTGGCCTTATTTTGAATATAACATACAAAATCATTGAGTGTTTTATGATTTATCTTCATTTTAACTCAAGCTTTGGGATATATGAAGACAGAAGATAAATCAAAATGTGTCACGTATTATATTTTCTGAAGTTATTAACATATATCTAGCAAAAGGTAAAATAGCACAGATATACCAACCAAATTTTCATGTGAAGAAAATATTTTATATAAATAATGTTTCTTCTTTTATATGAAATCACTGCAAAAATGAGAAAGCTACTTTTTATATTCCCCAATGAATATTCCCCAGTGCTGTGATTCCAAGTTCAGTAAAATTTAGAAAATCATGGCCAAGAAATTTAGTAGACCGAATGTACCTTCACTTTCTGGAATGTACTTGTAACCCTACATTCACAGTTAGAAATTTGCTTGAATGAAAAAGTGTTCAAAGTAATTATTATCTTGTATTTGGCTTCTCTGGGTACCTGTTTGGCTTTTATTTCTAAATAAAAAAACAAAACATGCACAATGTAAATATTTTTAGTTTGTAAAATTTTCTTTCCAATTACATATTTTGAGATGTTGTATATACTGTAAACATTTTGAAGTAATTTTGCCCAAATTAAGAAAAAAAATTCATTCATCTTTTTATCTTATTTTTATTTTGGTTCACTTTTCATCTGGGTATTAATATGGATGTTGCAGAAAGAATAGCTCCTATAAATGATAGGTTGCTGTATGGATATGCAACAAAACCATCTTTATTTTACAGAAAGGTCTCATTACTCTAAAAGAAGGCCAGTGAAGAAATTTATATTGACCTTTTGGCATGACCTTTCTAAACCAACTGTTCCCTAGTACCTAAACTAGTGAGTTTACTGCATAGAGACACCCAAAGGAGTAAAACATGAAGTGGGAGACTTTGGCCCTATTAGAAACCTTAGGGCCAGGTTCTGTTCCTTATCACCTATGAGATTTCCCTTGTTAATGATGCTGAGTTGGGCATATTTATTTTTTAGCCATTTCATCAACAAGTTTTGCTTATGACTAAGGATGTCATTTCTTGTTCCCATCACATGGTGTTTTAGGACATTCCTGCTGCTTTAACAAAATATCTTACTTAGAGTAATTCATAATTTATAAAAATTCCTTATACATTCTTTATAGATTCTGACAATTCCATAAGTGTCATGAATTTCAGTAGGGAAGTGACTTTTCAAAGTGAGCTCTGGACAGGTAGCCATAAGTAAGACTACGGTGGCACGGATATGCTGTGCTTTGATCAGTTGTGTGGTATGCAATTTTTATTATAAATATCACTGAACTCCATATGACAAAAATTACTCATCAACTTTTCTTTTTTTTTTTTGAGACGGAGTCTCGCTCTGTTGCCCAGGCTGGAGTGCAGTGGCGCGATCTCGGCTCACTGAAACCTCCGTCTCCCGGGTTCACGCCATTCTCCTGTCTCAGCCTCTCCGAGTAGCTGGGACTACAGGTGCCCGCCACCACGCCCGGCTAATTTTTTTGTATTTTTAGTAGAGACGGGGTTTCACCGTGTTAGCCAGGATGGTCTCGATCTCCTGACCTCGTGATCTGCCCGCCTCCGCCTCCCAAAGTGCTGGGATTAAATTAGATGTAAAATGTTGTTCAGGTTTATTAAATAAAGAAAGAAAAAGATTGTTAACTAGATGTCTTATTTTGTTTTTCTCTGACAACAGCTGTCTTGTAAATTGGTATATTTAGATCATGCACATTTAAAGTAATTATTGGGTGGTAAAAAAGTTGGGCTGGTATTTATTATGTTTATAACTATTTTCTATTCATATCATTTATTCTTTGCCTCCCAACAATCACTCTTTTTCTTATTTCTATTGTTTTAATTGACACTTAAAATAATCCCATTACATTTCCTCTCCTAGCATGTCAGTTATACTTTAGAACAGTTTTAGTGATTTATGTGAGTTTGCAATACACATTTTTAACTAATCTCAATCTACCTTTAAATAAGACTTTGAATAACTCAACACAAATATCACTTTACAAGAGTGTTACAGACTCAATATTTGTATTCCCCTATTCCCCCAAAATGTGTATGTTGAAACCTAATCCCTATGGTAAGAGTATTTGGAGATGGGTCTGTGGGAAGTGATTAGGTCATGAGGGCAAACTGTTATGGATAGAATTAGTGCCTTTACAAAAGAAACCCTAGAGAGCTAATTTGCTCTTCTGCCGTGTGAAATCCCAGTGACCCATCCTCTATGAACAAGCCCTTGCCAGACACTTAATATGCACATGGCTTGACCTTGGACTTCCCAGTCTCAGAACTGAAAACTGCATTTTTGTTGATTATAAGCCACCTAGTGTATGGTATCCTGTTATAAAAGCCTGAGCAAACTAAGATACAAGTAATCCCAATTCCTACCATTATTTATGACACTACTGCCATTTAATGTATTCATTTATATACTATATTCATTCAATACATTGTTACAGTTATTCCTTTTAAACAAAATATTATCTTTTAGGTCAATTAAGAATAAGAAAATAAAACATTTTATTTTAGTTTCATTCATTCCTTCTATGATATTCTTCCTTTCTTTATATAGACCAATTTCTGACCTATACCCTTTTTCTTCTCCCTAGGAACTTCTTTGAACATTCTTTGCAAGGCATGTCTACTGACCATAAACTTTCTCAGTTTTTGTTTGTCTGAGAAGGTCTTTATTTCTTCTACACTATTGCAGGATAATTCTATTAGATATAGAAATGTAGGCCAGATGCGATGGCTCACACCTGTAATCCCAGCACTTTGGGAGGCCGAGGCGAGCAGATCACGAGGTCAGGAGATTGAGACCATCCTGGCTAATACAGTGAAATCCCGTCTCTACTAAAAATGCAAAACTAATTAGCCAGGTGTGATGGCATGCACCTGTAGTCCTAGCTACTCGGGAGGCTGAGGCAGGAGAAATTGCTTGCCCAGGAGGTGGGGGTTGCAGTGAGCCAAGATTACACCACTGCACTCCAGTCTCCAAAAAAAAAAAAAAAGAAAAGAAATGTAGATGGTGTGTGTGTCTCTGTGTGTTTCACTTTCAACACTTTAAGTATTTCCCCCCACTCTCTTCTTCCTTTCATCTAATGAAAAACCAACTGTAATTCTTAGCCTTATTTATTTACAGGTAAGTTTTCTTGTTTACCCTTGGCTCCTTTCAGTATGTCTCTCTGTCTTTGATTTTCTTTGGTTTAAAAAATATATACCTAAGTATAGATTTTTGACATTTATTCTGCTTGGTATTCTCTGCACTTCTTGAATCTGTATTCAGTATCTGCTGTTAATTTTGGAAAATTCTTAGCCATTATTACTTTAAATATTTATTTGGATCTGTTCTTCCTTTCTTTACATTCTGGTATTCAGATGTACCTGCTAATAGTCTACTAGAAAGAAAATAAAATATAAAATTGAGTAAAATAAAACAAAATAAAATAAGGAGTAGCAACACAATGCATTAAATTCAATGCAACGGATTAAATATGTTTTGATCTGTTAAAAAAATCAATCTGAACAATGATGTGGTTTACAGTTAGTATGCAATATAGAACTCTGAATTTAATTGTTTTTATTTTTCTACAGTGGTTTTACAGTAAAAATAATTTGAGTTTAAGTTTGGATTGTTACTTTTAAAAACAGAGCTAATTAGCATTGTTTATTACTTTCTCACCTTAATTTTCTTATATATATATGTGTGTGTGTGTGTGTGTGTGTGTGTGTGTGTGTATATATATATATATATATATATATATATAAAGAGATTATAGATCTGTAATGCTTAGCATAAGTCCTGGTAAATTGCATCTATTCAATGAACATTTGTTCTCCCTTTAATTCCTGCAATCTAGATGGTGGTTCATGGATATAGTTGCTCTCTAATTTTTTGAGCATATTAAGGACTTAAAAGCTAATGATGGTGTATTGTTATGTCAAGGCCAGCAGAGCATATCACTTTAAAAAACTGGCAATAGAAACTTCTCTTTAAAAATTGTAAAAGTAAGTAAAGTTTAGAAACCAACCAAGTACGAGCAATGCAATGTTAGCATCTCATTGGTTCACACCAGTGAAAAGTATTTAAGAACAAAGAAATGGTATACTGTACCACACAGAAACTTGCATGCAAATGTTTATTGCATGTGCAGCTATATTCTTACTTACTAAAACTTAGAAGCACCCAGCTTATCCTTTAATAGGTAATCATTCCTTAATTAGATAAACAAACTCTGCTATATCCATACAATGACATAATTATCAGGGGTAAAAAAATAAGCCATCCAGTCATGATTAGACATGGAGGAAATTTGAATGCATATTTCTATGTGAAAGAAGCCAGTCTGAAAAGTCTACATATTGTATGAGTCCAAGTATATAATCTTCTAGAAAAGGCGAAACTATAGAGCTAGTGCAAAGTTTAGTCATTACCAGGAGTTGGGCATGTGGGGGATAAGTAGGTGGAGCACAGGGAATTTTTAGGGCAGTGAAATTATTATCTATGATTCTGTAATGGTGGATACATGACATCATGCATTTAGCAAAACCCATGGAACTGTATAATACAAAGAGTGAACCCTAATGTAAACTCTGGTCTTTAGTCAATAAATGCATCAATGTTGGCTTCTTAATGCAATTTCATTTTAAAATATAAATTTTCTTATTTTTTCCACATATTTCTTAGGGGAAAATTTTAAATAATTTCTAGCTTCACTGTTTTCTAATGGATAAAAGCATAAATTAAATATGCTTTTATTACTGAGAGGATATGACATTGTAGTAACAGATTTATTAATAATCAAGAATGTATTAACATATTTATATAAGGTAACATTCTGTGGATTTTTGTTTCCAAATAACTCAGAATTGACAAAATAAAAATATAATTATTCAATGATGAATATCACAATGAGCAATATTGATCTATTTCATAAACATTTCATCCTGTCAATCACAGGGATACTCAGTTCAAATACATCAAAAGAAAACATTCTTCAGGTAAATTGAAATTACAATAGTTTCAATTTTTACAAAAGTTTAGATGTTGATAACAGTTTCAGAGCCACTTCTCTGTATAGAAAAGCTTTCTGGGGATGTCATGGTTGTAACTAAAAACAAAAATACAGATTTATAGATAACAAAATGAAGAGAAATCTGTTATAAATATTGATTGTATGATTATGAGGTCTTTAGAAATTACAAATTATTTTATCAGTATATTTTAAGTGTAGGATATACTTAATTTGAATACTAATATTTATTACATATGAGCTTAATTGTGTCTGTTCAAAAGATACAATGAAGTGCTAAACTCCAGTACCTTAAAATGTGAACTTATTTGATAATAGAGCTATTGCAGATGTCACTAGTTAAGATGAGGTCAGGTGAGTGCTGTCCTTATAAGAATTGGGCACAGAGATACATACATATAGGGAGAATGTCCTGTGATGACAGAGTCACAAACTGATGCAGTTGCATGCCAAAAAATGTGCCAAGAATTGATAACTGGCACCTGAAGACAAGAGGTAAAGAAAGATTCTCTCCTTCAGGTTTCAGAGGGAGCATGGTATTGCTAACATCTTGATTTTGAATTTCTGACCTCCAAAACTGAGAGAATAAGCTTTTGATGTTTTAAGCTACCCAGTTTGTGGTATTTTGTATGACAGTCCTAAAAAATGAATACAAATAGTAAACCATAAGCAAAACTACAAGCATGGAAATTTACCCTAATTCACTTTCTGCGTAACACTTATGATTCAAAAATTGATATTATATTTTGTATTTTTAATTATCTTTCTCACGTAGGAGAACATAAACATCCTGAGGGCAAAATCTTTATTCAGTTTTTATTTTACTCATAACACTTAGAACATCGAGTGGCAATTGATGTGTTTGCTAGTCAGGATGTTATTCTGGTGAATACTGTTCATTCTATGTAACAAGAAACCACTGATGTATCAGTAGTTTATGAAAGGTTTAGTTTAACTGATGCTACCTATCCAAAACAGGCAAAGCAGTGGGACTTCCCCTTCCTGCGAGTCAGGTAAAATATTTGATACATGTTTTCATAGCCACAGAGATGGGGGGAAACAGAACATGGCAAAGAATGACTGGACTCTAAAAAGTTTTATATTCTGGATTAGTCAGAATTTCAACAGAAAACAGTTGGTAAATACAACTAAGAATAATTTGAGGAATGCTTCCATACAAAGGAAGGAGCATGAAAGAATTGTAAGCAATAAATCTGGAACTGGCGCTCAGTGAGGATAAAAACAAAACATGGAAAAAGAAGGAGTAGAAGATCAGACCACCTGGAGAACAAAAGTGACCTTCTGTAAAGAGACACATGTAGGGAAGACAGCCTCATGGGGAAGAGACCAACAGAATAAACACCATGACCCTTTTCTCCTCTTCCTTTCTGCCTTCTTACAGGGTTCTCCACAGGCTGAACCTAACCTGAAGCCAGAGGATGAGGGAGCCTCCTAATGTATTCGTGAGAAGTCAAAAAAAAAAAAAGGCCAATGAGTCAGGAAGAGTGGAAAGGGTTGCATTAGAAGATATTTTACACATTACTTTCCTTTTTTTATGTTACCATTATAAAGTGATATATCTAGAAGCAATCTTGCACATCAATCTTTATCTACATCTCAGATTGTGTAAACTTTATAGCTTACTGTTTCCCTCATGAAAAGTAAAGTATCCCATTGTAAGAGTAAGACAATATACAACTATGTTATATAGTGTTAACTTCTGTTAATTGTTTGTAAGACAAATTATTGGGGTGATTACATGAAATAAGGAGGTCTAAATTAAACTTTCAATGACAGAAAACCAGCAATATATAAGAAACAGAACAAACATTCTTAATGTATTTAATGTATTTCAATCTGTGTATTTAGCATCTACTTATAATTTTTTAAACAATTTAACTCTAGTTTTTAATATAGAGACCATTACACCATTTCTTCTTATATTTTTAAATTACATTTTATATCATCTTTATCATTAGGATAAGCAGGGGAGAAATGTTGAATATATTGATTGATGTATCTGATATATACACTCATGTGCCACATAATTATGTTTTGGTCAATGACAGACCATATATGTATGATGTTGACCTCATAAGATTCTAATGGCCCTGAAAAATTTCTATCATCCAGTGATATTGTAAGCCACCTAACATTGTAGCAAAATGTATTGCTACTGTTTGTGGTGATGATGGTGTAAACAAATTTGCTCTTCTTTCAGTGATACTAAAGTACACATACAATTGTGTGCAGTACATAGTATTAGATAATGATAAACTCTGTTACTGGTTTATTTGTTTTATATACTACAATTTTTATCATTAGAATTACCCCTTCTACTTATGGAAAAACAGTTAAATCTGTACAATAGCCTCAAGCAAATCTTTCAGGAAGTATTACAGAAAGAAGCATCATTACCATAGGAAATAACAACTCCATGAGTGTAATTATCTCTGAAGCCTTTTCAGTGGGACAAGATGTGGAGGTTCAGACAGTAATATTGATTATCCTGACCTCATGTTGACATAGTCTAATGTGTTTGTTTGTCTTTTTTTTGTTTTTTGTTTATTTTTACAAGAAAGGTTTACAACATAAAAGAAAAAAAAAAAAGAAATACCGAAGTGGTTCCCCAAGGCACCAATTTAAAGTGTATATGTGCAGTGCAGGGTTACTGGACCAAGGCACAGTGTAAACAGCGAAATTTTATTTTTTGTTTTCTTTTTCCTAAGATGTTCCTTACTCCCAGTTACATAAAAATGTGTATTACAAGCAAACAAAAATTAACAGGAATAGAAATAACTATAAAGTATATTCACATTAAAATCAGCTTTGCTTTATCTATTAAAGGATGTAACACAGTTGTGGTTTTCAGGACCTTGTAACTCCTGGTGAATTGGAAAGCACAGAAATTCTTCAGAGCCTCAAGAGTTGTGTTTAATGCATTATTTAAATAGTGTCCAACCACTAGTTAGATAGCTTAACACTCAAATAGCTTTTGAAATCTCTGTAGACTCACCTCAATTGAAGAGTCCTGATAATTTACAGAAGTGTGTAGTGCACTAAGAGATCCCTGCTGTACGATGCCTGCCTGTGGAGTGTTTTATGTGTTGATCCACTGGAGTGTGTGTGTGTGTCTGTGTGTACGTGGGTGAGTATGGGTGGGTGTGGATTGTGTGTATGTGTATGTATTTACATTGTGGTATGTGTCTGTTGGGGTGCCGCCATTAGGGATTTGGAAGAGTGAGGACCATAAACTTGTCAACATTCCTACATGCCTGCTTCATAACAAGTGTACTGAACATGGCCAAAATAACTAAACCAAGTAAACAAATTAGACATTAATTAAATTTAATGCTGGGCAGGAAAGAAGTAGTCAAGGCCAGGTAAAATGAAGAAATATAACCAAGTGAATGAAATTTTTACATTGATTCGTAGAATGAGACATGAATATTTTTTAAAATTTGTAATTTCTAATGACTATCAGTATATAAAACTAAGAATTATATGGCTGTCAACTGACTAAAAACTGTACATAAGATTAGAGCTAGTGAAACAACCATATATGAACTTCTATTTCCACTTTTCTGTCTCAAGAATGACTTGTGAAAATGATGTTTTTTTTGAAATTTTACATTCTCATTTTGAAAGAGCTTCACAAAACTTACGTGAGAATCTGGATGCTCATAAGAGGTCTGATTTTTTAATGGCATGTTTGTATTTCTGTTATGTACATCAATGTCAAGCATTCGTTTCCTGAGCTGTTCTCTACAACACAATTTAACTTGTAATAGACACTCAATAAAAGGTCGGTTGGATATTCAAATCAACACCTTAGTTCCATCAATTTTCATTTCATATAAAAATGCCTGATCTTCTATACTCACCAATGAAACAGAGAGAGATGAAGGAGGGAGAGCAGTTGAGACTGAGAGGATGACGAGCAGACCTCATTCTGCAGTGGATTTCCTACACTCTCCACTTCTGAATGCTTGGAAACACTTGCCATGCTTAGAAAATATTGGTATTTCCTAGGCAGCAAATGGGAGTTAAAGAAAGTCCATATTTCTATATTACAATAACTTACACTATAATACACAGACAACATACATTTCTAAGCTATTTCAATTCATAGAAAATGTAGATAAATTTAGGTGAGCAAGGTGTAGGAGAAGGGTTAGTAATCAAGCTGAGTGTGATTGTGAGATTAAATCTAATATTATGCAATTATTGTATAATTGTATCAGTTGACATATCTGTTGAAACAGAAGGTGGGAGAGTTTTGCATGCGCTTCCGAAATGTACTGGATGATGTTAGGAGAGAGGCGGGTCAACGTGGCTAGGCCATAAGTGTTTACTAATTGAGGCTTAGGAAAGTTAAGTTCCTAACCAGAGACTGGGAGATAGAGGCGCTAAATTGTATAACATTTATATTTAATATATATTTAATAATATATAGTAAAGTCTTAAAATGCCAATTTTAAGTCTTTTCATTTTCTTCTTAAAAACAGAGGTTTTATTGCGTTTGGTCCACAGTCGGTATTTCACATTATCTCATAGCGCAGGGCCCCTGGGTGGAGGGCTCTGTGCAGTACTTGGCGTGGCCTGGGGCCGGGAGAGATAGAGCAGTAGACCTGGTCAGGCCCGGAAGGGGAGAAGGAGGGCCGGGGCTCCTTAAGACCTACTGAGGGCCTGGGCGCGGTGGCTCTCGCCTGTCATCCCAACACTTTGGGAGGACGAAACAGGCGGATCACATGAGGGAAAGAGTTCCAAACCAGCCTGGCCAACATGGTGAAATCCCGTCTCTACTAAAAATACAAAAAATTTAGGCAGGCGTGGTGGTGGGCGCCTGTAGTCCCAGCTACTCTGGAGGCTGAGGCAGGAGAATCGCTTGAGCCCGGTAGGCCGAGGTGCAGTGAGGCGAGATTACTCCAGTGCGCTTCAGCCTGGGCAACAGAGTGAGACTACATCTCAAAAAAACAAAAACAAACAAAAAGCCCTACTGAGGGCCACGGAGGTGGGGGAGCAGGATGGAGATGGGTCAGGCTTAACCCTGACAACTCAAAATTCCACTACCTTGTACGGGCCTCAGTTTCCTCAAGGAGCCCCAGCGTAGGTCTGAGGTCTGTTGGTCTGAGGGTCCTAGGGAAATCCAGCCGCTCAGGAGCCTGAGATATTTTAGCATCGTGGCTGAGCCCCCTCTCCCAGGGGACACACTTCCTAGCACCCTCTCCACTGTCCCCGCCCCATTCCTCGGGGAAAAAAAATTTTTTTTATTTTGTTAATACTTCCTGAAACTTTTGCGGGTACAGAAACCACTTACTGATAGGCTGAGAAAAGGGGAAGAGGAGAGGCAACCAGAAACCTTCAGGGACCGGTTCCCTCCATGTCCAGGTCTCTTCTCTCCAGCACAGCTCAGCCTACAGCCTGGAAGTGCCAGCGGGCACCTTCACCCTACACGCATCAGGATATGGCCTTGATCCCTTCCCCCACAGCCCGGTGGCTCAGTCCTGAGAAGGAACCAAAGCAGGGGGAGGTGGGGAAAAATCCCTGCTGCCTGATCCCACGCTGCCACTCACAGACCCTCGGTTGACTGGCAGCACTGAACAGGTTTAAAAAAAAAAAGATGAAAACACAGAAAAACCCAAACACCCAGAGGGGAGATCATGTGTGGAGAGAGCGTGCTGGGAGCCTCAGTAGCCGGTCTCCTCCTGGTAGTAAGGGAGATATTCAGGGGCCGGAGCCCGAGGGAGCGCCGTGGGCCACTGGGCCTCCCCAGTAGTACCTGGGGTCGTATATCTGTAGGCCCATGCCGAAGGCCTGGCCGCTCTGATGAGCGCCCTGCGTGTATCCCATCTTCAGGGACGTGGAGGAGTTGTCACACTTGTCGATTCCCAGCTTGGTGTCATAGGTGTGCTCATTACTCCTATCTAGCTGTAAGTTTGTATTTGTTAACCAACCTCTCCCTGTCCTCTTCTCCCTGTTGCTCTCCCCAGCCTGTAATAACCAGAATTCTACTCTCCACTTCCATGAGCTCAGTTCGTTTTTTTTTAGCTCCCACATATGAGTGAGAACATGCAAGATTTATAATTCTGTGCCTAGGTTATTTCACTTAATGTAGTGTTCCAGGCTGATCCATGTTGCAGCCAAGGACAGGATTTCATTATTTTTACGGCTAAATAGTACTCCACTGTGAATAGATACTACATTTTTAATCTATTATGTTTTTGGACATTTAGGTTGATTCTAATCTTGGCTACTGTGAATAGTGGCTGCTATAAACATGAGGGTGCAGGTATCTCCTAAATATGCTGATTTCCTTTCCTGTAGATAAATGCCCCAT